>NT_187600.1:0-337848 GCF_000001405.40 Homo sapiens
TACACCAGCAGAGACCTCCCTGCCCTGCGGCCACCAGGAATCCATGCAGCGTGCATGCCCCACCATAGCTCCACCGCCACCAGGAATTCAGGTGCTGCTGAAGCTGCATCAAGAAAGCCCCAGCCCAGTCGCCTCCCCTAGATGAATGAGAGTGAGCTCTTTTCTAATTGTGAAGGACATGGCAGATTGTAGCTGTGAAGACACTGTCAGGTCACTCTGTGGAAGTTTGAGGTGAGCCCTTCCAGGGTCACCTGGCCATGGAGGACCCAGGCTCAGCCCATCTTTCTTCACCATCTGGGGGGGTTGGTGATGGAGCCACAACAGCAGCGAGCATCACATTGTCTCAAAATGTCATCCGCGTGAGGGAAGGAGGGACGGCTCCTCCTTGGGTGCCTCCCTCTCCTTGGGAGGAAAACCCTTCTCAGAAGCCCCCAGAATGTGTCTGCTGAGGTCCTGTGGTCCAGAGCTTGTTCCAGGACAATGTGTACACTTCCGCTGGCAGGGGACATGGGTGTCATGACTGGCTGCCTGCCCACAGGTGAGCCCGTGGTATCATGGATGCCCCAGAAGACACGAGACTCGTGGGTCTGAGACAAAGGGCCCTGTTTCTCAGCATGAGCTTCAGCTGTGGCTCCTCTTGCCTACAATCCCGTGGGGGCGACGGGAGTGCCTGGCGATGCAGCACACACAGCTGGCAGGAGCCCACCCTCCCTCTGCCATTACCCAGGAGGCCGCAGTGTGACATCAAAAATACTCTGCAACTTGGCCCAGGTTCACATTCTGCAAAAGCTGTGAGCTTGCAAATTGCCTTTGATCCTATAAGAGCCATCATGGTGATCAATTTCTTTCTACACAACGCCAGCACATATTTAACCCCCCACACGGAGCAACGTCCAGTTTAACCCGCACAGCAGCAACCCAGCCTCCAGCTCTGTCTCACCAAGCACGTGTCAACAATTCTCTTCCTAGGTGATTCCAGCAGCACAGCCTGGCAGCTCCTGAGCCCTTGGGAAGTTCTGCAGCTCGGCTTACCCAGGGCTGCCCTGGCCAAAGCCCCAGCCACTCTCCTTTACTGCAGAGAGCGGGACCGTGTCCCCCTTCATCCCCCTAGAACGGTAGGGCTGGGAGCTGCGTCAGACCTGCCTCCACGTGCCTGTGGGAAGAGACGTCGGAGTCTGATCGCAGACACAAGAAGATCAGTCACCCAAAAAGATAAAATATACTCGAACTTCCGACCCTTCATCTTCCTTTCAGAACACACTCACATTTTCTATAGGAAAACAGCCTCATAATAATAAAAACTCAATTTAGCGAAAGTGAACTCACTTATCTTAAGCAATAAGAAAGCCAAACATTATTGGATTCGTTTTATGCAGTAAAATAACGGAGATGCACTAAGTGGCAACCCCCGAGGGAAAAGCCATCAGAGTCACTGCCAGCGCAGAATGGTGGCAGAGGCTGCAAAGCCACATTCCCACCCTGGCTGAAACATGGGTGGCTTCATTTGTTGCAAAAACAAGGTAACTGCCATTTAACCAGGGAAAGATGAAGGGAAAAAACACCCCCCAATCAGAGGCTGTCAGGGAGGGCCTCTGTCCTCGGGGCTTGACCTGCAGGCAGGCCCCAGCAGCAGGGCTAGGGCCGCACTGGGCGTGAGGACCAAGCGTGCAGAGGGTCAAGAGGTGGGTGAGGAGAGGGTAGAAAAGGCAGTGGGCAGGTGGGGGGAACACCAGAGGGAGGCAGACGGGGGCAGGAGGAGGAAGGGGCCTGGGTGCCAGAGGGAGGTCAAGACAGGGGGAGGTGGGCAGGAGTGTTGCCAGACACACGGCAGCCCCCGGCCCATGCCCACCCCCGCCACCCTGCATTGGCACGAGGTCCCAGATTTCCCTGGGACAGTGCCGCCTCTCCTCACTCCGTGGCTGATGTGGAATGGACTCCGTCCTCTGAGGGCTGGGGCAGCTGCCAAGGAAGGGGCGCTAACATCACACTGTCCCCCGAGAAAGGAAACCCATGGTGACCGCTGTGCTTTGAACATTTGCGTCCCCTCCAAAACTTATGTGGAAACATAATCCCCAATGCAACAGGCTGTCCATTTTGTGTGGCTATAATAATACCACAGGCTGGGAACTAATTTACAAAGAAAAGACATTTATTTCTCACAGTTCTGGAGGCTGGAAGTCCAAGATTGAGGTGCCAGCTCTGGCGAGGGCCTTTGTGCTGCATCGGCTCACCGTGGAAGGTGCAGGGGCAGGAAAGGGTGAGAGAGAGAGGGCCCAGCTTGCTGTCGTAACCACCCACAGTGCAGATAGTAAACACGCCCCAAGATAATGGCGTTAACCCCTCCACGAGGGTGGAACCCGCCTGGCCTCATCACCTCTTAACGGCCCCACCTTTTTTTTTTTTTTTTGAGACGGAGTCTCGCTCTGTCACCCAGGCTGGAGTGCAGTGGCGCGATCTTGGCTCACTGGAAGCTCCGCCTCCCAGGTTCACGCATTCTCCTGCCTCAGCCTCCCGAGTAGCTGGGACTACAGGTGCCCGCCACCACGCCCGGCTAATTTTTTTTTTTTTGTATTTTTAATAGAGATGGGGTTTTCACCGTGTTAGCCAGGATGGTCTCGATCTCCTGACCTCGTGATCCACTCGCCTCGGCCTCCCAAAGTGCTGGGATTACAGACATGAGCCACCACGCCTGGCCTGAGATGGAGTCTTGCTCTGTCGCCAGGCTGGAGTGCAGTGGCGCGATCTTGACTCACTGCAATCTCTGCCTCCCGGGTTCAAGCAATTCTCCTGCCTCAGCCTCCCAAGTAGCTGGGATTACAGGCGCCTGCCATCACCTGGCTAATTTTTTGTATTTTTTTTAGTAGAGACAGGGTTTTGCCATGTTGGCCAGGCTGGTCCTGAGCTCCTGACCTCAAGTGATCTGCCCGCCTTGGCCTCCCAAAGTGCTGGGATTACAGGTGTGAGCCACCGCGCCCAGCTCCCCACCTCTTAATATTGCCATAGTGGCAATTACATTTCCATATGAATTTTGGAGGGGACACTCAAGCCATAGCCCAGGCTCGGATGATGGTGGTGTTTGTCAACGTACACATTCATTTCCCTCCTGGGTGAGTCTGGGCAGTGGTCCAGGCTGCCAGGACACAGATCCCTCCTACTCGTGGCCCCTGGGTCCTGGGTGTGGATCTTGCTCTCACAGGTCAGGCTGCACCATCAGGGCTCGGCGGCAGCACAGCCAGGGTGGAGGAGGTTGACGAGGCATGCTTTTGGGGTCTCTTTGGGATGGGGCTCAGGAGCTGGCATGAGGCACCTGCCCACACTCTGCTGCCCAGAACTTAGACATGCCAGTGCCCTGAGCTGCCAGGGAGCCAGGAATAGGGACCTGCCTTTGGGTGCCGCATGCCCAGGTGAGGAAGAAGGGGAGCCCTCCTGTGTTGCTGCACCTTGGTAACTTTACTGGACTTTTCAGTGTTTTCCTCCCAAGCGTTGCCCAAACCTGCATCCTGCCCAGCAGTGAGAGAGCCCAGGGACCACCTCCTCACTCACACCTGCTGCTGGCAAATCCTCTGGACAAAGTGCAATGCTGCAACATTTTACAAAACAGAGTCGCCCTTGATGGTCATAATGGCCGAGAAGGAAAACTCACGACGACGGAAGCCATCGACTGGCGAAATTTGATATGGATGAGCACCGGCCCGTGGTTCAGGTTTTCGTAGTAAAATTTATGTGGGGGAGAATTTTTTTTTGAGAGAAACGTGTGTTTAATGGTAAAAATTAGCATACCCCATCACCAGGAATGGCGTGGAGTAGGGACGGGCAGCAGGGACAGGCAGGTGACCCCTGTGGAGCCTCACGTGGCGAGGATGAGGAAGACGACCACCAAACAGAACAGCCCCATGGCCTCAGACACAGCAAAGCCCAGAATGGCATCGGAGATGAGCTGCTGCTTGAGAAACAGATTCCCGGCATAGCCAACAAGCTGCCAGACACCGTTCCAATGCCAGGCCCGAAGCCAGCCACACCGACAGGGGCTGCCCCAACACCAATCAACGTGGCTGCTGTGTCAACATCCCGGGAGACAGCTCTGGTCTGGAACTCCCACCTGGCCACCTGGTGTGGGGAGCGGCTGTAGGAAGGCTGTTCAGATGAATTTTCTGGGCTGTTCAAGAAGGAGACAGACACAGCCTGATTAGACCCGTGGTACAACAGCGGACCAGAGCTGGAGAGGTGAGTAATGCCCGGGGGTCTGCATTTTCTGTCTGCACTCCCACTGCCCTGCAGCACCTGCGGGCCCACAGCACTCGCCCGGCTGAAGGTGACCTAAGGTGACCGACTCACTTTTACTCATTGCTTATGAAATAAGCTGAATGTGGAGATCATCGGAAACATGTTTCAAAGTGCGTGAGCCTTGAGGAAAGCTTTCTCCCGCCCTCATGAGTATCCGCCCCAGGGGGTGCTTTCCTCGAGAGCTGGTCCGTGTTGCGTTCCCACAGTGAACACTTTCAAGGCTGCTGCGGGAAGTTGCACAGAAACGGCTGGTGGGCCTGGAGGGGATGGTGAGGCGCAGTGGGCCTGTGTACCGGATGCCAAATCCACAGCATGGGAGGCAGGGCCCACTGCAGGAGCCACACAGCAGCTGTGTGCTGCTCTCCCACCTGCAACCTGCACCTGTGGGGTGCACCTGAGTGACCCCGGCCCCCCGGGGTGTCTCTGGGATGCCTCCTAGGAGGAGAGGCTCCACGCCTGGAGGGAGACAGGTATCACACAGGTGCGTGGGGTGGAGTGTGATGCAGGGAGGTTGGGGCAGGGCCACACAGAGAGACCCCACTCAGGCAGGCCTTGGGTCAGGGTAGGCCTCACCAAGTGATATTATGTTGGGACTGGACCGTGGCCAAGGCTGGCCTGCAGGCAGGGGGCACACATATTCCTGGCAGGTGAGGCTGCCCACAAAGCTCACCTGCCTGAGAACCCTACCTGGCTGGGGCATGCGGGAGCCTCTGGACCTTCGCGCCGGCGGAGCCTGCAGTGTCGCCAGATGGCCACAAGGGGGCTCCCGAGCCCGGCTCTGGGTCCCTTTGAGGAGGGAGCCGCGGGACCCGGCTGTGAGACCGGGACCTGCCAGTGGTGCCCCGACCCCCCGACCCCACAGGACCCTGCGCGGCCAAAGGCTGAGGCTGCCCCAGCCCCAGGCTGTGCTGATGCCCCTGACCAGAACCCGAGCCCGATTCTGCTCACTGAACACTCATCTGCTCCCTTGCCTCTGCCTGCCCCGGCAGCGAGGGCCTGGCCAGTGGGTTCGTATCAACTCCCACGTCACCTCCCGTGTCATCTGTGTGTCACCTCCATGTCACCTCCTGCATCAGCTGTGTCACCTCCCACATCACCTGCATCAGCTGTGTCACCTCCCACATCCCCTGCATCAGCTCTGTGTCACCTCCCACATCACCTGCATCAGCTCTGTGTCACCTCCCGCATCACCTGCATCAGCTCTGTGTCACCTCCCGCATCACCTGCATCAGCTCTGTGTCACCTCCCGCATCACCTCCTGCGCCACCTTTGTGTCACCTCCCGGCTGACCATGGCCCAGCAGCATCTCCCTGTTGCAGCGTCCGGAGAGGCTGCGGTTGCACGGGGTGGGCTAAGGAAGGTGGGGCTGCCTCAGCCTGGGCCCTGAGTGAGCTCTGGAGTGGATCCCACCTCCCCACCAAAGCCCAAGCAGGAGACAACCCTTTGCTGCTGAAGCCACTGAGCGCTTGGGGCTGTTTGTTTCGGCCTCGTCCCCGACGGACGTGTCTCCCACAGTCCCAGGCCCTGAGTGCAGGTCCACACTGAACCTTGACGCTCATCGCAGACTGACCCTGGCTTGCCCTGGGTCACACTCGGGCTGAGGCCCCGACAGCCTGGCCCGGTCGAAGCTCCCCGGCTTATCTCACTCACTGTTGTCCAGGGCCCAGCCTCACGGTGACATCTGCCACAAGAAGGCTGGGACTCTGTCCCACTTGTGTTCAGGAACGAGAGACCCTGACTTGGTGTCTGTTATCAACACATTACAAACATCACTGGGCATTACAAAAGATTTCTGAGGGCTGGGTGCTG
Organism: Homo sapiens; assembly: GCF_000001405.40. Classification (NCBI taxonomy): domain Eukaryota; kingdom Metazoa; phylum Chordata; class Mammalia; order Primates; family Hominidae; genus Homo; species Homo sapiens. The sequence continues at coordinate 6,094 of NT_187600.1, forward strand.
TGGCTCACCCCTGCAATCCCAGCACTTTGGGAGGCTGAGGTGGGAGGAGGATTGCTTGAGCCCAGGAGTTTGAGACCAGCCTGGGCAATGTAGTGAGACCTTGTCTCTAAAAAAATTTTAAAAATTAGCCAGGCATGGTTGCGCGTGCCTGTGGTCCCAGCTACTCAGGAGGCTGAGGCAGGAGGATCACCTGAGCCCAGGAGGTCAAGGCTACAGCAAGCAGAGATGGTGCCACTGCACTCCAGCCTGGACAACATAGCAAGACCCTGTCTCAAGAAAACCCACACAAAACACAAAGAAAGAAATAAAAATCCAGATTTCAAATAATTTAAACTTATTTATCCAACACAAAGCAGTTCTTCATGGCACACTTTAAACTTCGAAATTCTTTGCTCTCCCCATGCTTGGCTGATTGGGTCTGGGGCAGGCGATGGTGCTCACTGGATCCAGTTTCTGACAAATCTGGATTGAGACAAGCTTCAGAACTGGCCCAGATGATCAATTTTCATATAAGTTAAGGTGTCCTCCTTGTTCCACAGCTTTTAGTGATTTTTTTTTGTTTTTTTTTTTTGAGACGGAGTCTTGCTTTCTCGCCAGGCTGGAGTGCAGTGGTGCGATCTTGGCTCATTGCAACCTCCGCCTCCTGGGTTCAAGCGATTCTCCTGCCTCAGCCTTCTGAGTAGCCGGGAGTACAGGCACATGCCACCACACTCGGCTAATTTTTTGTATTTTTAGTAGAGATGGGGTTTCACCGTGTTAGCCAGGATGGTCTCGATCTCCTGACCTCGTGATCCGCCCGCCTCGGCCTCCTAAAGTGCTGGGATTACAGGCGTGAGCCACCACACCTGGCGCTTTTAGGTGATTTGATAATACATTTTTCTGTTAAAATTTTATGATACATAATATAGAAAGAATCTACGTAAAATGATGTCCATGCATTTATGCACACAGAGCCCACTTTGAGAGACAGAATATGAGGGCCTTTGGTCCTGCCAGGAGCAAAGAAAGTTAATAAAAAATCAAGTCTGGGCCAGGGGTGGTGGCTCATGCCTGTAATCCCAGCACTTTGGGAGGCCGAGGCAGGCGGATCACCTGAGGTCAGGGGTTCAAGACCAGCCTGGCCAACATGGTGAAACCCCATCTCTACTAAAAATATAAAAATTAGCCAGGCGTGGTGACATACGTCTGTAGTCCCAGCTACTCGGGAGTCTGAGGCAGGAGAATCACTTGAACCCAGGAGGCAGAGGTTGCAGTGAGCCGAGATCGCGCCACTGCACTCCAGCCTGGGCGACAAGAGTGAGGCTCTGTCTCAAAAACAAAACACAAACAAAAAAAATCAACTCTGGGCCAGGTGTGGTGGCTTGCGCCTATAATTCCAGCACTTTGGGAGGCTGAGGCAGGAGGATCGCTTGAGCCCAGGAGTTCCAGACCAGCCTGGGCAGCATGGCAATACCTTGTCACTACAAAAAATTTTAAAACTTAGCAGGGCATAGTGGTGTGCACCTGTAGTCCCAGGTACTTGGGAGGCTGAGGTGGGAGGATACCTTGAGCCCAGGAGGTGGAGGCTGGAATGAGCTATGATTGCACCACTGCACTCCAGTCTGGGTGACAGAGCAAGACCCTGTCTCAAAAAAATGAAAAAAATCACCCTGGAGAACCTGTATTTATAGGAAGACATATTGATTCCAGCGGCAAACGCTTAGGGCTGCAGAGCCCTGGGCAGGCTGGATGCTGTCTTGGCCCCATGTGGGGTGAGGGCTGCAGATTGTGGTGGAGGCCCCGGGGAGGCAGAGGGAACCCTCGGGAACCATTTCCCTGCCTTCTGCTCTCGTGACTGACCTTTTCTTGGCGAAACTTGGTGGGGGCAGCTGGGCCTCTGCCACTGGCATCCTTTGGATGCTTCCTGGTGGTGGCAACCCTGTGGGGAGGAGTTGGGGAACCTGTGGGCCAACGCGGCTCCGTGAGCCTCATCAGGCTGCAGGGCACCTTGGTTCTCCCTTCCTGACCCCTCTCTGCCCGTCTCCTTTCTGCTCTGTTTGTCAGATTTTTTTTTCTCATTTTGATTCCATTTTGTTTCTGACAACTTTCCCAAGACCATTGCTCCTCCAGAGGCGGCTGGGTCCACACAGCTTCCCTTTGTGCCGGACCCTCGCCTTGCTGGGTCTTGGGCTGCAAAGCTCGGATGCTGACAGCCTTAGGTTCCTGTGCTGACCCTCGCGGTTTCCGCATCCCACTCATCCCACTCTCACCTCTAGTTCCTTTGGAGATAGACCTTCCATGGAAAATCCCAGTTGGAGCACACCCGCCGCATTCCCGTTCCCTCACCTGCCCACTCCGTCCACGTCTCCAGGGCTGGGCTGCAACTGTGGAGACCACCGCCTCCAGCCTTCTCCATCATGGAGACTGGAAGGTGAAGCCCGGCTAGAGGGCAGCCTGGTGGTGGGGCAAGAAATAGGACGGCTCACCGGCTGAGCCAGGGTGATGAGGCCTCTCTGCTCCCCCTTCCTCTCTCCAAAGCTTGCCAGGACCCACCCAGACCAGGCTGCGGCCTTCAGCACTTCCCCAGGCCACACCACAAGACAGAGGAACTGAGCCCCTCTGGGGCACATGCCCTCCCAGGCCAAAGTAACAAGACGCCTGGAGAGAAGAGCGCCTGAAAGAAAAACAGCACCCTCCACAGCATGACTTGTGTGCAGCAGGAGTATGAGACCCTCTGGGCAAAGAATTAAAGACAAATGCGGTAACATCCTTGAAGAATTAAGGAAAGATATTAGCAATAACAGGGAGAAAGCAATAACAGGGAGCACAAAGAACTAAGTAGGAATATCAGGTATCAAAATAATGATTGAGAAAAATGTGGTAACTGAAATTCAGTGGGACGGACGCAGCCGAGGAAAACAATCTGCGAAGTGACAGACGAGGGGAAGGAATCCTGGCAGAGTGGCCAGCATGCAGGAAGAAGGACAGGGACTGTGAGGAGAGAAGTGGGTGGGAGGACAGAGCAGAAGAAAAAGATGAGAGGGATTTTCAAACATTAGGGATGAAAGACGCCACAGAAATCCAAAAGATGATATGAGGAAAACCTGTACCTAGTCACAATTATATTAAAATTGAAGAATATTAGGAAAAAAAGGGAATATTTAAAAAATGTTGAAAAGAAGGAAAAAGTTTTAATGGAAGAGCAAGTGGTGGATAAAGGGTAAGAATCACACCGACTTCAGACCTTTCAACATGATTCAAAAATGCAAGAGGACTACAAATTATTTTTAAGGTATCAAAAAAACCCACTTTATACCTTTTTTTTTTTTTCTGAGACAGGGTCTTGCACTGTCACCCAGGCTGCAGTGCGGTGGCTCAATCACAGCTCACCACAGCGTTGAACTCCTGTGCTCAAGCAATCCTCCCACCTCAGCCTCCTGAGTACCTGGAGCACAGGTATGTGCTACCACACCTGGCTAATCTTTTAATTTTTTGTAGAGATGGGGTTTCCCTATGTTTCTCGGGCTGGTTTTGAACTCCTAGCTGCAAGCAATGCTCCCACCCCAGCCTCCCAAAATGCTGGGGTTACAGGCATGTGGCCAACCTACACCTATAATCTTATATCCAGCAAATTTTTAAATTCAAATGTGAAGGTATACTAAAAACATTTTTAGGCAAAAGAGGCCTCAGAATACTTGCTATACAGAGACCACATTGAAAACACTGTAGGAAAAAGTTCTCGCAAACGAAGGGAAAATCCCAGGAGCTGTTGCAAGAGATACAGGAAGAAAGAGCGAGTAAAGGTTATTGTTAATATCATGATATATACCTATATAATATACTGTTGATAACAGATATCATGAAAATGAAAAATTGATAATATGTCTACAATTACCCATAACCAAAACTCCAGACAATATCAATATGATGCGGGATAAGGAATTAATCAAGGAACTAAGATTATGCTAAAGCATATATCTTGTTGGGAGAATATGAATTATATTTATGAATACATTCAATAAATGAGTAAAGTTATTAAAAGTTAATCTTAAGAACAATCACCATGAAAGTTACAAGTACAATTTTTTAAACTAGTAAAAGAAGATGTAATCTATTCAATGGAAAACAGGAAATGTGGAAGAAACAAACAAAAAATAACTTTGATGATAGAACTAAATCATAATACAGTTGTAATCACAATAAATATTAATGGCTTAAACTAATCAGTTAAAAAGTAGAGATTCTTGTATTGAAATTAAAAAAAAATTAAGACAAGACAAAGCTAGGCATAGTGGCAGACACTTGCCTATAGCCCCTGCTACTCAGGCTCAGGAGGCTGGGGTGGAGGATTGCTTGAGTCCAGGAATTTGAGTCCAGCCTGGGCAACACAGCAAGACCCTGTCTCTGAAACAAACAAATGAACAAACAAAGAAACGAGCACTCCAAGAGCAACTTTATAATTAAAACAAAAGAAGACACAAGTTGAAAAATTACAAGGATAGAAAACTATGAACTAAGAGGGTTATCATCACAGTTATAGCAGGGAAGCTAGGAGTGGAGAGGGATCCTGGCCATTGAATGCTTAGACCTGGAAATTCCATACATCGCTTCTCAAATATCATTGGCCAGAACGAATGACAAGGCCAAGGGGTGAGGGAGGAGTAACTCTGTGCTCCTGGAAGTAGAGAACCACTGGCTATTGGTGAATATGAACAATGTTTACTGCTACCACATACAGATTCTTAATATAAGATAAAAAGGAAACACCACAAATCAATGAGACAAGATCGTTTATAAATGGTGTTGGCAAAATCGACTCACTATACAGGGAATAATAGAAACTGGGCCTCCACCACTTATCCCATATGTGCGTGGACTTGAGCCAGATTATAGATCTGTGAATTGCAAAACTATAAAGTTAATGCTAAAAAAAGGAGGATCACTTATTGATGTTGGAGCAGGGAAAAAGTTATAAAATAAAAATTCGGAAGCACAAATCATAAGGCAGATGATTGAAAAGACAGCTTACATGAAAATTCAGAAAATACTTCCTGACTGTTCTGTGCTTGGCTTCCTTCACCTGTAAAATGGGGAGTTAATTTAACTAAGGGGTTGAGAGCAGCCCCCAGGCCATTGTAAGTGCTTCGTGTGCTACATGTTATTACAATAATCAGTATTTCATGCCCTTTAAAACATCTCTAGTAATGCTTTTTCCCAAAACATCAATTTTGCCTGACAGTAAAATGCCACAAACTTGTGAGTTTTGTGAGCTACTGTGTGCCTGGTTTATCTTTTCCCATGATTTTCCCTCCTAACTCTTCTGTGTCATTTTGTTTTGTGTGTGTCTCTTGAAAAACCACATAGCTGGATTAAGAGCATCCATCTTTTAACTGGAGAATGTAGTCCATGTCTTTTTATTTTCATTACTCGTTATTTATTTCTACCTCCTTATTTTGTGTTTCTATTTGTCTTGCTTTTTCTGAGTATCTTTTAAATCGTTTTCTTATTTCTTTAGGAGTTATTTTCCTCACTTAATCTTTCTTCTTCTGATTTAGAAGTTATACATTCAGTTTCTATTCTTTTGTTAAACAAATTTTAAATTTTACCTTTTAGAGACAAGGTCTCACTTGTCACCCATGCTGGGTGCAGTGGTGTGATCATAGCTCACTGCAACCTCAACCTCTTGGGTTCAAACGATCCTCTAGCCTTAGCCTCCCAGTAGCTAAGACTACAGGCATGGGCCACAACACCTAGCTAACTTTTAATTTGTTTGTAGAGACAGGATCTTGCTATGTTGCCCAGGCTGGTCTCAAACTTCTGGGCTCAAGTGAGCCTTCTGCCTTGGCCTCCCAAAGTGCTGGGATTATAGGTATGAGCCACTGTGCCTGGCCTGGCATCTTGTTTTTATATGGTATTGAAAAGCTAAACATATTTGGGTCTGTTATTAACATGAGAAGCTGTACTATGAGGAAGCGTGTTTTTAAAAATTATGAAATGTTAGGCTGGGCGTGGTAGCTCATGCCTGTAATCCCAGCACTTTGGGAGGCTGAGGCAGGCGGATCACATGAGGCCAGGAGCTAGAGACCAGCCTGGCCAACATGGTGTAACTCCATCTCTACAAAAAATACAAAAACTAGCTAGGCATGGTGGTGCATGCTTGTAATTCCAGCTACTTGGGAGGCTGAGGCACGAAAATCGCTTTAACCTGGGAGGTGGAGTGAGCCAAGATTGCACCACTGCACTCCACTCCAGCCTTGGCAACAGAGCAAGACTTTGTCTCAAAAAAAAAAAAAAAAAAAAAAAGTTGTAAAAGGATTGTGGAAAAGGGATCTTATGTGGTTAAAGTCGGCACCGTCCCCCAAATCACCAACCCCCAGGTCCCAAGGCCTGGGCTGGGCCAGGGCTGACAGGGAAGCCCAGGAGTCTTTTGAACCCACTCTTCCTGCCTAGAATAGAGACAGGACAGGCTTTATGTCCCCCATTCCTCCCTCCCAACTCCAGGGACATTGAAAGTGTCCTTTGTACCTACCTGCAGGAAATTGGGGGGCTGGGAGGGAGGGAACTGAAAATACACATTTGTTATCAAAAATAAACCCCTGAGGGGGAGGCGGCAGGAAGATTGCCCCCCACATCCCTTCCTTCACATCCACCCCACCAAATATAGGAAGAGATGACTCCCTCTCCTCTATTGAAAAGCCCCATTTAAAAATAGATTATACTATCAAAATGGCAGCAGGGGAGAGACAGGGAGACCTGGAGTACTGGCTGGAGGGGCCCCCCAGACAGGAACCACCCCCACAAAACCCCTCCATGGGAGGAAACAGGCAGGACCCCAGGGAGTTTGGCAGACAAAGGAATGGCTTCTCAGGGGGAAGAAGAACAAAGGGACATTCCTCCCTGGCCAAAAAGTTGGTTAAAAAAGGATAAGCTGTCTGAGAGAAAGGTTGAGGAGGTGGAAATTTCTATTCCAAGGGTGTGATTCTGCCTTGGCCAAGACTCCCAACCCATTAAATGGTACAAATTCTTCCTGGACCCCGAGTATGGCCAGGAATAATAAAACGAAACTAACTTCTACTCACATCCTAAAATGGACACAGGGCTCCCTCATCTCCCCACGGGCAGGCCGAGGAATGAAGAAAGAAAGGTCGTTCTCAAGCCAGACCCCGATTGTCCTGTCTTGGGGAAAAAAGCGGGGAGGTGGGGGAGACGTCCTGACCACCCTAATAGGTTAGGTCAGGCGCTTCCCAGTGGCCTTCAAAAAATAAATAAATAAACCGCCCCTACCATTGAAGTAGGAGACGTGTCAGGGCAGCCACTGGGGGACGGACAGAAAAGAGAGAAAAGAGAGAAGCTGTGGAAGCTGAGTGTTTTCTGTGGAGGAGTTAATGAGAGTCACTCCTGGGAGAAATCCTTCCCAAGGATCCCCACCCCACCACAATCAGAGCATGAGTCTTTCAGTTGAACTGTGTTTCTCCTTGAGAGAGCACGGATGGAGGGACCCCAGAAGGGGTGGTGGTGCTGGTGGTGGTCATGGCCTCTGGGGCCCTGGCGAGAGCACCGCGGGGGTCGAGAGGCCAGCCACGCCGATGGAAGGGATGTGCACCTGGGCGCCGCCACTGGACGGAAGCTGGCAGGAGAGCTTGGCCGGGCTGCGGGGCGCAGCGGGACTCAGGCTGCTCCGGAAGTGAACGCTGGGAGGCAGCGAGCTGGGTGTCAGCAGCGCCGGGGTCAACGTGTGCGTAGGAAGCAGGGACAGGGTCAGCGCCGGCCTCGGCGCCTGGAGGCCGGAGCCAGTTCCCGATCCTGGGGTCCGTTCGGCTCCCGGCGCACCTAGCAGGCTCGGGCTGAGTGGAAGCTCTAGGTCCCGGGGCTTCCGGCCCTTCTGCGGCTGGGAGATCTGAGGGCTGGAAGCCGCGTGGCCGCCCGCCTGCCCTGCGGTGTCCATAAGGACCTCGGCAGCCACGCTGGCACGCCCTCCTGTGGAGGGACTTCAGGCTCGGCCTTGGCGGTTTCTGGCACGAACCCTCTCTCCCCCGCGAATTCCAGCTCTTCCTCGGGCCCTTCCACTTCCACTTCCGGGGGCAAAGGGCGGCGCAAGCCCGGCTCCACATTCGGCTCTTCCAATTTCAGGTTTGGGGCCTCGGGCGGGGTCAGGATGACCTGCAGAGGGAAGCCGGCTTCCTCAGCCTCCAGGCAGGCCTCCCAGGGGCTTGGACTGCAGGAGCTGCGTTGGGGAGCACCGCAGCAGGCCGAGGCTGAGGGGGTGGCTGCGGCTGCAGAGACTGGATGTGAAGGTGGAACAGAGGCCCGAGCGCATGTACTTGTTCCGGCTGTTGCGCGCCAAACCGCCAGGGCCTGCCATTCCTGCACCCTTGGGTGTGCCTGGCTTTCCTGAGGCAGTGCCCCCTGGGGCGGCATGTGCAGCAGCAGGGGCCACAACTGCCATGGTGAAGTAACCGACACCTCTGGGTGGGGCGGGCAGTCCTCACTCAGTGGAGCACCCTGCGACCTCAGGATAGGACACAAACTTGTAGACCAACTTCTGGCCGCTCACCTTGCGGATGATGTTCTCGTCATAGTCGTGAGAGGTGACAGCATGCTGGCAGCCCTCACTCGCTCTCGGTGCCTCCTCGGCCTTGGCGCCCACTCTGGCCACGCTTGAAGAGCCCTTCAGCCCGCCGCTGCACCGTGGGAGCCCTTGTCTGGGCTGGCCGAGGCCGGAGCCGGCTCCCTCGGCTTGCAGGGAGGTGTGAAGGGAGAGGCACGGGTGGGAACCGGGGCTGTGCGCGGCGCTTGCGGGCCAGCGCGAGTTCTGGGTGGGCGTGGGCTCCGCGGGCCCCGCACTCGGAGTGGCAGGCCCCGCCTGCCCTGGGCAGTGAGGGGCTTAGCACCCGGGCCAGCAGCTGCGGAGGGTGCGCCGGGGTCCCCAGCAGTGCTGGCCCACCGGCGCTGTGCTCCATTTCTCACTGGGCCTTACCTGCCTCGCCGTAGGGCAGGGCTCGAGACCTGCAGCTTGCCATGCCTGAGCCTCCCCGCCGCCCCCCACCGCCACCCGCCGGCATGGGCTCCGGCCTGGCCCGAGCCTCCCGGAAGAGCGCTGCCCCCTGCTCCACTGCGTCTGGTCCCATTGACCGTCCAAGGGCTGAGGAGTGTGGGCACACAGCGGGGGACTAACAAGCAGCTCCACCTATAGCCCAGGTGCAAGATACACTGGGTGAAGCCAGCAGGGCTCCTGAGTCTAGTGGCGACTTGGAGAACCTTTATGTCTAGCTAAGGGATTGTAAATACACCAATCAGCACCCTGTATCTAGCTCAAGGTTTGTAAACACACCAATCAGCACCCTGTGCCTAGCTCAGGGTTTGTGGATGCACCAGTTGGCACGCTGTATCTAGTTAATCTGGTGGGGACTTGGAGAACCTGTATGTCTAGCTAAGGGATTGTAAATACACCAATCAGCACTCTGTATCTAGCTCAAGGTTTGTAAACCCACCAATCAGCACCCTGTGTCTAGCTCAGGGTTTGCGGATGCACCAATCGGCACTCTGTATCTAGTTAATCTGGTGGGGACTTGGAGAATCTTTATGTCTAGCTAAGGGATTGTAAATACACCAATCAGCACTCTGTATCTAGCTCAAGAGTTGTAAATGCACCAATCAGCGCTCTGTGTCTAGCTAATCTGGTGGGGACTTGGAGAATCTTTATGTCTAGCTAAGGGACTGTGAATGCACCAATCAGCACTCTGTATCTAGCTCAAGGTTTGTAAATGCACCAATGAGCACTGTGTCTAGCTCAGGGTTTGTAAATACACCAATTGACACTCTGTATCTAGCTAATCTAGTGGGGACGTGGAGAACTTTTGTGTCTAGCTCAGGGATTGTAAACACACCAATCAGCACCCTGTCAAAACGGACCAATCAGCTCCCTGTAAAACAGACCAATCGGCTCTCTGTAAAATGGACCAATCAGCAGGATGTGGGTGGGGCCAGATAAGGGAATAAAGGCAGGCTGCCTGAGCCAGCAGCGGCAACCCGTTAGGGTCGTCTTCTATAGGGGAAAGCTTTGTTTTTCACTGTTTGTAATAAATCTTGTTACTGCTTCGTTTTTGCATTTACAGTGCCTTTGTGAGCTGTGACACTCATGGTAAAGGTCTGTAGCTTCATTTCTGAAACCAGCGAGACCCCCAACCCACCAGGAAGAACAAACAACTCTAGACGCGGTGCCTTAAAAGCTCTAACACTCACCACGAAGGTCTGCAGCTTCAGTCTTGAACCACCGAGACCACAAACCCACCAGAAGAAAAAAAAAAACAAAAACTCGGAACATGAGGGAACAAACGGCGGGACATGCCGCCTATTAAGAACTGTAGCACTCACTGCGAGGGTCCGCGGCTTCGTTGTTGAAGTCAGTGAGATCAAGAACCGACCAATTCCAGACACAGTAGTACGGCAAGGCCCGCCTGAGCTTGTCGTAATTCACGTTGGTCTTGTTCTTGCGTCGCCCCCACGGCTAGGCCACCTTCCTCTGCAACCACCACCATCCCATGAAGTCCAGGAGCTGTGGCCGTTGCCTTGCTCTCAGCTGCAGCAGAAAGTGCCAGAGCGTCACAGGTGGGTCCATCGCCGGGGGAGTGCTCACGCCATCCTAGGGGTACCTGTGTGTAGCGGGGCGGTGGTGCTGGCCATGCTGGCAGCTCCGGGAGGTGGGGGGCTCCATACGCGGCCCCGCCGCCCCCCAGGCCTGGGTGCGGAGGCCGGAAGGTTTTTTTTTTTTACGTTTTAAGTAATTGGCTTAGGAAAAACAAGGATTTTTGTGTGCCATCAAGATAACTTGTGCTTCATGTTGTTTTTCATTATGTCAGTGATTCACGAAAAAGGTAATTTTTTTTCGCAAAGACATTTTTCTGAAGTAGAGAGCTGCGTTTGACGTCCCAAGTCTCCGCAAGGTGTAACAAGACAAGCATCAAAAGTAATGATTTGGGGTGACTTTGCCGTGGTTACATTAATAATGAGATGTGGGGTAGCTAAGGGAAAGAGAAGAGGAAATGCGGACAGGCCAATTAGGCTTTTTTCTTTCACGTTACTCTGGTGGGGGTTGGTCCTGGGATGAAGGTCCGTGACTTTGGAGAGGGAGACTCCTTTTTGACTGGGTATGGTGGGTCTACTCCTTAGCGGGCTGACTGCCGTCTCAGTCGTTAGGAGCATCACATAAGGTCCTTTCCAGGTGGGTTCAAGCTTTTCCCCTTTCCAACTTCTGATAAGAATGTGATCTCGGGGCTGGTGTTGAACTGAGAATTCAAGGGAGGAGAGGATAGAAGACAGACTGGATACATAGTTTTTAAGAAACTCATCGTTTGTCTCAAATGTTGGGAGGTGAGTAGTGGAACTTAAATAAAGCAACCCATGAAGCATTTCATAAGGGGATAGGCCGATGTCTTTTCAGGGAGCAGTTCAGACTCTTATAGGGCCATGGGAAGACACTTAGTCATGGTAACCGGGTTTCTAGAATTAATTTAGGTAGGTGGGTTTTTAGAGTCTGGTTCATTCTTTCTGCTCTTCCTGGTGAGGGTGGATGCCAGGGAGTATGGTATTCCCACTTTATTTGTAGTGCTTGGGTTAGCCCTTTAATGAGCACGGTAAAGTGGGTCCCATTGTCTGAATCAGTGGTCTCTGTTAGTTTGAACCTGGGTATGATGTGTTCTAACAGGGTTTTAACTGCATCACTGGCTGTTGCGCGTGGGAAGGGGAGAGCTTCTGCCCAGTGGGTAAGGTGGTCTGCTATCACTAGTAAATACTTGAGGTGGCCTATTGGGGTCATTTCAATATAGTCAGCTTGGATGCTTTGGAATGGCCTTACCCCTGGATTGTAGGCTGGGCATGGTGGCTCATGCCCATAATCCCAGCACTTTGGGAGGTCAAGGTGGGAGGATCCTTTGAGACTAGGAGTTGAAGACAAGTCTTGGGAACTTAGTGAGACCCTGTCACTACAAAAAAATAAAAATTAGCCCGGTGACATGGCACATGTCTGTAATCCCCACCACTCCGAAGACTGAGGTGGGAGGATAGCATGAGCTTGAAAGGTGGAGGCTGCAGTGAGCAATGGTTGCACCACTGTATTCCAGCCTGGGTGACAGAGCAAGAGCCTGTCTCAAAAAAGAGATTTTAAACTAATTAGGCTTTTTTTTTTGTTTGTTTTTTTTTTGAGACAGTCTCACTCTGTTGCCCAGGCTGGAGTGCAATGGTGAGATCTTGGCTCACTGCAACCTCCGTCTCATGGGTTCAAGTGATTCTCGTGCCTCATCCTCCCAAGTAGTTGGAACTACAGGTGTGTGCCATCACGCCCAGCTAAATTTTGTATTTTTAGTAGAGATGGAGTTTCACCATGTTGGCCAGGCTGGTCTCAAACTCAACCTCAGGTGATCTGCCCACCTCAGCCTCCCAAAGTGCTGGGATTACAGGTGTGAGCAACTGTGCCTGGTCTAATTGGGCTTATTTGATAAGTAAAGTTATAAAGAAAACAAATAGTATTTGATACTACATCTTTAAATCATATTTTTGGATATGTCATTAATGAATGCTTCAGAAATTATGTGGAAATCCTAGAAATCGGATATGTCCTGGTATAATTTTATCAGCCATAATTTCAGATATTGTGTTAAAGTGTTGTATGTTACAGAAATAACCAGATTTCCTTGTCAATTGTATCATTATTATAATGAACTCTCATCAGATCTTTAAAAATGGCCATTTTAAGCCTTTGCCATTCAGTTATTCTTTTCCTTTGATTCTTTACTAAAGTAATTTGCAATTAGGTAGACAAAAGTGGCTATTCTTCAAGATTCATGAAAAAGACTCTGACAGTTACTCCGAAATACAGACCGCTGCTGATAGCTTTAAGATCATACCATTGGACTGTGTAAGAATTTTCAGAAATGGAATGAAAAAACTGATGTCATCAGACTACTAATCCAGCTTCAAACAGAACAAGATTCAATTACATGGGACTGAATGAACAAAGGAAGATAATTTTTTTTTTTTTTTTTGAGATGGAGTCTCACTCTGTTGCTCATGCTGGAGTGCAATGGCGCGATCTCGGCTCACTGCAACCACCACCTCCCGGGTTCAAGTGATTCTCCTGCCTCAGCCTCCTGAGCAGCTGGGATTACAGGGGTGCGCCACCACACCCAGCTAATTTTTTTGTATTTTTAGTACAGACGGGGTTTCACCATGTTGTTCAGGCTGGTCTCGAACTCCTGACCTCGTGATCTGCCCGCCTTGGCCTCCCAAAGTGCTGGGATTATAGGTGTGAGCCACTGCACCCGGCCGAGGATAATTTTTAAATGACTTTTTGTTGGAAACATTGCTGGTTCTTTAATGTTTTGTTTTTCAGATTTTAGAAAACTTTTTTCCCTTAAGCTGTCAATAGTTTGCAGCAATTTGGTAAGTTACATCTTTGTGAACAGAGAGGAAACAACTATTTTCTCCCTTCCTAATCCCTCCAGAACCCCAAAACCAGTAGTGAGTGTTTTTATTGAAGGGGGCCAGCCCCTCCACACCTGTGGGTATTTTTCGTCAGGTGGGACGAGAGACTGAGAAAAGAAGTAAGACATAGATACAAAGTATAGAGAAAGCACAGTGGGCCAAGGAGACCAGGGCTCAGCATACGGAGGACCCGCACCGGCACGGGCCTCTGAGTTCCCTCAGTATTTATTGATTACTATTTTCACTATCTCAGCAAGAGGAATGCGGCAGGAGAACAGGGTGACAGTGGGGAGAAGGTCAGCAAGAAAACGTGAGCAAAGGAATCTGTGTCACAAATAAGTTCAAGAGAAGGTACTATCCCTGGATGTGCACATAGGCCAGATTTATGCTTCTCTCCACCCTAACATCTCAGTGTAGTGAAGAGTAACAGCAGCATTGCCACCAGCATATCTTGCCTCCAGACACAGGGCGGTTTTCTCCTCAGAATAAAATGAATGTATGATCAGGTTTTACACCGAGACATTCTGCTCCCAGGGACATGCAGGAGACGGAGGCCTTCCTCTTATCTCATCCACAAGAGGCTTTCCTCTTTTTTTTTTTTTTTTTTTTTTTGTTGAGACAGAGTCTCGCTCTGTCGCCCAGGCTGGAGTGCAGTGGCATGATCTGGGCTCACTGCAAACTCCGCCTCCTGGGTTCATGCCATTCTCCTGCCTCAGCCTCCCGAGTAGCTGGGACTACAGGCGCCCACCACCACGCCCAGCTAATTGTATTTTTTTTTTTTTTTTTAGTAGAGACAGAGTTTCACCATGTTAGCCAGGATGGTCTCGATCTCCTGACCTACCTGGTGATCCATCCGCCTCGGCCTCCCAAAGTGCTGGGATTACAGGCATGAGCCACCGCACCCGGCCGAGGCCTTCCTCTTTTACTAATCCTCCTCAGCACAGACCCTTTACAGGTGTCGGGCTAGGGGGACGGTCAGGTCTTTCCCTTCCCATGAGGCCATATTTCAGACTGTCTCAGGGCGGGGAAACCTTGGACAATACCCAGGCTTTCCAGGGCAGAGGTCCCTGGCTTTCCGCAGTGCATTGTGTCCCTGGTTAATCGAGACTGGAGAATGGTGATGACTTTTACCAAGCATACTGCCTGTAAACATTTTGTTAACAAGGCATGTCCTGCACAGCCCTAGATCCCTTAAACCTTGATTCCATACAGCACAGGTTTCTGTGAGCTCAAGGTTGGGGCTAAAGTTACAGGTTAACAGCATCTCAAGGCAAAACAATTTTTCTTGGTACAGATCAAAATGGAGTTTCTTATGTCTTCCTTTTCTATATAGACACAGTAACGGTTTGATCTCTCTTTTCCCTACACTTATTTTTATGACAGTAGAGTTATTTGTAAAAGTTCAGTAAGAATCTGTTCTCCTTGTAACGGCACAATTACAGACTCTGATGATATTACCAAGGCTTTGACCGGAATATCCTATCTTCAGATACGACCACACAGCTTTAAGGAACTAGAGTTGACTTTATGGAGCCAGTAAACCCCCCCTTGGAAAAATTGGCCTGAGGGTTCCCAGTCTTGCAGGTTGAGTAAGGCAGCCCAGCAACCTCTGTATTTTGGGGACTGAGCAGAAAGGAACTCACCCAGATCTATAGGTACCCTGTGCCAAGTCAGATGGCATGTCCTTGATGTGGCTTCCCAGCCCCGGGAGGCCTTTACAGTTCAATCTGAGATTCTTTATGAAAAGCTCCAGCAAAGCAATTTTTTTTTTATTTTGAGACGGAGTCTCATTCTGTCACCCAGGCTGGAGTGCAATGGCGTGATCTTGACTCTGCAACCTCCGCCTGCCAGGTTCATGTAATTCTCCTGCTTCAGCCTCCCGAGTAGCTGGGATTACAGGTGCACACCACCACACTCAGCTAATTTTTTTATTTTTAGTAGAGACGGGGTTTCACTATGTTAGGCAGACTGGTCTTGAATTCCTGACCTCGTGATCCACCTGCCTCAGTCTCCCAAAGTGCTGGGATTACAGGCATGAGCCACCACGCCCAGCCTCCAGCAAAGCAAATTTAAAGAGAGCGAATGTGGTCAACTGCTTCTTGTTGCACTTATGTAAACAATCAGGCCAAGTATAGTGAAACTAGACTGACTTTGCAAACATATCACTCTTATTTGGATCAACATTTATGGAAATGTGGGAGTGACTGTGGAGAAAAAAATGATTCAATGCAAAACTGCAGGGCACCGTGATGAGATTTCAGCCCTGCTCATTGTTTACGAGGTTTTGTTATTTATCTACAAACTGGACTGGATCTTGAATTTTTAGGGAAAAGAAAGATCAGACTGTTATTGTGTCTATGTAGAAAAGGAAGACATAAGAGATTCCATTTTGACCTGTACCCTAAACAATTGCTCACAGAAACCTGTGCTGTATGGGATCAAGGTTTAAGGGATCTAGGCTGTGCAGGACGTGCCTTGTTAACAAAGTGTTCACAGGCAGTATGCTTGGTAAAAGTCATCGCCATTCTCCAGTCTCGATGAACCAGGGGCACAATACACTGCGGAAAGCCGCAGGGACCTCTGCCCTGGAAAGCCGGGTATTGTCCACGGTTTCTCCCCATGTGATAGTCTGAAATATGGCCTCGTGGGATGAGAAAGAGCTGACCGTCCCCCAGCCCGACACCCGTGAAGGGTCTGTGCTGAGGAGGATTGGTAAAAGAGGAAGGCCTCTTGCAGTTGAGATAGAGGAAGGCCACTGTCTCCTGCCTGCCCCTGGGAACGGAATGTCTCGGTATAAAACCCGATTGTACATTTATTCTATTCTGAGATAGGAGAAAAACCACCCTGTGGTGGGAGACGAGACATGCTGGCAGCAATGCTGCCTTGTTATTTACTCCGCTGAGATGTTTGGGTGGAGAGAAACATAAATCTGTCCTACGTGCATGTCCAGGCATAGTACCTTCCCTTGAACTTACTTGTGACACAGATTCCTTTGCTCACGTTTTCTTGCTGACCTCCTCCCCACTGTTCTCCTGCTGCATTCCCCTTGCTGAGATAGTGAAAATAGTAATCAATAAATACTGAGGGAACTCAGAGGCCGGTGCCGGTGCAGGTCCTCTGTATGCTGAGCGCTGGTTTCCTGGGCCCACTGTGCTTTCTCTATACTTTGTCTCTGTGTCTTATTTCTTTTCTCAGTCTCTCGTCCCACCTGACGAGAAATACCCACAGGTGTGGAGGGGCTGGCCCCTTCAGAATTCTTCTAGTTTTCTCTAATATCAGGCAACAACTCTGCAAACTAATTTTTCCAATTTTTCCCTCACCCTCTGACTTGGAATCAGTCAAATTTAAAACTGCTCTGTTCCTGAAGCCCTGTGAGCTGAAATGGGACAAGTTGATGTAAACTTTAGAGAAATCATCCCCACAGATCCTGTGCGGGCAGCTTCTGCAACACCTGACCTGCAAATCAGGAAGGCCCTTCAGCTGCCTACCTGGCTGCAGCTGAAGATGCTTCAGGCCCAGCGTCTAGAAATCTTCCAGCCTGGTGCCCACTGGGTTCGGAAACTGCATTTCTAAGTGTTAACCTTTGTGTTTCGTTTATTTTCAGAGTCTCTCCTCTTTGAATGTCCAACTGCTAGCACCATGCGGCAAAATGTCCTCTTCTACCCAGTCCCAACAGAAAATCCAGCTGGTTCTTAATGAACGAAAGGCCACCCAACAAGAAAATGTACTTATATTGTTGGAGGGAAACCAGAATGTCTCCTCTTTCTTTAAACAGGGTGGACTGACAAAGATTCTCTGCTTGGCCAAACTACAGTCGGGCTCTGGAACCTTCTCCTAGGCCAGCCTGCACTTCCTTGTAAGAAAAAGGCTTTAAAAAGTACCCGGTGGGGCCCGGAGCGGTGGCTCATGCCTGTAATCCCAGCACTCTGGGAGGCTGAGGTGGGCGGATCATCTGAGGTCAAGAGTTCAAGACCAGCCTGGCCAACATGGTGAAACCCTGTCTAGTAAAAATACAAAAATTAGCTGGGTGTGGTGGAGGGTGCCTGTAATCCCAGCTACTCGGGAGGCTGAGGCAGGAGAATCGCTTGAACCCGGGAGGCAGAGGTTGCAGTGAGCCAAGATCATGCCACTGCACTCCAGCCTGGTGACAGAGTGAGACTCCGTCTCAAAAAAAAAAAAAGAACCCCCCTAAGTCAGGTTAAAGACCCACTCTTGACATCTGATCACCCTTGATCCTGAGTTCCTCATCTTCCACCATCTCCCAGGTCTGATCACCCTGGTCTGTCTTCAGCAAAAATCTTCCTGGGCTAATTTAGCCAGAACCCTCCTTCCCCCCAATATTTCCTCTTGGGAATGTCCGTCCTCCGAGTTTACCCAGCTCCCTCCTTGGCTGTCGATCCCTGCCAGCCCATGCTGTGTTAAGAACTGAGCCCCATCTCTCTCCCCCATGGCCATGGTCCCTGCTCCTGTGGCGGTGGTCCTGAATCACACCTGCTTCCGCATTGAACAACTATCATGGAATAATTTTTTCTTTAACATTTCTAAACACACTCTTAGGAGGCGCCAGCAGCCAGCGTGCGGAGTTAAGTGCCTGTGCCCTTTGTATGAAAGTGTCACCGTTGTCCTGGTCTTGAGGGGTGGCTTTCGGGTGTAAACGGCCGGCAGAGGTGAGTAGATGCTGGGAGGCTGCTCCAGGCGTCTTGTTTGCTCCAGGGTTCTTGAGACTCTCCTGTCTATGAGAACGTGCAGTGGCACGGGACGGCCGCCGGGGGGCTCCCGAGTCCGGCTCTGGAGTCTGTGGCCGCGCGAGTGCACCTGCCTGGGCCGGCCCTGACGGATTTTTTTTTTTTTTTTTTGATGGAGTCTCACTCTGTCTCCCAGGCTGGAGGGTAGTGGCGCGATGGCAGCTCACTGCAACCTCCGCCTCCCGGGCTCAAGCGATTCTCCTGCCTCAGCCTCCTGAGTAGCTGGGACCACAGACACCCGCCACCACGTCCAGCTAATTTTTGTGTTTTTAATAGAGACCGGGTTTCACCATGTTGGCCTGGCTGGTCTCTCCAACTCCTGACCTCAGGTGACCCACCCACCTCTGCCTCGAAAAGTGCTGGGATTACAGATGTGAGCCACCACGCCCGGCCTCCTTTTGGATGCTTCTAAAGTCTCTTTGTCTCTGGTGTTGGCAGTTCCATCGGCAAGCGTCAAGGTGTGGACGCGGTTTGCTTTTATTTATCCTGCTTGGGACTTGGCCTTGATCCTGACACATCCTGTTATTCAGCGATTTTGGAAAATTCCCAGCCACTGCCTCCCCCGACTCTGTTTCTCCTTTGGGCAGAAGAAGCCCTTGTGGGAGCCTCGGTCCAGCCTCCGCGGGGCTGCGCTCGGGCTGGGTGGCGTCTCCTGCTCTTTCTTCGGTGTTACCAGCTCCTGCTCCTGCGTGTCCTCTGCGCTGCCTGTCCCATCCATTCTTATTTTAGCCTCATCTATTACGGTTTTCAGTTCTAGAAGTTCTTCGTAAAACTCTCAGGTCATTTCAAAATGCAATGTGCAGTAATTTCCCATTTTGCAGTAATATTTGAATAGCTTCTGTAAGTAAGTTTAAAAAATCTCTTGGCCGAGCGTGGTGGCCACGCTGTAATCCCAGCACTTTGGGAGGCTGAGGCAGGAAGATCATGAGGTCAGGAGATCGAGACCATCCTGGCTAACACGGTGAAACCCCGTGTCTACTAAAAATCCAAAAAAATTAGTCGGGCGTGGTGGCGGGCACCTGTAGTCCCAGCTATTCAGGAGGCTGAGGCAGGAGAATCGCTTGAACTCGGGAGGCGGAGGTTGCAGTGAGCCGAGATCGCACCACTGTACTCCAGCCTGGGCGACAGAGCGAGACTCCATCTCAAAACAAAACAAACAAAAAAACCCTCTTAAGCACACATTGCATATTCTATGTCTGATAACGCCGACATTTTGCTTTTGTTTGGGTTCTTATTCTATAGTTTCTTGTTTCACTGATTCTTGTTTCTGCTTCTTTAGGGCTTTTCTGATTTGTATGTGAGCTGGGTTCCTGGGATCCTGATCTGGGCGCGTCTTTGAGGCTTGCCTCTGAGGTCCGCTGTCCCCGCATGAGCGGACGGCAGAGCGCGCCTGCCTGGGAGCCCAGGAGGCTGCCGGGCCAGGGACCCCGGGAACCCCGGGAACCCCGGGAACCTCTCAGCAGCAGAACTGCAGTGGCACAAGACGGCCACCAGGGGGTCCCGAGCCGGTCTCTGGGGTCCCTGCTGGGGTTGAGGGGCTGTGGCTGCAGACGCGGACCTGGCAGGGGGACCCGAACCCCAACAGGGCCCTGACCGGCCCCAAGGCTGAGCCTGCCCTGTCCCACCAGCGCCCAGACCCCGATGTTGGGCCGGGGCCTTCCTTTCCTTGTCCCGACCCTCTGAGGTTCCTCCCCGGGGTGTGAGCTGATTGTGAGCACACGGAGGCCTTCCTCCTCTCTGGGGCTCTGGAGCCCCTGGGGGCCTGCAGGGCCTGGGCCTGGGCCTGGCTGCTGTCCTCTGTGCTCAGGAGGCTTCTCCCACCCACCCACTTCCGGGCACAGCCCCCAGCCCCACACCCAGCCGCCGGGAGGGCATCCCCAGGGGAGGACCCTCTGCTCCGGAGCCGCGTCCCTTGTCCTCCAGGGACAGTGGCCGGAGGCTGGTGCCTCAAGCTCGTGCGCCTCATGCAGCATCCCGTGGGTCCATTCGCGACCATAGTGAAGACCCGCAGGCCCCAGGCCCGAGCCGGCTCCCGGGCAGGCCGCGTTCTGGGGCTTCTGCGGGGACACTGGGCCACGCCAGGAGGAAGGGTCCTGACCAGGGTCAGGGAGCATCGGATGCTGCCGGCAGAAGTGGGGGGCGCGGGGCCCCACCGAGGAGCCCAGGCCAGCTTCCCCATCTGCCCCAGGTGCAGCCCTGCAAGGCCCCCAGGCCACAGCGTCCCCAGGTCACAGCGTCCCCAGGTCACAGCGTCCCCACACCCAGGGAATGCAGGACTTTGGCAGAGGCTGGGATCCCAGACCACAGAGCCCCACAAGCTGACGCCTGTTCGCGGATGCCACAGCCATCTCCGCGGCAGGCGCTGGGGAGGGGAGGGGATCACAGTGCTGGACACGGACCGGGCCCCAGCCCTGAGCCCAAGGCAGAGCCGGGATCCGGCCCCGAGAGCGCCCCTGCCCCTGCCCCTGCCCCTGCCCCTGCCCCTGCCCGTGCCCCTGCCCGTGCCCCTGCCCCTGCCCCGAGCCCGGGAAGCGCCGCGTGGTCGGCGGCGTTCGATGCTGCTGTCGGCCACACGGGGGCAGCAGAGCCTCAGCGGCTGCCGCAGCGGGTCCAGTTTCCGGCCGCCGGGGTTGGGCTGGCGGTGCCTGGGGGTCCTCCCCAGAGGCCCGCGTGTGAAACGTCCGAGTGCGCTGGGCGCTGGACACGGAGATGGGTGCTTGGGCCACGGGCCTGGGGGACCCCACACGGCCGGCTAGGCAGGCCCAGACAGCCCAGGGTGGGGGTTCCATGGGGGCAGGAGGGGAGAAGCCTGGGCTGTGGAGCAGCTGGGACGTCCGGGGAAGGGCCTGGGGGTCAGAGGGGCGGCTCCCGGGACAGGGAGGCACGTGGAGGGGCGGGGTTTGTGGCAGCCCCGGAGCCGCCTCTGAAGCTTCCATCTGCAGCCTCCTGTGGGGCCGGGTCTGCTTCTCTTGCTGGGCACCCACATCCACCCCCGAGGGGTGTGCGACAACCCCCATTCCAGCCCACTCAGATGGTCTCTAGCCCCTCCCGTCACAGTGAACCCCGGTGTCGGTGCGAGACGCCTCCGTGTATTCCCGGACGTCCCTCTGCAGGCCCATCCCCACCTCACAGACAGTCACACCCTTCCAGGCCTTGCCCCATCCGCAGTCCCTGGCCTCACCATCGCATTGCAGGGAGGCGGGCATATGCAACCTCCATGAAATAAAGCCCTAACGGAGAAGGCCAGAGTGGGAACTTCGTTTCCACCAGCAGGTGGGGCAGACACCCTGGCTAGCCCCGGGGAAAACCAGTAAAAATACTGGATTTAAATCCCTTCGAATTCTCCTTTCTACAGGCAAGCTGTTTAGTGAGAAAGAAAGGGCCCTGCAAAGATCCTCCCCAGGTGGACGGGCAGCCCCCAAGCCTGTATTGAGCTCCCGGACGCTGCTCCTGGGGAAGGGCCTGCCGAGGACAGGGGCCAGTGGGAGCCCCTGCCTGACCACAGGCTGTTCTGCAGCCCAGGTCAGGAGCGCTGGTGCCTGCCGTGTGGGGTGGCCCTGGTCCTGACCGCCTGGGGTCCCAGGTGGTCCCGGGTTGTAAGAGTCTGTGGTGCTTGTGAAAAGCTTGCACATCCTTCCAGGGGAGACTCGCGCGTGGGGCGAGGGCAGGAGCAGGAGCTCATAATCACACAGGAAAACAGGAAGCCCTGAACCCCGGGCTCGGGAAGCGGCGGGGCGTCAGGTTTGGAGGGGCTTCGTCCCCCACCACCTCCCCATTTGCACCCCCAGTCCCTGACCCGCATCTTTCCTCACCTGGTCACTGTCCCCCACCCTGTCCCCCACCCTGTCCCCCACCCTGTCCCCTGTCTGCCATCTCCCTCCCAGGAGGGGGCTGCTCCTGCCTAGCACGCGGTGCCCTTCCTCCCACGTCGCTTAATTATATTTGAAAATACAACATTTGAAACGTGCAAAGAATGGAGGGGCTTTTCTGTGAGTGCAGGGTTCCCCTCCCGTGTCCCCCCACCAGGGGGCTTCCCCGTCCAGCCCCGGCTTGTCCCTTTCATTTTAACAAAACGTCCTCACCACAGTGCATGTGTGTTTTATAAAAGCAGTATTGGAAGTTAATGCTTTTAATACAGAAAAAAAAGAACCCGAAACAATATAACTGTCCTAAGTGATGTTGAGTGGGGAGTGCCGGGTGGGAGTTGAACTGCGGGACCACGATCCCTCCACTTCCAGCCTGTCCTGGGGGTGTCATGTGGCCCCTTCTGACCAGCCCTGGGCAACTTCTGGATGGACGGGTGGGGAGGGGCCGTGGAGGGGATCTGGGACCAGGAGAGAGAGAGCGTGGCCAGGCAGCCCCAGGAGGGCCCTCCAGAGCCCGAGTGGGCCTGCGTCTGTGGTCCCCAGGTGCGGTCCCTCGAGGTGGCGTGTGGGCCCCCCAGGCCCGCGCCCTGCGGTTCCAGCGCCTCCCCAAGCCTCTGTCCCTGCAGCCCCCACCCCCCCTGCACTTTCCTCTCCTTTGTCTGTGCTGGTGGTCCCTCTCTCACTGTCCCACACAACACCGCACCGCCCTCCCCCAGGAAAGCCTCCACCTTTTCTCTTAGTGAAATAGAAGCCCTTTCAAGGTGACATGTCACCTACTCACAGAACAGTGCCCCAACCCAGGACGCAGCCTGAGGCCCCTCAGGAGCATTGTGTGCCCCCAGGCCTGTCCCCAGTGGTCCCCACCGTGGGCCCACCACAGCTCCTGCTGTCAAGGGCAGCCTGGGTCTGAGCCCCGTCCCCCTGTGCAGGGCACGGGTCTGGGGGCTGGCTTGTCCCCTGCTGGGCGGTGGGCGGCCTGGGGTGTCTCCCAGACACGCTGCCTGCGGCCGGCTGGTGTGGACTGGGCCTGGTGGGCCAGGAGCTGCCCTCACTATGGTGACAGGATCGGGCTGCCAGGCTCCTGTGGGGGCTCAGCAGGAGGGGATGGGAGACGGCAATGCTCACGCCTGACCTGCTGCCCTTGGGGGAGCCGTGGTGCCACCTGGCCGGCCTGCCTGAGAGACCCCCACGGCTGGTGTGGGAGCCTGGGGGAGCCCTGGGCAGGTGGTGGGGCAGTGGGCAGAGGTGGCTGCAGAGGGACAGGGCCTGGCCAGGACGTCACCCTGAGGCCACTGGAGAGGTCAGCAGGGGCCCAAGGAGATGCAGGGATTGGCAGCTGGGGAGCACAGGGGTACTCCTGAGCCGTGGTACCCAAAGGTCATGAGCTGAGAGGGGAAAGGCCCAGAGCCGCTGGATGGTGGATTCTGGGCACCTGATCCGCAGGGTGTGGTGGCCCTCTGAGGGACCCCTCTGACAGACTGCAGGCAAGCTGTCAAGGGTGTGTGTGTCTGAGGGTGAGTGAGTGTGTGTGTGAGGGTGTAAGGGTGTGTGTGAGAGTGTGGGTGTGGAGTGTGTGACAGTGTATGAGGGTGTGGGTGTGAGGGTATGTGAGGGTGTGTGGGTGTGTGTGTGTGAGGGTGAGTGTGAGAATGTGAAGTCTGAGGGCTGTGTGATGGTGTGTGAGGGTGTGTGTGAGAGAGGGTGTGAGGGGGTGTGTGAGGGTGTGTGAGGGTGAGTGGGTGTGTCGGTGTGAGGGTGTGTGGGTGTGAGAATGCATGAAGTCTGAGGGTTGTGATGGTGTGTGTGGGTGTGTCAGGGTGTGTGTGTGGGCATGTGAGGGTGTGAGGGTGTATGAGGGTGTGGGTGTGTGAGGGTGAGTGGGTGTGTCGGTGTGAGGGCACATGAGGGTGTGTGGGTGAGTGTGAGAGAGAATGCGTGTGAAGTCAGTGTGTGATGGGTGAGGGTGTGTGGGTGTGTGAGGGTGTGTATGAGGGCATGTGAGGGTGTGTAAGGGTGTGAGGGGGTGAGGGTGTGACTGAGAGTGTAAGGGTGTGGGGATGTGTGAGGATGTGTGTGTGAGGATATAAGTGTTAGGGGTGCATGAGAGTGTGAGGGTGTGAGGGCTTGTAAATGTTTGTGAAGGTGTGGGAGTGTGGAGATATGCGGAAGTGTGGGGTGAGTGTGAGGGTTGTGAGAATGTGTGGGAGGGTGTGAGTGTGGGATGTATGAAGTTGGGATTGTGTCAGCATGTGTGTGAGAATGTGGGTGTATGAGGGTGTAAGGGTGTGTGAGAATGTGGGTGTGTATGGATGTGTGGGTGTGTGGATGTGTGTGGGTGTGTGAAGTGAGAATGTGTGTGTGGGTGTGTGTATGAGGGTGTGAGGGTGTGAGGGTTGTGGATGTGGGGTGTGTGAGGGTGTGAGGGAGTGTGGGTGTGTGGTGTGTGAGGGTGTGTGTATGTGTGTGAGGATGTGTGGGATGTGTGTGGATGTGTGGGAGTGTGAGGGATGTGTGGGGTGTGTGGATGTGTGGGAGTGTGAGGATGTGTGAGGGTGTGTGGGGATGTGAGGGTGTGTGTGGATGTGTGGGGATGTGAGGGTGTGTGTGGATGTGTGGGGTGTGTGTGGATGTGTGGGGTGTGTGGGGTGTGTGTGGATGTGTGGGAGTGTGAGGATGTGTGGGTGTGTGTGGGGTGTGTGTGGATGTGTGGGGTGTGTGGGGTGTGTGTGGATGTGTGGGGTGCTTCAGAATGTGTGTGGATGTGTGGGAGTGTGAGGATGTGTGAGGGTGTGTGGGGTGTGTGGATGTGTGAGGGTGTGAGGGTGTGTGTGCACGTGTGGGGTGTGGGGTGTGTGTGGATGTGTGGGGTGTGTGGGGTGTGTGTGGATGTGTGAAGGTGTGAGTGTGAGGGTGTGTGGATGTGTGGGGTGTGTGAGGGTGTGTGAGGGAGTGGGTGTGTGGTGTGTGAGGGTGTGTGTATGTGTGTGAGGATGTGTGTGGATGTGGGGTGTGGGGTGTGTGGGGATGTGTGGGAGTGTGAGGATATGTGAGGGTGTGGGGATGTGAGGGTGTGTGTGGATGTGAGGGTGTGTGTGGATGTGTGGGGTGTGTGTGGATGTGTGGGGATGTGAGAGTGTGTGTGAGTGTGAGGGTGTGAGGGTGTGTGTGGGGTGTGGGGTGTGTGGATGTGTGGGGGTGTGTGGGGATGTGAGGGTGTGTGTGGATGTGTGGGGTGTGTGGGGTGTGGGGTGTGAGGGTGTGTGGGGATGTGAGGATGTGTGGGGTGTGTGGGGTGTGTGTGGATGTGTGGGGTGTTTGAGGATGTGTGTGGATGTGTGGGAGTGTGGGGATGTAAGGGTGTGAGGGCTTGTGGGGATGTGTGGTGTGTGTGAGCGGCTGTGTGCACTGGCCGAGTTGCCTGCTGCTGTCCTGGCCTGGGGCCAGGCGTGTGCCAGCTCCTGTGTTTGTTGTGTGCCCGGCGTGTGCTGGGTGCCCGAGTCGGGCTGGGTGTGTCTGGGTGTGGCCCTGGGGTGTCCCTTTCTGGACGTGTGTCTCCGTGCAGAACGGAGGTCCTCGTGTTCCCAGAAGGAAGCCCCCAGCCCCAGGCGGGTGCCTGAGAATAGACCTGGGGCCTGTGGGCGTGGCAGGGCTGCCCCTCGGCTCCTCATGGACCCCCCGGACACCAGTCCCACCCTGTGTCTGTGATGCTCACTCTCTGAGCCTTCCCTGACCCCATGTGCCAAAGCCTGGCCCAGCAATGCCACGTGTGCATGTGTGAGCGTGAGCTTGGCAGCGGGTGGGAGAATGTGTGCGTCAGTGTGTGAGCGTGAGCACGGCCTGTGCTTGTCTGGCTGTGGGACTGGGGGCCTCTGTGACGCTGTGAGCCCTTGTGGACCTGAGTGTGGGCCGTGTGAGCTGTGTGCACGTGGCTGTGGCTGAGTGTGAGCCTCTGAGTGTGTGTGTCTGTGCCGTGTACCTCTGTGTGTCTATATGTGTCTGTGTGCCTCTGACTTTATGTGTGTCTGTATCTATCTCTGTGTGTGTCTCTGCGTGTGGTAGCATGTCTGTGCTTGTGTACCTGTGTCTGCGTGTGTCTTTGTCTCTGTGTGTGCCTATGCGTGTCTGTGTGTGGTAGTGTGTCTGTGCTTGTGTTTCTGTGTCTGTGTGTCTCTGACTCTGTGTGCCTATGTGTGTCTGTGTGTCTCTGTGTGTGTGGTAGTGTGTCTGTGTGTCTCTGACTCTGTGTGTGCCTATGTGTGTGTGTGTCTCTCTCTGTGTGTGTTAGTGTGTTTGTGTGTATTGTGTGTCTTTATGTCTCTGTATGTCTATGTGTCTGTGTGTCTCTGTGTGTTTGTGTGTTCTGTGTGTCTCTGTGGGGTGTGCATGACTATATTTGTGGGAGGCTGTATGTGCAGGAAGGGCCCCCTGAGCATTGTCACCCGGGCTGCACCCTGGGGGTCTTCCCAGGGATCCTTTCCTCAAACTTGAGTCCTCCCTGGAGGGCTTAGGTTCCACTGAGGGGGTGGGCGCGGGCACAGACCCCTCCTCTAGGAGGCTGGGGTGGGGCTGTCCTGCCTGGCTGGGACACGGGTCAGAATGTCCCCCCATGTGGTCCACCCTGTTCTAGGCACAGGGTGTCATCTCCCAGGGTCTCAGCTGCTGGGGTGATGGGCCCCGGACAGCCCCTGGGTGTGGGGTGGGGTCCTATGGAGGCCTCTGTGTCCCACTGAAGATGCAGGGCTGGGGTTGGGCAGGTCTGTTCTGGGGTGGTCTCGTGGGGCAACCCCAGAGGGTACTGAGGCCGGGGTAGGGTTGGGCGACCCCACCTAGGGTCTACGGGCTGAAAGCGCCTGGGTTGGCCAGGCCTGGGCACAGGGGAGGACAGAGGTTTGGTGACAGGTGGGCTGTGAGGGGCCCAGCAGGTGCACGGAGGAAGCTCTGTCCCCAGGTGACCCACAAAATCCTCTTCCGAGGGTGCTGGGGGTCCTGTTCCTGGGGGCCATGCCTGGGACCTCCATGCAGGGGTCTCCTCCCTGGCCCAGCTCCCCTGGGGCAAGGTCCGACTTGTTACCCCCTCCACCAGGCAGTCCTCTGGGAAGTGCCCTGGGGCCTGGTCACTCTGGGCCTGGCCACAGCATTGGCCTGGACATGGGGTGTGGCTGGGGAGTGTGAATAGTCAGGAATCCTGCAAACCAGCTGCCTGGGTGCCAGCCTTCCCCCCACCTCCCCCAATGCAAATCGCCATCTCGGAGGTGGGTGGGGGTTTCCACACCACTGTCCCACCTGCTCTGTGGTTCCCATTTTCAGCATTTTTAGAAATATTTGCAAGAATGTGTTTGTGCCTGTGTGGTGGGGTGGGGGTGGGAGCTGCGGCCCGGTGCCCATGAGGTCTTGTTTTTCAGACTGGACGGGGGTGGGGGAGGGGGAGCTGCGGCCCCCCCACCTGCTAGTGTGTCCAGCCTCCTGAGTGGGGCAGCGAGCGTCCTGGCTGGGCCCCAGGGCATGACCCCCGATGAGTGTGAGGCGCTGAGGCCGAGTCTGGTCCTTGGCGAGGAGGCCCAGAAGGCCCAGGTGCCCGTCCTGAGCGTTATCCAGGGCCCTGCCTCAGGCCTCATGCCGGGGCCAAGCCCAGGGCTGGCTGGTGGCCACGCAGAGCTGAGAGGGGCGGGGAAGTGAGGCTGGGTTGGAGGAAAGCTGAGGGGCCCAGGCCTCCCACTCCAGCCCCCGAGGCAGACCCTGGCCCACCCAGGGACCCCCTCCCATGCACACAAGCACACACAACACATATATGGGCATGCGTGTGCACACACACTCGCTGCAGCCCGCAGCACTGGCTGGCCCAGGTGTCCTCGGGACGTGGTCCACGCGGTGCTGACACGAGCTGGCCCTGAGCGCGGGCTCTGCGGGGTGCCATTCCCAGGCCCTGCAGGGGCACATGCGGTGTCGTGGGGCAGCAACTGTGACCTCTGCCCCGCAGACCCGGACATGCCGCCAGAGAGGCCAAGGCGTACGCTCTCCGAGCCTTCCCTGACCCCATGTGCCCAAGCCTGGCCCAGCAACGCCATGTGTGCATGTGTGAGTGTGAGCTTGGCAACAGGTGGGAGAATGTGTGTGTTAGTGCATGAGTGTGAGCATGAGCGTGTGAGATGCAAGCGTGTGTGCAGTGAGTGGTGGATGAGCTGGAGGTGTGAGGTTGTGCGTGATGCGGACAGGTGTGTAGTGTGGACAGGTGTGTGGTGTGGACAGGTGTGTGGGGTGGACAGGTGTGTGGTGTGGACAGGTGTGTGGGGTGGACGGGGTGTAGTGTGGACAGGTGTCTGGTGTGGACAGGTGTGTGGTGCGGACAGGTGTGCGGTGTGGACAGGTGTGTATTGTGGGCAGGTGTGTGGGGTGGATGGGGTGTAGTGTGGACAGGTGTGCAGTGTGGACAGGTGTGCAGGGTGGACAGGTGTGCGGGGTGGACAGGTGTGCGGGGTGGACAGGTGTGTGGTATGGACAGGTGTGTGGGGTGGACAGGGATGTGGGGTGGATGGGTGTAGTGTGGACAGGTGTGTGGTGTGGACAGGTGTGTGGGGTGGACGGGGTGTAGTGTGGACAGGTGTGTGGTGTGGACAGGTGTGTGGGGTGGACGGGGTGTAGTGTGGACAGGTGTGTGGTGTGGACAGGTGTGCGGTGTGGACAGGTGTGTGGTGTGGGCAGGTGTGTGGGGTGGATGGGGTGTAGTGTGGACAGGTGTGTAGTGTGGACAGGGGTGTAGTGTGGACAGGTGTGTGGGGTGGACAGGTGTGTGGTGTGGACAGGGGAGGCAGGTTCATGACACGGGGCAGGACAGTGGCCAGGGGCTGCAAGCGTGACCTGCGGGAGGGGGTGCCTGTGTGCGGGCATGTCTGTGTGTGTCTTTATGTGTCTGTGTGTGTGTGTCTCTATGTGTGTCAGTGTGTGTCTGTGCATCCACGTGCATGTGTGTGTGCATATCCGTGTGTCTGTGTCTTTATGTGTCTGTGTGTGTATGTGTTTGCCTGTGTGTGTCTCTGTGTCTGTGCATCCATGTGGATGTGTGTCTATATGTGTGTCTCTGTGCACATATGTGTGTGTCTGTGCATGTCCGTGTGTGTCTGTGCATTTCTGTGTGTGTCTCTGTGCATGTCTGTGTGTGTCTCTGTGCATGTCTGTGCATGTCTCTGTGTGTGTGTCTCTGTGCATGTCTGTGTGTGTCTGTGCGTTTCTGTGTGTGCATGTCTGTGTGTGTCTGTGTGTATGTGTGTGTGTCTGTGCATGTCTGCGTGTCTGAGTGTCAGGGGATGGCCTGTGCGGGGCTCGCAGTGCAGGCGGGTTTGCTCACACCTCCCCCGCAGGGCTGAGCCTCCAGACTCCCAGCCCCATACAGGCCCCAGCCCAGGGGGGAGCCGGGCGGTGCTTGGGGCCTGGAGCCCTGACCCGGGGAGTCAGGGCAGGACTAGGGTGGAGGCTCTGGTGACTCAGCCTCCTCGTATGTGTGCACTGCAGTTTGTCCTCCGTGCATCCCTTGGTGGACACTTGTGGGGCTTCCTGGGAGGCGGCCCCAGACTTGGGCAGATTCTAGGACCCAGAGGGATGGGGCAGAGGCAGGGATGACAGAGACAGACACAAAGCAGAGAGACGGAGGCAGAGGGAGACATGCAGAGTCGCGGAGACATCCGGGCTCAGGCCCCGACTCTCAGGGGCCACCCCCAGGGAGGACACGCAGTGCACCCCCACACCCACACCTCACACACACACTCACACCCACATACCCCCATCCACACACACCCAGAGACACACAGACACCCACAGCCACACACTCACACTCACGAACTTATCCAGTCACGTCCCACACACTCCCACCCAACCCATACACCACACACCTACACAACCCATACACCACACACACTCACAAACTATATACCACACACACACCAACCATACACCTATATACACTCACACACCCATATACCACACACTCACACACAACCCATACACCACACGCACACAACCCATACACCTATACACACTCACACCTACAAACTATATACTACACACTCACACACAACCCATACACCTATACACACACACCCATATACCACACACAACCATACACCACACACACAAACCATATACCACACACTCACACAACCCATACACCTATACACACTCATACCCATATACCACATACAACCAATATACCACACACACACAACCCATACACCTATACACACACACCTATACACCACACACAGCCCATACACTACACAATCACACCACAAACTGTATACCACACACTCACACATAACCCATACACCTATACACACACACCCATATACCACACACACAACCTGTGCACCTACACACACACATACACCACACACACACAACTCCTACACCTACACACACCCACCACCCATACACACACAGCCTATACACCTACACACACTCATACACTCATATAGCACACACACAACCCATATACCACACACACAACCCACATACCTATACACACACGCCCATACACCACACACTCACACAACCCATGCACCACATACACCCACAAACTATATGCTACACACTCACACACAACCCATACACCTATACACAATCCCACAACCCATACACACTTACACAACCTATACACCACACACACTCACAATCTGTATACCACACACACAACCCATACAGTTATACACACACACCCATATACCACACACTCACACACAACCCATATACCACACACTCACACACAAACCATACATCTATACACATACCCATATGCCACACATACAACCCATACACCACACACTCACACACAACACATACACCACACACACAACCCATAGAACACAAACACAAGTCATAACCACACACACAGCCCATATACCTATACACATTCACACACACAACCCATACACTACACACACAACACATACACCTATACACACACTCAATTCATACACCACACACACACAGCCCATACATCTATACACAAACTCACACACAATCCATATACCACAAACTCACACACAACGCATACACCTATACACACACATGCAACTCATACAGCACACACTCACACAACCCACAGACCATAAACACACACAAGCCATAACCACACACAAACCCATACACCTATACACACACTCATAAACAAGCCATACACCCCTACACAACCCATACACCACACACTCACAACCCATACACCTATATACACACACAACCATATACCACAAACTCACGCTCAACACATACACCTATACACACACACAACTCATACACCACACACTCATACACAACGCACAGACCACATACACAAGCCATAACCACACACACACAACCCGTACACATATATACACACTAATAAGCCATACACCTACACATACAACCCATACACCACACATTCACACATAACCCATACACCTATACACACACACACACAACCCATATACCACAAACACACACAACCTATACACACATACAACCCATACACCACACACACAACACATACACACCACACACACACATAATACTCATACACACACCCATACACCACCCCCACACAGAACCCATACACCACACACACACAACCTATACACCTATACACACACTCACACACACAACTCATATACCACAAACACACACAACACATACACCTATGCACACACACAACCCATACACCACACATTCACATACAACCCATACACCACACACACACAACACATACATGAAACATACATACAACCCACACACCACCCACTCATACACAACCTATACACCACACACACAACTCATACACCTATACACACACAACACATACACCTATCATACACTCACAACACATATACCTCCTATACACACACAACACACACACTTCCTATACACACAACCCACACGCCTATACACACATCCTCACTCACACTCACCCTCACATTCATATACTCACTAACACACTTCCACACTCACACCCTCACCCACACTTACACCCCCACCCACACTCAAACCCCGACGCTAAGTCACTGTCACATTTGTACCCATGCTCACACGCTCACACACTCACCCCCCACCAGCTCCAGGGCTCACTGGTGTGTGCCCACCAAACCCCCCTCGGGGGTCCCCTCTGTAAGCCGACAGTGCTCTGCTCATCGGTGGCCTGGGGAAACAGGGCCCACCCAAGGCCTGGCTCAGGAAAGGCTCCAAACACACATGGCCCAGGAGCAAATGGGCAGAGCTCAGCCTGCAGCTGGGAGCGGCCGAGCGGGTGCTGGGCCAGAGTCGGGGCCTGTCTGTGGGTGAGGGGCACGGCAGCACGGGCCCACCTGCACCTACAAGGCCTGGCCCCCGAGGTCACTGGGCCACCACCCAGCCCTCGCCCTGTTCCCCGTCTGTGCTGGCCGGGGCAGGACTCTGAGCCTCGGGGAAACCCACAGATACACACGGGACCCCGAACATCGGGCTGGGGAGGCTGGGGTGGGTAACAACATCCCAGAGGGAGGAGCAGGAGGTCCTGGGACCCTGCGCACTGCGACCCCAGCCCTGGGGGCTGAAGCCCAGGACAGCCTCAGGTCTCCCAGGAGGGACTGGATAGTGGGGGATGGTCAGAGAACAGGACAGCCAGCAGGGTGCAGCCCGAGGACAGGGATGGATGCTGGGAGGTCAACAGGACAGGGGCAGGGGCAGGGGCTGTGGAGTGTGAGAAGGTCCTGGAGGGCCTGGAGAACCTGTGGGTCAGTGTCTGTGGGAAGGAGGCCAGGAGCAGCCCTGAGTGGCCAGGCTGGCAGGGATGAGGAGGTGGGGGCAGTGAGGTGAGGGTGACCGAGACAGGCCTCTGGCCAGGGAGGGGACCTTGGCTGGGCTCTGACTGAACCCAGGGCTCCTGGAGAAGGGGCCCCAGGCGGGGATGAGGATGTGGGCATCTGACTCCATCAACAATGGGGCTTCCAACACGCACAGCCTGGGCCTCGGAGACCTGGGCCCTGACCCGCCTCCCCCTGGCACTGGGCCGGGTGCCGTGTGTGGTCCCCAGTCCCCGCAGCACCTCCCCCACACTGGTCACGTTCCAGGGCCCCTCTGAAGCACCTGCTGTGAGGGGATGTGAGGAGGGGACAGGGACTTGGGCCTGAGCTGCCGGGTCGGGGGGGAGTCGGGGACCCAGGCTCAGCGTGTGGCTGCGGACCAGACAGATGGGGATGGAGGAGGACACGCCCTGTACCCACTGCCTGCCAAGGGGCTGGACCCATGCCCAGTCTAGGCCATGTCCCCCGAGGCCTGTGAACCTTCACTCTGAGCCACTAAAACATTCAGGAGCTTTGAAAGCAGCCCCCGTCCTTGTCACTATGCGATGACTCTGAGCATCACGCTGTCCCTGCTGGATCCACCCTCCAGCCCCAGCGAGGGAGGCTGGGCCCCGGGCAGCAGGTGGTGAGGGCAGCGGGCACAGCCACGCTACAGCACACACAGGGTCTCAGGGACGCGTCCACCACAGCCCGTGCACAGGCTCCCCACGGCACTGAGTTCACCCGGGGCGCGGGCCGTTTGTCCTCAGGAGTCCCGCTGTACCCTCCGCCCCCAGCCCTGTCCTGCTGAGGCTGCAGCTGGGTCCCGGGGCACAGGGCGGCCCTGAGCACCTTGTCATGTTGGTCCCTGTCGGGTGGGCTGCTGGCTCTCTGTGGAGCTGGCAGAGCCGCGGTTCAGCCTTGGAGGCCGGTCCTGGGGCCCAGCAGCCGTGGGGAGCACTGCCCAGTCCCGTGCCCACAGGGAATCACCTGGGCTGAGGAAGGGCCCACACGCCGACGGGATCGGGGTCAGGCAGCGCACGCCTGGCACCGAGATCCCACGTCCCGAAGTGGGGACACGGCCCAGGGGCACTGTTCCGGGAGGGTCTCAAGATGGGGTCTCCTATTTCAATCTTCACTCCTTCTGCACCTGTTAGCTGGGAACCTTCTAGAAGGAGGGGTGTCCTCAATCATGGGGTGGTTGTGAGCTGAGCACAGATCATGCAGGAAGGTACATGGCTTCTCCTTCACCAGGAAAACAGTGCAGAGAGACAGAGACACAGAGACAGAGTAACAGAGAAAGACAGAGAGACAGAGACAGAGACACAGAGACAGAGTAACAGAGAAAGACAGAGAGACAGAGACACAGAGACAGAGACAGAGTAACAGAGAAAGACAGAGAGACAGAGAGACACAGACAGAGACAGAGTAACAGAGAAAGGCAGAGAGACAGAGAGAGACAGAGACAGAGTAACAGAGAAAGACAGAGAGGCAGAGAGAGAGAGACAGAGACAGAGACAGAGTAACAGAGATAGACAGAGAGACACAGAGACAGAGACAGAGTAACAGAGATAGAGAGACAGAGAGAGACACAGAGACAGAGTAACAGACAGAGACAGAGACAGGCACAGAGATAAGAAAGATACACAGAAACAGAGAGAGACAGAGACAGAGATAGTCACTGTCACATTCATACCCACGCTCACCTGCTCACACACACACACCTCACACACACTCACACTCACACTCACCTCACACACACAGTCACACACACACTCACACACACTCACACACACACACTGAGCTTCCCTCAGGCCCTGTCACTTCCGATGGGGCCTACGGCCTGTCTAAGCCTCTGGGCCACCAGCCCCTGGCTCACCGGTGTGTGCCCACCACACCCCGCCTTGGGGGTCTCCTCTATGAGCTGGGCACATGCCCTCCGCTCTGTTCATGGCTGGCCTGGGGGAAACAGGGCCCACCCAAGGCCTGGCTCAGGGAAGGCCTCAAACACACATGGCCCAGGAGCAAAGGGGCAGAGCTCAGCCTGCAGCTGGGAGCGGGCAGGGGTAGTGGAGTGGGCGGAGGGCCTGGAGAACCTGCAGGGCTACGATGTCTCTGGGAAGGGGGCCCAGGAGCAGCTCAGCGTGGCTGGGCCGGCAGGGCCGAGGAGGTGGGGGCCGTGAGGGAGGGGTGACTCGGCTGTGTGGGGTGCCGGGGGACACGGGCTTTGCTCCGGCTGAGCCCAGGCAGTGGCGAATCCCTGAGCTGCCAGGAGGAGAGCAGGGCCGGGGTCAGGCAGAGGTGGGCCGCGGGGCCGAGGGCTGCGGCCGGTCGGGAGCAGTCGGTCGGTTGAGGGCACCATTACATGGAGGGCTGTGAGACGGGAGACCCCATTCCCTTCATTCCTTGTGCACGTGTTAGTGAGGAAGCTTCTAGAAGGAGGGCATTGCTCGTAGTGGGTGAGTGTGAGCACAGATCATGCAGGCTGGCGTGCTGCCGTGAAGTGCCTCTCTTTACTTTCCAGACCTCAGCATGGCAAGCCCGTCCTGCGCCCCAGGGTCTTTCTGGAGTACACGCCGCGCGGTCCTGGTGGGCACCATACCTGGCACCCACGCTTTGGCCGGGCCCGAACCTTGCGCCCTCCCAGCCCCCATGTGGCTCTCCCTTGGCCATACTGGCCTTTTGCCAGTCCTCCTACCTCACCCTAGGGTCTGCCTGGCCCTGCCCTCCCTTCCTAGCCCCCCAAGGAGGCTGGAGGGCACCCCTGCGTCCACCAGCAGCAGCTCCTCATGGGCGAGTCTCCTTGGGCCAGTGACACATAGTGTGCCCCGATGGTGCCACGGCAGCCTGGGCCCTCCGCCTTCCTGCTTGGCAGGCACCCCCGCTCCCTGCACCCTCACCGGGGCACCTGTGAGCCCTGAGGGCCAGTGGGGGTCTCACTGCTGCTCCCTCCCACAGCCTAGCCTCGGGCCTCAGGGCTCTGCATCCAAGCGGCCCAGGGCTCCCTGAGGTCTCAGCCCGAGTGGGCCTTTGAGCCTTCGCGTTCTCTGCAGGGTGGGACCTGCCCAAGGGCTGCTGAGGGCTTCCCAGGGGTCCTGTGGGTCCCACCTAGGGGCAAGCTGGTGAGGAAAGTGGGTCCTGCCATGGCGGCCGGGTGGGCTGAGTTTTCGGCATCTCTGGGCCCAACAGCAGGTCCCTGGAGCGGCGCCCACCCCTCCCCCAGGCAGGTGTGAGGGCTCTGATCTGTTTCTCCTTGAGTGACTCATTCTGGGCAGACTTGGCCCTCAGGGCACATGCAAATGGTTGTTTGTTCCACACCGAAAACATGTTTCTTGCCCTCTGAGGCTGTTTCCAGAAATAGCTTGCACGATTCTCCACCTGCAGCTGCAGCCGCCACCCACCCAGTGTGGCCAGGCTGGCCCAGGCCTCCAGATTCGGGGACACCCCCCGCCCCCTCCCCCAGCG
This sequence comes from Homo sapiens, assembly GCF_000001405.40. Taxonomy (NCBI): domain Eukaryota; kingdom Metazoa; phylum Chordata; class Mammalia; order Primates; family Hominidae; genus Homo; species Homo sapiens. Next base: position 42,406 of record NT_187600.1, read on the forward strand.
TGGCCAGGCTGGCTCAGGCCTCCAGATTCGGGGACACCCCCCCCCCCCAACAGCGTGGCCAGGCTGGCTCAGGCCTCCAGATTCGGGGACACCCCCCCACCACAGCGTGGCCAGGCTGGCTCAGGCCTCCAGATTCGGGGACACCCGCCCCCTCCCCCAGGACAGGCCCACTTGGGTTACTGACACTGGGACCACCCTGCAAACGTCAACTTTATTGAATTCAGTGGTTCTGAACTTGTTGCCATCTTTGGGACCAGGACCCAGGGGCAGCCCCCAGGTTGGCAGGAAGGGCAGGGGAGCCAACGCTGGCAGGGCCCCCAGCCAACCCCCACCCCAGAAGCCCCAAGGAGGCTGAGCGGAGGTGGCCCTGGTGGCCTGGGCACAGGCAGCCCGATTGGTACAGGGCCTGTCTGGTGCAGGCCCGCACCTCCCCCACCCTCATGGCCTGGTGGTCCCCACTGTACAGAGAGAACACTGAGGCTCAGCAGGGCCAGGGACATGGCCTGAGGTTACATGGTGATGGGGGCTGGGTCTCCGGGCCTGGGGGCCGTGGTGGGTGCAGCACCCGGACTGCGTGGGCTGTGGCCTCCCTGCTCCCAGCTCTGTCACACCCGTCTCCATCTGAGCCTCCAGCTCCATCTTTCCCGCTGTCCCTGTCTCTGGCCACCCTTCTGTCTCCCTGTCTCTCTGCCTCTCTGAAGGTATCTCCCTGCCCGAATCTCTGTCTCTGTCCCATTGTCGGTGTCTCTGACTCATCTCTGTCAAGCCCGTCTGCTGGGCTTTGTCCCGCCATCTTGCCTGTCTTGGCCTCTCTCTCTTTCTGTGTGTCTCCGTCGGTGCCTCCTTTCTCCATCCATCTCTCCCCCGTGTCTGTCTCTATCCCTCCGTCTCTCTTCCCGTCTATCCCTCCCTCTGTGCCTGTCCCTTTGCTGTGTCCCTTTCTTTGCCTCTGTCTCTCTGTCTGTCTCTTCGTGTCCCTGTGTGTGTCTCTCTCTTCTCTCTGCTTCTCTTTCTGTATCTCTGTCTATATCTCAGCCTCTTTGTGTCCCTGTGTGTGTGTCTCTCTCTTCTCTGTCTTTCCATGTCTCTGTCTATATCTCTGTCTCTCTGCCTCTGTATCTCTGTCTGTCTGTTCGTGTCCCTGTGTATGTCTCTCTCTGTCTCTTTCTGTATCTCTGTCTATATCTGTCTCTCTCATCTGTCTCTTCCTGTGTGTGTCTCTCTGTCTCTCTGCCTCTGTCTCTGTCTCTCTGTCTCTTCATCTCTGTCTGTCTCTGCCTGTCTGTGTCATTTGGTGTCTCTGTTTTTGTATGTCTCTCTGTTTGTCTGTGTCTCTTCCTCTCTGTAGCTCTGCCTCTCTCTATCTCTCCTTATATCTGTCTTTCTCTCTCCCTGTTTCTTTCTCTGTCTCTTTTTGTCTTTCTGAGTCTGTCTCTGTCTCTGTCTCTTCCTCTCTGTATATACCTCTCTGTCTTTCTGTTGCTGTCTGTCTCTGTTTCTCTTCTCCTCTCTCTATCTCTCTTTGTCTGTCTTTCTCTGCCTTTCTAACTCTGTCTTTCTCTGTCTCTCTGTCTCTATCTCAGTCTCTCTTCTTATCTCTCTCTCTGTCTCTCTCACTCTCTGTATCTCTTTGTCTCTGTCTTTCTCTTATCTCTATCGCTCTGTCTCTATCTCTCTTTCTGTCTCTCTGTATCTCTATCTCTGTCTCTCTCATGTCTATCTCTCTGTCTTTCTCTGTCTCTCTGTATCTCTGTCTTTCATCTCTATCTCTATCTCTGTCTTTCTGTCTCTATCTCTGTCTCTCTATCTCTTTCTCTGTCTGTATCTCTCTGTCTCTATCTCTCTCTGTCTTTCTCTGTGTCTCTGTATCTCTGTCTCTATCTCTGTCTCTCTATCTCTCTCTGTCTCTCCCTGTCTCTCTCTATCTCTGTCTCTCCATCCCATGTGGGTCTGTGGGTTTCCCCGAGGCTCAGAGCCCTGCCCCGGTCAGCACAGACAGGGAACAGGGCGAGGGCTGGGTGGTGGCCCAGTGACCTTGGGGGCCAGGCCTTGGGGGTGCAGGTGGGCCCGTGCTGCCGTGCCCCCCACCCACAGACAGGCCCCGGCTCTGGCCCAGCACCCGCTCCGCCGCTCCCAGCTGCAGGCTGAGCTCTGCCCGTTTGCTGCTGGGCCATGTGTGTTTGGGGCCTTTCCTGAGCCAGGCCTTGGGTGGGCCCTGTTTCCCCAGACCACCCATGAGCAGAGTGTAGGGCACGTGCCCAGCTCACAGAGGGGACCTCTGAGGCGGGGTGTGGTGGGCACACAGCAGTGAGCCATGAGGCTGGTGGCCCAGAGGCTTGGACATGCCGTGGGCCCCATAGGAAGTGACAGGGCTTGAGGGAAGCTCAGTGTGAGTGTGTGAGCGTGGGTATGAATGTGACAGTGACTCTCTATCTGTCTCTTTGTATCTCTGTCTCTCTGTGTGTATCTTTCTATCTCTGTCTCTCTATATGTCTCTCTATCTCTGTCTCTCTGTATCTCTATCTCTCTGTGTGTATCTTTCTATCTCTGTCTCTCTTTCTTGATCTCTCTCTATCTCTGTCTCTGTAACTCTCTTTATCTCTTACTGCTTCTGTTTCTCTCACTCTGTCTCTGTCTCTCTTTATCTCTGTCTTGCTCTCTCTCTCTGTAACTTTATCTCTGTCTCTCTGTTTCTATCTCTGTTTTTCTCTGTCTCTGTCTGTATCTCTGTCTCTCTTTATCTGTCTCTCTGTCTCTGTGTATCTCTGTCTCTCTGTAACTTTATCTCTGTCTTTTTCTGTCTCTGTGTGTGTCTGTCTCTGTGTCTTTGTTTTTCTCTCTGTCTCTGTCAATGTCTCTTTCTGTATCTGTTTCTTTCTCTCTGTCTCTGTCTCTCTATCTCTGTCTCTATCTCTCTGTCTCTCTGTAACTCCTCATCTCTGTCTCTGTGTCTGCATGTCTCTTTCTGTGTCTCTGTTTCTCTCTCTGTCTCTGTCTCTCTGTGACTCTGTCTCTGTCTCTGTCTCTGTCTTTCTCTGTTACTCTGTCTCTCTCTCTGTCTCTCTGTGACTCTATCTGTTACTCTGTCTCTGTCTCTGTCTCTCTCTGTCTCTCTTTCTCTGTTACTCTGTCTGTGTCTCTGTGTCTCTCTCTCGTCTGTCTTTCTCTGTTACTCTGTCTCTGTCTCTGTGTCTCTGTCTCTCTGCACTGTTTTCCTGGTGAAGGAGAAGCCATGTACCTTCCTGCATGATCTGTGCTCAGCTCACAACCACCCCATGATTGAGGACACCCCTCCTTCTAGAAGGTTCCCAGCTAACAGGTGCAGAAGGAGTGAAGATTGAAATAGGAGACCCCATCTTGAGACCCTCCCGGAACAGTGCCCCTGGGCCGTGTCCCCACTTCGGGACGTGGGATCTCGGTGCCAGGCGTGCGCTGCCTGACCCCGATCCCGTCGGCGTGTGGGCCCTTCCTCAGCCCAGGTGATTCCCTGTGGGCACGGGACTGGGCAGTGCTCCCCACGGCTGCTGGGCCCCAGGACCGGCCTCCAAGGCTGAACCGCGGCTCTGCCAGCTCCACAGACAGCCAGCAGCCCACCCGACAGGGACCAACATGACAAGGTGCTCAGGGCCGCCCTGTGCCCCGGGACCCAGCTGCAGCCTCAGCAGGACAGGGCTGGGGGTGGAGGGCACAGCCGGACTCCTGAGGACAAACGGCCCGCGCCCCGGGTGAACTCAGTGCCGTGGGGAGCCTGTGCACGGGCTGTGGTGGACGCGTCCCTGAGACCCTGTGTGTGCTGTAGGGTGGCTGTGCCCGCTGCCCTCACCACCTGCTGCCCGGGGCCCAGCCTCCCTCGCTGGGGCTGGAGGGTGGATCCAGCAGGGACAGCGTGATGCTCAGAGTCATCGCATAGTGACAAGGACGGGGGCTGCTTTCAAAGCTCCTGAATGTTTTAGTGGCTCAGAGTGAAGGTTCACAGGCCTCGGGGGACATGGCCTAGACTGGGCGTGGGTCCAGCCCCTTGGCAAGCAGTGGGTACATGGCGTGTCCTCCTCCATCCCCATCTGTCTGGTCCCCAGCCACACGCTGAGCCTGGGTCCCCGACTCCCCCCCGACCCGGCAGCTCAGGCCCAAGTCCCTGTCCCCTCCCCACATCCCCTCACAGCAGGTGCTTCAGAGGGGCCCTGGAACGTGACCAGTGTGGGGGAGGTGCTGCGGGGACTGGGGACCACACACGGCACCCGGCCCAGTGCCAGGGGGAGGCGGGTCAGGGCCCAGGTCTCCGAGGCCCAGGCTGTGCGTGTTGGAAGCCCCATTGTTGATGGAGTCAGATGCCCACATCCTCATCCCCGCCTGGGGCCCCTTCTTCAGGAGCCCTGGGTTCAGTCAGAGCCCAGCCAAGGTCCCCTCCCTGGCCAGAGGCCTCACTGTCTCGGTCACCCTCACCTCACTGCCCCCACCTCCTCACCCCTGCCAGCCTGGCCACTCTGGGCTGCTCCTGGCCTCCTTCCCACAAACACGGACCCACAGGTTCTCTAGGCCCTCCAGGACCTTCGCCCACTCCACGGCCCCTGCCCCTGTCCTGTTGACCTCCCAGCGTCCATCCCTGTCCTCGGGCTGCACCCTGCTGGCTATCCTGTTCTCTGACCATCCCCCACTGTCCAGTCCCTCCTGGGAGACCTGAGGCCGTCCTGGGCTTCAGCCCCCAGGGCTGGGGTCGCAGTGCGCAGGGTCCTGGGACCTCCTGCTCCCGCCTCTCCCATGTTGTTACCCACCCCAGCCCGATGTTCGGGGTCCTGTGTGGATCTGTAGGTTTCCCCGAGGCTCAGAGTCCTGCCCCGTCCAGCACAGACGGGGAACAGGGCGAGGGCTGGGTGGTGGCCCAGTGACCTCGGGGGCCAGGCCTTGTAGGTGCAGGTGGGCCCGTGCTGCCGTGCCCCCCACCCACAGACAGGCCCCGACTCTGGCCCAGCGCCCGCTCGGCCGCTCCCAGCTGCAGGCTGAGGTCTCCCCATTTGCTCCTGGGCCATGTGTGTTTGGGTGTGAGTGTGGGTATGGATGTGACAGTGACTTAGTGTGTGGCTGTGAGCGTGGGTATGTTTCTGTGTGTTTGTGTGTGAATGTTGTATAATAGTCGTGGTGTGTGTTTGTGAGAGTGACTGTGTGAGAGGGGCTTGCAGCTGAGTTCCTGGGCCCATCTTGCTGCCTCTTTCTCTCCCTGTGTGTTCTCTGCCTCTGTTGTGTTCTCTCTGCATGTCTGTCTCCATGTCTCTTTTTCCCTGTTCCCATCTCCTCCCTTTTTCTCCCATCTCTGTCTCTGTTTCTTATCTATCTCATCTCATCTCTCTCTTTCTGTCTCTTGTGTCTCTGTCCCTCCCCATCCCTGTCTCTTATCTCTCTCCATCCCCATCTCTCTCTCTGTGTCTGTCTTTGTCTCTGTCTCTATGTCTCTTGTCTCTCCCCATCCCTGTCTCTCTCTATGTCTCTGTGTCTCTTATCTCTCCCCATCCCTGTCTCTCTATGTCTCTGTGTCTCTTATCTCTCCTTGTCCTTGTCTTTCTCTGTCTACGTCTCTGTGTCTCTCTCCATCCCTGTCTCTCTCTATGTCTCTGTGTCTCTTATCTCTCCCTATCCCTGTCTCTCTATGTCTCTTGTCTCTCCCCATCCCTGTCTCTCTCTCTCTATGTCTCTGTGTCTCTTATCTCTCCCCATCCCTGTCTCTCTCTATGTCTCTTCATCTCTTATCTCTCTCCCCATCCCTGTCTCTATGTCTCTGTGTCTCTTATCTCTCCCCATCCTTGTCTCTGTCTATGTCTCTGTGTCTCTTGTCTCTCCCTGTCCCTGTCTCTCTCTATGTCTCTGTGTCTCTCTGGGCCCCTGGTCCAATGTCCCCTTCCCAGAACCCCTGTTTCCCTGGTGTGGGGTGCAGGTCCTTCTGTGGCCCTGTGGGCCGTGCTTGTGCTGGGCACAGCCTGCCAGGGCAGCCACTCAAGCCCCAGGGCTGGGCACTGCGTCCTGGCTCTGGCCAAGGGCCCTGGGGAGAGCTGAGGGAGGTGCATGCAGGGTGTGAGGCCCACCACAGTCACTGCCAGATGCTCAGTGCTGGTGCTTCCCTGGGTCTGCTGTGTGGTGGGCACAGCCCTCGTGAGGGCTGCCCATGGAGGAGGCCTGCCGCCTAGAGAGCCCGGACAGGGGGACAATGGCCTGTGCTGACCCTGGCGGAACCCTGGCTGGCCCCAGATGACCCCAGATGGCCCTGGCTGACCCTGGCGGAACCCAGATGACCCTGGCTGACCCTGGCTGGCCCTGGCTGACCCCAGATGACCCTGGCTGACCCTGGCTGATCCTGGCTGACCCTGGCTGACCTCTGCCTAACCCTGGACCTGGAAAGCCCTAGCTGACCCCGGGCTGGTTGGGGCTGGGCCTCCCTGTGGCTGCAGCCCCTCGCTCAGGCCCCAGGCACACCTGGCCAGGTCTCGGTTTTGGGGCATGTTTCTCAGAACAGCAGTTCTCTGGCTGGAACACCTGGCCTGGGCTGTGTTCACAATGACTCAGCCGCCCCACAGGGCTATTTTGGATATTTCTGCAGGTGATGGGGTACAAGAGGCTTCAGGAGAGAGAGAAAAGCAAGAGAATACAAACAGCATGGCCTCCCCCGACCTTCCTGTCCCCACTCCTGTACTGTACCCCCTCCCCAGTGCTAAGTCGAGACCTGGCGACCCCTTAGGGGCTGGGGCTGGGTGTAGCTCACAGGGCCTGGGCTGGTCCTCTCCCCACCAAGTCCTCCTGGGGCCTACACACCCCTCTGAGCCTGGAAAAATGGAGCAAGCCATTGGGGTCATTTCTTCATCTACCAGTGAGTACATGCACTGAGAGGGTCTCGGCTCCCCTGGAGGCCTCCCTCCACCACTGCAGGTCACTTACTCATGAGGGCCAAGGCTCAGAAATCAGACAGGACTCAGTGTCTAGTCAGACTGATACATGCTCAGAAAAGGAATCAGATTTCAAAATGAATATGTATAAGAAAAGAACCGGGGATCAGTGATCAGGAACAGGGATCCATGATCTGGTCCAGGGCTCAGCGGTCAGGAACAGGGCCCAGCGATCAGGACCAGGGCTCAGTAATCAGGACCAGGGCCCAGTGATCAGGACCAGGGCCCAGCGATTGGGTCCAGGGCTCAGTGATCAGGAACAGGGCTCAGTGATCAGGACCAGGGCCCAGTGATCAGGAACAGGGGCCAGTGACTGGGTCCAGGGCTCAGTAATCAGGACCAGGGCTCAGTGATCAGGACCAGGGCTCAGTGATCAGGAATAGGGGTTAGTGATCAGGAACAGGGCTCAGTGATCAGGACCAGGGCTCAGTGATCAGGAACAGGGCTCAGTGATCAGGAACAGTGGTCAGTGATCAGGAACAGGGGTTAGTGATCAGGAACAGGGCTCAGTGATCGGGACCAGGGCTCAGTGATCAGGACCAGGGCCCAGTGATTGTGTCCAGGGCTCAGTGATCAGGACCAGGGCTCAGTGATCAGGAACAGGGCTCAGTGATCAGGAACAGGGGTTAGTGATCAGGAACAGGGCTCAGTGATCAGGACCAGCACTCAGTGATCAGGACCAGGGCCCAGTGATCAGGACCAGGGCCCAGTGATTGGGTCCAGGGCTCAGTAATCAGGACCAGGGCCCAGTGATCAGGAACAGGGCTCAGTGATCAGGAACAGGGGTTAGTGATCAGGAACAGGGGTTAGTGATCAGGAACAGGGCTCAGTGATCAGGAACAGGGCTCAGAGATCAGGACCAGGGCCCAGCGATTGGGTCCAGAGCTCAGTGATCAGGAACAGGGCCCAGCGATCAGGACCAGGGCTCAGTAATCAGGACCAGGGCTCAGTGATCAGGACCAGGGCCCAGTGATCAGGAACAGGGGCCAGTGACTGGGTCCAGGGCTCAGTAATCAGGACCAGGGCTCAGTGATCAGGAACAGCGGTTAGTGATCAGGAACAGGGCTCAGTGATCAGGACCAGCGCTCAGTGATCAGGAGCAGGGCTCAGTAATCAGGACCAGGGCCCAGTGATCAGGAACAGGGCTCAGTGATCAGGAACAGGGGTTAGTGATCAGGAACAGGGCTCAGTGATCAGGACCAGGGCCCAGCGATTGGGTCCAGAGCTCAGTGATCAGGAACAGGGCCCAGCGATCAGGACCAGGGCTCAGTAATCAGGACCAGGGCTCAGTGATCAGTACCAGGGCCCAGCGATTGGGTCCAGGGCTCAGTGATCAGGACCAGGGCCCAGCGATTGGGTCCAGGGCTCAGTGATCAGGAACAGGGCCCAGCGATCAGGACCAGGGCTCAGTAATCAGGACCAGGGCTCAGTGATCAGGACCAGGGCCCAGCGATTGGGTCCAGGGCTCAGTGATCAGGAACAGGGCCCAGCGATTGGGTCCAGGGCTCAGTGATCAGGAACAGGGCCCAGCGATCAGGACCAGGGCTCAGTAATCAGGACCAGGGCTCAGTGATCAGGACCAGGGCCCAGCGATCGGGTCCAGGGCTCAGTGATCAGGACCAGGGCCCAGCGATTGGGTCCAGGGCTCAGCGATCAGGAACAGGGTTCAGTGATCAGGAACAGGGCTCAGCGATTGGGTCCAGGGCTCAGTGATCAGGAACAGGGCTCAGTGATCAGGAACAGGGCTCAGTGATCAGGAACAGGGGTTAGTGATCAGGAACAGGGCTCAGTGATCAGGACCAGGGCCCAGTGATTGGGTCCAGGGCTCAGTGATCAGGAACAGGGCCCAGCGATCAGGACCAGGGCTCAGTAATCAGGACCAGGGCTCAGTGATCAGGACCAGGGCCCAGCGATTGGGTCCAGGGCTCAGTGATCAGGACCAGGGCCCAGCGATTGGGTCCAGGGCTCAGTGATCAGGAACAGGGGCCAGTGATCAGGACCAGGGCCCAGCCATTGGGTCCAGGGCTCAGTGATCAGGAACAGGGCTGAGTGACCAGGACCAGGGCTGAGTGATCAGGTCCAGGGCTGAGTGATGAGGACCAGGGCTGAGTGAGGAGGTCCAGGGCTGAGTGACGAGGTCCAGGGCTGAGTGACGAGGTCCAGGGCTGAGTGACGAGGACCAGGGCTGAGTGACGAGGTCCAGGGCTGAGTGACGAGGACCAGGGCTGAGTGACCAGGACCAGGGCTGAGTGATGAGGTCCAGGGCTGAGTGACAAGGACCAGGGCTGAGTGACGAGGTCCAGGGCAAAAAACAGGAGTAGGACTCAGTGATCAGGACTAAGGCTCAGTGATCAAGGCTAGAATTAAGTGATCAGGAACAGGGACCAAGTAGTAGGACCAGAGCTCAGTGATCGGTAAACGGGCCCACTGGTCAGGACCAGGGCCCTGTGATCAGGATGAGGACCCAGTGAGGAGGACCAGGGCTGTCTAGGTTATGAGGAATAGGGATCCCATGTAGTTCTTGGGAGCAGGCTTCTTTGCCATGTTCTCTGGTGAATCCAGCATTCATCCTTGGGCCTCAGCCTCATGCAAGATCAGGTCATTTCTTGATTTTGGGACCAGGGGTACCCTCTGTCCATGCCCACCATGACCACCATGACACCCAGGGGGACTTTGAAGCAGGCGTTCTCCAGTCTAAAGCCACCACCCTTTCCCTGACCCCCGTCTCCTCATTCAGAGTCTGTGAACATTTTCCTTGGGGCCACTTTATTGCACCTGGAAGCCACGTGAGTAAGGGCGGGTCGGTGATGTCTGAAAGGGCTGAGTTCTGGCAAGCATAGCTGGCTTCTCCAAGAGGTTCCTCCACACTTCCTCCCTGCAAAGACAGAGGGGTCACAGCCTGAAGGAGCAGCATCCTTGCCAACGCCCTCTGTCTCAGCCCTGGCCTGGCTCATGGGAGCCTGGACGGAATCCTCGTTACTGCACTGGAGGGAAGCTCAGCCCTGACCCTGGGCCTGCGCGTGTCCTCAGTGTCTGTGAAGGGCCCCCAGGAGAGCACGTCCCCCCACAGTGGGAGCAGGTGGTGCTCTCCTCTTAGCCAATCACTGCAGCCCACCTCATCTACTGTGGGCTCATCCCCCTCCTGGGCTCCCACCTGTGCCTTGCCGGCTCCCGCTCAGTACTGGGGGCCCTCCCTCTTGCCAGATGGGCCCCGGACGCTGGTCACGGTCAGTGCTGTGCTATAGAACAGGCTCAGCAGGAAGAGGGTGAGGAAGGTGATGGTGGTGGGCCACAGGTTGGCGCCGGGGGTCTCCTCCTCCAGGGTCTCCTGCGGCAAGTCCAGCACCACATAGGGAGGCGGCATCTGCCAATCTGCAACACAGCAAGAGCCTGCCAGGCCCAGACTCCCAGACTCGTGTGAACAGCGGCTATGCTTCCTTGGGGTCTGGGGACAGTGGGGTCTGGGTCCCCATCTAAGGCCTGAGACTCCCCCAGGGAGGATGAGGAGGCAGGGTCCCAGGTGAGGGGCTCGGACCTTCTGTCTTTGACATTCTTAGGGCACTTCAGGGAGAGACTTGGCAGGGCAGAAAGTGGACACCATCTGCTTCTCCAAGGGAAGCTTGAGCCCGAGGTACCCTCCCGCCCCTCCCACCCCACCCCGTCTCAGTCCCAGCCACGTATTCAGTGACTGGGTCCCGGGGCCAGAGAGGACCAGACACACCCACCCTCAAGGAGATCTGGGTCCAAGACAGAGACCTGGGTCTGACACTCAGTGTGCCAAAGGTTGAATGGGCAAGACCAGAGGCCTCTGTTGCCTTCCCAGGGAATGTGGCTGAGGGGTTACAAGCGAGGGCCAGGTGAGGGCCACCAGCACGGGCATCCTCATTTTCCTCAGGGTCTCAGGGCATAGACCTCCCATGTACAGCTGTACCTGCTTGTCATATGCTGATACATCCAGTCATTCACCTGTCTTTCTATCCTTCCGTCCATCTATCCATCCATCCATCTATAAAGCTATTATCCGTATATCCACCCCTCCATCAGTAACACTCCTACCCACTCACCCAACCATTCATCCTCCATTCATCTATTAATGTAAGGCTATCACTTAAATATCCACCCATATATCTATAAAGCTATTTTCCATCCATTCATCCTTCTTCCATCTATCCATCCATCCATTCACCCATCCATCTATAAAGCTATTTTCCATCTCTTCATTCATCCATTCATAAAGCAATTCTCCATCCAATTATCTTCCATACACCTATCCTCCATAGATCTACCCACCCACCCACCCATCTATCCTCAATCCTCCCTCCATCCACCCATCCTCCATTCACCCCTCCATCTATCTTCCATCCTCCATCCACCCTTCCATCCTCCATCCGCCTACCCACCCATCCATCATCCATCCATCCATCATCCATCCATCAGTCCATCCATCTTCCATCCTTCATCCACTCATCCATCCTCCATCCACCCATCCTTCATCCATCCATCCATCACATATCCATCCGTCCATCCTCCATCCAGCCATTTACCCACCCATCCATTTTACCACCCATCCATCCTTCATCTACCCACCCTCCATCCACCCATCCATTCATTATATGTCCTAGGATCTACCCATGTGTCTGCCTGATCTCTGTCTGCTGGTTCAGCCCCTCATCTGTTGATTCTCTCTCTTTCCCCCTCTCTTTAAAAGCCCCTCCCCAGGCCAGGTCCTGGGTCCCATGGGCTGGAGGGCTTCTCTGTGGCAGGGCTTCCCCAAGTGACCTGTTGCTCTCAATTACCCTCTGGTGACTGGACCCTCAGGGGTGACAGTGGCCTCCACCTCACCTTGGCCCTGAGAGCAGAGGGAGGCAGCCAGAAGGCGGGGGCCCCTGGGGAGGCCCGGAAGATGTCTAAGGCACGAGCAGGGGCCCCACTGCCCCCTTGTGGGAGTCCGGGTGCCAGGTGTCCCCACAGTGGTTGTGGGACTGTTCTTTCACTCCTGGGAGCCCCAGGCAGAAGCCAGAGGCATGCAGAGGGCCCTGGGCAGGCCCTGTCTCACTGGCCTGCTTCTGATGCCACCCCACGCGGCCCCTCCCTGTCTATGCTTTGGGTCCTAGTTGGGCTTAGGAAGGGATGGGAGACTTGGCCAGGCAGGGAGCAGGGGCTGCCTGGGAGGGGTCTGTGGAGTTGGTGCCTGATCTGTGCACAGTGGAAACACAGGGAAGCCAGAGGGGCCTGGGGGAGCAGGCTGAGCTTGGGGGCTTGGGAGGGGACTCCCCTGGCTTTTCTGGAACTGGGTCTGGGCTGTGAACGTTCCACTCCTGCAGGGCTCAGGCGTATATGTGAGTGTGAGTGTGCATGTGTGCCCACGTGCCCCGTACAGAGCAGTGTGGTTAAGGGGAGGTGCCCCTTCCTGCATGCGTCAGTGGGACGTCCTGAGGCCCACCCACTAGGGTGGTGGGGCCCTCCTGGAGCTTGTCCTCCCAGTGGGGCCCTGGAGTCCAGCCCCTCACTCCCTCGCCGCTCCTGCCACTACCTGCGCCTTTCTTGGCTAGCCTGCTCCTTTTACCCTCCCTATTCCCTCCCAGCTACAGCCAGAGGCGGCTCTCTCAGGGACAAACGGCCATGCCACTGCTCACTCAGAACTGTCCGGGGCATGTGCGTCTCTCAGAACCCATCCTGGGCTGTGCCTGCCTTGGCAGACCTAAGATCTCACACCAGCGAGGCCTCCTGCACCACACACTCTCACACTCACAACTCACACTCACACCAGGGTGGAAAGTCTCATGGGGGTGCCAGGGGCCCCCCGAGGCTCAGGGCAGGGGGTATTCTTCCCTGTCCATGCCCTGGCCCTTTCCCAAGTGCTGAGACCCTGAGGATGGACAGACAGGCGCCGGATGGAAGCGTGGGGCTGCTTGGGGGAGCATGGAGTTTATTCAGGGGTGGGGACAGGCGGGCGGCTCAGTAGCAGGTGCCGTCCACCTCCGCCATGACAACAGACACATTGACATGGGTGGGTTTACCCGCCAAGCGGTCGATGGTCTTCTGTGTGAAGGCCAGCGGCAGGGCCTCGTGGCCCACCATGCAGGAGAAGGTGTCCCCCTTCTTCCAGTCCTCGGCTGCCACGCGCAGTATGCTGGTCACAGCGAAGGTGGTGGTGCCCTGGCTGGGCTCCTGCCGGGATGCCCAAGTCAGGTACTTCTCGCGGGGCAGCTCCTGTGACCCCTGCAGCCAGCGAACCAGCACATCCTTGGGGCTGAAGCCACGTGCCAGGCACGTCAGCGTCACCAGCTCGTTCAGGGCCAGCTCCTCCGACGGCGGCGGCAGCAGGTGGACCTCGGGCCGGAATGTGTTTCCTGGAGGGTAGAGAGCCAGGTCAGGGGGCTGGGCAGGGGATGAGAGAGCCCCTCTGCTCTGGTGGGCACCCTGGGCTGTGTCCTGGCCCCTCAGCCTGCCTCAGTTTCCCTCTGTACTTGGCATGAGCACTGGAGCCCAGGATTGGGAGGGAGGAGGCAGGCCGGGAATATGCTTTGCAAACCAGAGCACTGAGCAGGGCCCCGAGCAGGGTCTGGACCCACCGGATTTTGTGATGTTGGCGGTTAGTGGGGTCTTCAACTCGGGGTGGGCAGCAGTGCAGGTGAAGGTCTCCCCATGGTTCCATGGCTGGGCACAGCCAGGCAGGACACTGGACACGCTGTAGCAGCCACAGAGGTCACGCTCAGGTGGTCCTTGAACAGCGCTCTTCCCACTTGAGGGCGTCCAGGTGAAGGTGGCACCAGAGGCATCTCTCAGGCCGGTCAGTGTGCACGTGAGGTTCGCTTCTGAACCTAAGAGCAGGTCCTCGAGGGCCGGTCGGTGCAGCGACAGTCGGGGGTGGCAGCATGGGGGAGGTGGGGGAACTGGAGTGGAGAGATGGCCTGAGCTGGTCAGAACGCCCTTCCCCGTGCCCCCGCCTCGCCCCTCCTGGCCTGTCCACCACCACCTCCTGGGGCTCGGCCCGCGGTCCACTCTGGTGTGAGTGAAGGGGCGGCTCCCTGTGGGGAACACGGGTGCAGGCGCAGTGTCAGGGCAGGACGGGGTGGCCCCGCCCCACTCCCCAGCCTGCCCTCTGACCTGGGCAGGGCACAGTCACATCCTGGCTGGGATTCGTGTAGTGCTTCACGTGGCATGTCACGGACTTGCCGTCTGGGCACTGTGTGGCCGGCAGGGTCAGCTGGCTGCTCGTGGTGTACAGGTCCCCGGAGGCATCCTGGCTAGGTGGGAAGTTTCTGGCGGTCACGTTCTGTCCGCTTTCGCTCCAGGTCACACTGAGTGGCTCCTGGGGGAAGAAGCCCTGGACCAGGCATGCGACGACCACGTTCCCATCTTGGGGGGTGCTGTCGAGGCTCAGCGGGAAGACCTTGGGGCTGGTCGGGGATGCTGGAACACAGAATGCGCTGTGAGGACGCGGCCCTCATGCCATGTCCCCAGGAGGACAGGCTGTACCTGCCTCTCCTCTACACTGGAGGAACCCAGCACAGAGAGGCCTGGTGACAGCCCCAAGGTTACACAGCTCCTGCACCATGGGCCTGCGGTTGGACCCAGCTGTCTCATCCCAGCGACACAGTTTCTGAACATGCTCCTTAGATAGGGCCTCTGACCCAGGCCATCCCAGACACAAGTTATATTAAACAGGGCTCTGCCATGGAGTGGCTGAGTCCCCTGAGCTCCCTGACCCCAGTTCCTGCTCTGGGTGGGGGACATATCTTGCTCTTTCCCCTGCCCCTAGAGAGGATTTTGGTGGGGGCTCTGAGGAGGGGGCCTGGGCTCTGAGTGCTGTGTGCATGGGGTAGGGGTGGAGTGGCTTGGCTGTGACCCCATCCCCCTGTCCCTGGTCAGAGTCTCAGTCCAACACCCACCACTCCATGAGCCCCACCCCAGGCCCAAACAAGCCACAGTGGACCCCTGTGGCCTATGAGGTCTCGGGACTAGAGGCCAACAGGCTAAGCCATGTCCCTGCCAGGCCCTCCAGGACAGGGCCTGTTACCCAGGGGAGCTCTGGGCCCAGCCCACTCCAAATTTCCTTCAGGCAGTGGGCAAGAGAGAAGACAGAATCATGGTGCAACAGAGCTGCGTGGCCCTCAGAACCCCTAAGAACACAGCTGGGCTCAGGGCTCTGCAGGTGGAGTCACACTCAACCCACGGCCTCCTTCCCACATTAGCAGCCACCTCAGCTCATCCAGCCCAGCCCAGCCCAGGCCAGTCCAGCTCAGTCCAGCTCAGTCCAGCCCAGCCCAGCTCAGCCCAGCTCAGCCCAGCCCACCCCAGGGCAGCTCAGTACAGCTCATCCCAGCCCAGCCCAGCCCAGCTCAGCTCAGCTCAGCCCAGCCCAGCCCAGCTCAGTCCACCTAAGCTCACCCAGCTCAGCCCAGTCTAGCTCAGCTCAGTCCAGCTCAGCCCAGTCTAGCCCAGCCCAGTACAGGTCAGCCCAGCTCAGCTTAGCCCAGGTCAGTCCAGCTCAGTACAGCTCAGCTCAGCCCAGCCCAGTCCAACCCAGCCCAGCCCAGTCCAACCCAGCCCAGCTCAGCTCAGCCCAGCCCAGCTCAGCTCAGCTCAGCCCAGCCCAGTCCAACCCAGCCCAGCCCAGCTCAGCCCAGGTCAACGCAACCCAGCTCAGCTCAGCATAGCTCAGTCCAGCTCAGCCCAGCCCAGCTCAGCCCAGCTCAGCTCAGCCCAGCCCAGCTCAGCCCAGCTCAGCTCAGCCCAGACCAGCTCAGTCCACCTAAGCTCACCCAGTTCAGCCCAGTCCAGCTCAGATCAGGTCAGCCCAGCCCAGCCCAGCCTAGCCCAGCTCAGCTCAGCCCAGCCCGGCCCAGTCCAGCTCAGCTCAGCTCAGCTCAGCTCAGCCTAGCCCAGTCCAGTTTAGCCCAGCTCAGCCCAGCCCAGCTCAGCCCAGCCCAGCCTAGCCCAGCCTAGCTCACCCCAGCCTAGTCCAGCTCAGCCCAGCTCAGCTCAGCCCAGCTCAGCACAGCCCAGCTCAGCCCAGCTCAGCCCAGCTCAGCCCAGTCTAGCTCAGCCCAGCTCAGCCCGGCCCAGCCGAGCTCAGCCCAGCCCAGCCCAGTCCAGCTCAGCCCAGTCTAGCTCAGCCCAGCTCAGCCGGGCCCAGCCGAGCTCAGCCCAGCCCAGCCCAGTCCAGCCCAGCCCAATCTAGCCCAGCCCAGCTCAGCCCAGTCCAGCCCAGCCCAGCCCAGTCCAGCCCAGCACAGTCCAGCCCAGCACAGTCCAGCCCAGCCCAGTCTAGCCCAGTCTAGCCCAGTCCAGCTCAGCCCAGCCCAGGCCAGCCCAGGCCAGCCCAGCCCAGCCCAGCCCAGCTCAGTCCAGCTCAGCTCAGCCCAGCTCAGCCTAGCCCAGTCCAGCCCAGCCCAATCTAGCCCAGCCCAGCCCAGCCTAGCCCAGCCCAGCCCAGCCCAGCCCAGCCCAGCCTAGCCCAGCCCAGCCCAGCTCAGTCCAGCTCAGCTCAGCCCAGCTCAGCCCAGCCCAGCCCAGCCCAGCTCAGCCCAGCCCAGCCTAGCCCAGCCCAGCCCAGCCCAGCCCAGCTCAGTCCAGCTCAGCTCAGCCCAGCTCAGCCTAGCCCAGTCCAGCCCAGCCCAATCTAGCCCAGCCCAGCCCAGCCCAGCCCAGCCCAGCCCAGCTCAGTCCAGCTCAGCTCAGCCCAGCTCAGCCCAGCCCAGCCCAGCCTAGCCCAGCCCAGCCCAGCCCAGCCCAGCCCAGCTCAGCCCAGCCCAGCCCAGCTCAGTCCAGCTCAGCTCAGCCCAGCTCAGCCTAGCCCAGTCCAGCCCAGCCCAATCTAGCCCAGCCCAGCCCAGCCCAGCCCAGCCCAGCCCAGCCCAGCTCAGTCCAGCTCAGCTCAGCCCAGCTCAGCCTAGCCCAGTCCAGCCCAGCCCAATCTAGCCCAGCCCAGTCCAGCCCAGCCCAGCCTAGCCCAGCCCAGCCCAGCCCAGCCCAGCCCAGCCCAGCCTAGCCCAGCCCAGCCCAGCTCAGTCCAGCTCAGCTCAGCCCAGCTCAGCCCAGCCCAGCCCAGCCCAGTCCACCTCAGCCCCAGCTCCAGCTCAGCTCAGCCCAGCCCAGCTCAGCCCAGCCTAGCCCAGCCCAGCTCAGCCCAGCTCAGCTCAGTTCAGCTCAGCCCAGTCCAGTGTAGCCTAGCTCAGCCCAGTGTAGCCTAGCTCAGCCCAGCCCAGGCCAGGGCAGCTCAGGGCAGCCCACATGGACGTGTATCAGTTGGCTCCAGGTCATCTTCTCCTCTGCCCTCTGGCTCGGCTCAGCCTAGGCCTCGGCTCAACTTAGGCCTCAGCTCAGCCATGAAAGCTGTTCACCTTGTATCCCAGGAAGGGCCGGGTCATCCCAGCTTAGGCCTGGCCAGCCTGGCTCAGCCCCCAGTGCCCAGATCCTTCCTGCCTGGTTAGGAAGCCCTGCCCTGTGGTTCCGGAGTCCCTGTGGTGACCTCTTTTGTCCTTCCCTCTTGTCTTGGTGCCTGTTCTCCACCTTTTGCTTCCAGAAGGGGCCAGGACCAGCCTGGCTGGACTCCTCAATGTGCAGAGGAGGAGACGGAGGCCTGGAGACCTCCAAGACCCACCTGGTCAGGCTGCTGGAGGGCCCGCAGTGCTGAGTGGGCGGCCTCCGGCGTGCAGGCCCTCATGGCAGGTCCACCCTCACGGGCGTCTGGCTGCCTGCCAAGAGGGCTGCTGTGGGGAGGGAGCCCTGGCCCGGCCCAGGTCCTGCCTTGATGGCCGTCTGTCCTTAGCAGAGCCCTGCTCCGCCGCGCTGGCTGTGTCCACAGATGTGGCTGGATGCTGAGGGGCTGGAGGGGAGGGCCTGCATGCCCGTACGTCTGGCCTACAGACGGGGTCACTCGCCCACTTCCTGCCCCAGCAGACACGGCCGCGCGGCTCCACGTCATGTCTGGCCTGTGGTCTGGCTGTGGTGGGGCCAGGTGTGTGTGGCCAGGGCTCTGTGACCCCACCGGCCGTGGAGCCTCACGGCTCCACATGGCTCCACAGGGCGGGGTGGGGGCCACGCTGCAGGGAAACAGGAACAGACACAGTTAGAGGCTCAGAGACCCCGAGACAGAGATGGCAAAGGGGAGACACAGGGCCAGAGAGGGTCCCCGACCACCCGCAGGGGAAGGGCGCCTGTGAGTGGACTCCCGTTGAAGGGGCCTTGGGGCCACAGGGCGGGCATCAGGCTGGGGAGAGTGAGTCTTGCGCTGCTGGGTTGGAGCCACTCGGGCCTGGCCTCCCTCGGCCTGCCCCACGGGCCGCTGGGGGCCCCAGACTGCAGCCCAGGGTGGGGGCATGGGGGCACCCCGTCTCCTAGCCTGCAGCCCTGCGGGTCAGGGCGGCCAAGGTGCCTGCTCTACCCTGTCCAGCACTGCCCAGGTGGCACTCCTACTGTGGGTCACCAGAGAGCTGGCCGTTGCGTTGGAGAGATCCCGCCAGCGATGCTGGCCCTGGAGTCGGGGGAGGCCAGCTATGTCTGGGGGCTCGGGTGGCACCGGCAATGGGAGGCCAGAGGCGCTTCACAGAGGAGCTGCTGCAGCGGAGTCCTGGAAAGCGTGGGCGTGAATGGAAGATGCCCTGGCCATGGGGCCGGGCCACCCCGGCGGAGGCTGTCGGGTGAAATCCAGGGAGTGACAGTGAGGCCGGATCAGGGCAGGTGGGGCCAGAGGAGGAGGGAGGTAGCCTGGGGCTGCCCCAGGGTCCTGGGAAGACACACCTGGCGGTTCAGGGAAGCTCTGGAGCTTTTGTTATGAACCTTGGGATGCCCCCGGCCCTCGCCAGGGGGACGTGGCTGCTGCGTCTTAGTCATTTCTGGCTGCAATAACAAAAATACCATAGACTGGTGGGTTCAGCAGCAACATTCATTTCTCAGGGAAGCTGGAAGTTCAAGGTCAGGATGGCAGCAGGGTCAAGTTCCAGGAAGGGCCGATTCCTGGTTCACAGACCCCCATCTTTTCGCTGCGTCCTCACATGGTGGAAAGAGGGCAGGGCTGCTCTCTGGGGTCCCTTTTCTTTTGGGTCTCTAGTGAGATCAGGGACCGAGTCACATTTTTGAGTGTTCCCCCTCAGGCCCTAACCACCTCCCCGAGGCCCCAGCTCTGCATGCTCTCACTCTGGGATGACGGCTGTCACACAGGAGTTTCGGGCAGACACAGACCCTCAGACCATAGCACCACCCCTGTCTGCCTCTGCCTCTCCCCATCCCTGTGTCTCCTCGTCTGTCTCCAGCTAGGACACTTGTCCTCGGACCTAGCCCCCTCGATAATCCAGGGTGTCCTTCACCTCGAAATCCTTGACAATCCAGGGCGCCCTCACCTCGAAATCCTTGACAATCCAGGGCGCCCTCACCTCGAAATCCTTGACAATCCAGGGCGCCCTCACCTCGAAATCCTTGACAATCCAGGGTGCCCTCACCTCGAAATCCTTGACAATCCAGGGTGCCCTCACCTCGAAATCCTTGACAATCCAGGGCTCCCTCACCTCGAAATCCTTGACAATCCAGGGCGCCCTCACCTCGAAATCCTTGACAATCCAGGGTGCCCTCACCTCGAAATCCTTGACAATCCAGGGTTCCTTCACCTCGAAATCCTTGACAATCCAGGGTTCCTTCACCTCGAAATCCTTGACAATCCAGGGTTCCTTCACCTCGAAATCCTTGACAATCCAGGGTTCCTTCACCTCGAAATCCTTGACAATCCAGGGCGCCCTCACCTCGAAATCCTTGACAATCCAGGGCGCCCTCACCTCGAAATCCTTGACAATCCAGGGTTCCCTCACCTCGAAATCCTTGACAATCCAGGGTGCCCTCACCTCGAAATCCTTGACAATCCAGGGTTCCTTCACCTCGAAATCCTTGACAATCCAGGGTGCCCTGACCTCGAAATCCTTGACAATCCAGGGTTCCTTCACCTCGAAATCCTTGACAATCCAGGGCGCCCTCACCTCGAAATCCTTGACAATCCAGGGCGCCCTCACCTCGAAATCCTTGACAATCCAGGGTTCCCTCACCTCGAAATCCTTGACAATCCAGGGCGCCCTCACCTCGAAATCCTTGACAATCCAGGGCGCCCTCACCTCGAAATCCTTGACAATCCAGGGCGCCCTCACCTCGAAATCCTTGACAATCCAGGGCGCCCTCACCTCGAAATCCTTGACAATCCAGGGTGCCCTCACCTCGAAATCCTTATCTTGATGGGATCTGCAAAGGCCCTTTTGACAAATAATGCCGCACTCAATGGCCCCAGGGGCTAGGATGTGGCTCTATCTTTTGGGGGCCATGGTTGTACCCACGGGTGGGTTAATAGGGGAATGAAGAGGGGGATGGAGAGGCCCTGAGGCGGCATCCTCTTGCTCCCGGGAGGCCAGGCCATGTGGAAGGCAGGGGCGCTGTTCCGAGCCTGGGTGTGAATCCGGGCCTCTGCCCCTCCCCACGGGCCCCGTCTGTCTCCTCTA
Organism: Homo sapiens; assembly: GCF_000001405.40. Lineage (NCBI taxonomy): Eukaryota > Metazoa > Chordata > Mammalia > Primates > Hominidae > Homo > Homo sapiens. Next base: position 62,819 of record NT_187600.1, read on the forward strand.
CGTGGGTGCTCATCTGGTCTTCCTCTCAGGCCTTTGAGGCGATGGAATTTTCTGTGCGTGAGGACGCCTGCCACACAGTGGGGCAGTGAGCTGACTCCTTGCCCTTGCTCTGGGGCCATGGAGGTCTCATGATCTAGGGTGCGGGGCAGAGAAAGTCACTGAGCTCTGTCCCCCGGGGGGGCTCCCGGGCCGGGGCACCTTGGCTGCGGAGGGCCGGTCTGTTGTAGGAGATGTGGGTTTGCGACACCCTGGGCTGGTGATGGGGTGGATGGAGGGCCTGGCTTCCTGAGACTGTGTGTGTGTTGGTATGAGCGTGCCCGAGCGTGTCAGCCTGTGTGAGTGCATGATTGGTGTGTGTGAGTGCAAATGTGTATGAGAGGTTGAGTCTGTGTGTGTGAACCTGTGTGTTTTTGCATGTGCGAGTGTGTGCCTGCGTGTGTGTCTGTGAATGAGGGAGTGTGTGAGGGGAGCTGGGCAGCGGCTGTGGCCTTGGCCCTGTCCTGCGACGCCCCCTCCTCTGGTGTTGTTTGGACCCAGTCGGCCTCAGCGCTGCCCGCTTTGGGGTTTTCTACCCCGTAGGGAGCCGTCGCTCCTCACCTTCTCCCCCGTGCCCGGCTGCTCCGAGGTCGCAGCAGAGGACAGGGCGGAGGGCCCAGGTGCCGCTGTCAGACTGAGGCAGGCTTGCTTCATTCCGCTTTGTGCCAGACTCCATGTGACGTGGCTCTCCTGGCACAGAGCGAGGCTCTCCCTGTGGGGCCATCACTGTGAGAGGACTCTCCTGCATTGGGGCATTTTGCCAACTGGCCCTAAAAAGTGGTCTTAATGATTTACGTGCCCTCAGTCAGGGCCAAGAAGCACCTCCACCCCCTTCATCCCCTCCTCCTTCCTTTCACTTTTCTCATTGTTAAAATGGTTTCTTTATATTATCGGCCACTGGGTTTTTCCTTTCCATGAAGAACCTATTGCTCACCTTTCTTCTTAGTGATCTCTGAGTGCTCTTTGTATATGAGGGAACCCTGCCCTTTGTCATGCCTATCATGCGTTCTCTCCCATTTTTAGGATGTTGTGGAGACCCTTGTAAGCAGGCCTCTCCAGCCAGGGAGGCTGCACATTTGCCCTGAGGACTGGTGTGGGTCAAGCCCACCTGTGGCCCCGATGGCTCTGGGGCCCCAGCCTGCTCCTGGGTCACCTCTCAGCTCTTCAGGAGGTCCAGGCTGGTGGGCGGCTGTGGGCTGGGGAGTCAGCTTTGTCTGTGCTCAGTGGGTGCTGGATCAGGGTGTGTGGCCAGTGGTCCTGGGGGCCCCCATCAGCCTCCACCTTGGTGACTGTGCAGCTGCATTCTTGGGGCCTCCTGTGCTGACCACAGCATGGGCCTCTTCTGGTTTTGCCCACAAAGGGGTCGATGTTGATTGTTGCTTTGACTTTACCTGAGAAGGAGGCATGAGTCTGGGCTGGAGACCAGCAGACCAGGTATGACAGGGCCGAGCTGGGGAGTCTCTGGGGTGCTGAGGGGTGATTGATGGGAACCACTGCTTGGGCACTTTGGCTCTCAGGACCCCAGAATGGCCCCTGCCCTTCCTTCCCCTCTGGCTCCTCCTGCACGTCCTCAGGGGTCCTGCCTCCCGCCAGCCACTCCAGGGCCACACACACCTCCCACAGAGCCCTCTGGAGACGTGGGGTTTGTGAAAAGGATCTTTACTAAGAAACCCAGAGAGAAAGAAGTAGGACTGCTGAAGCCAGAGGCTGGACGAGGTCATAGGGACGAGGTCGGCAGCTGCTGTCCCTGCAGGAAACCCCTTCTCTGGCTGTGGGAGCCCCTCTACCCACTCCAGGGGCCCGAAGCCCTCAACTGTCCTGTGGCCTGGCCTCAGAGGGCTTCCCTGTGCCTTCAGGCTGCAGAAATGGGGGCTGCAGGTGGATGGCAGGAGGGGTGGGTGAAGGGATGGGGGCTGAGGATAGATGGCAGGAGGGGTGGGTGAAGGGATGGGGGCTGAGGATAGATGGCAGGAGGGGTGGGTGAAGGGATGGGGGCTGTGGATGGATGGCAGGAGGGGTGGGTGAAGGGATGGGGGCTGAGGATAGATGGCAGGAGGGGTGGGTGAAGGGATGGGGGCTGTGGATGGGTGGCAGGAGGGGTGGGTGAAGGGAAAGAAGGTCTGGGTGAGGCTTGGGGGACGGGGATGCCAGGCACTTGGATCTCAGGGCTAGAAGGGTCAGACCGAGGCTGGGGAGTGAGGCCGTGGGCTGGTGTTGGGCTGGACGCAGACTCAGCTGTGCCCTGGGCTGGGTGCCGGGCCCTCCTTGGCTTTTGGTGATTGTACAGTCAGAATGGGAGTGACCCGGAGACCCAGGGGCCTGGGATGAGCTCAGAACGGCTAGCAGCCACCCCTCCTCGATGACTCTGTTGAAGGGACAGACACGGTTTTCGGGTGGGGGCTGCGACTGGTGGTTCTCTCGGCGCCTGTAACCTTGCGGCTGAGCCGGCCCCTCTGGGCTCAGGTTCACTGGCCATCAGCCCACAGTAGTGACCTTGTGCCCCCTTTTCTTGTCTGCTTCCCTTTTCCCACCCAGGGCAGGGTGCAGCCCGAGGGAGGCTCAGGCGCTGGCAGAGAAAAAGCTGGGCCTGGTGGAGCGTGAGTGGCCCGCGGCCTAGGCGTGGGGCTGGAGGACGTTGGTGTAGTCGAGGGAGGTCTGGGGCCTCCCCTGCCGCGTGGCTGAGAGGAACCGCTGCACCTGAGGGGAGGGCGTGGGTCAGGGCGCTCTGCTGGCTCTGCCCAACCCCCTGCCCTGGCTGGGCCCCTGGAGGTGGGTGCCCACCATGAGGAGCGTGAGGGCGGCGCTGTAGCTCACGCTGAGCAGGAAGAGTGCGGCGAAGATGCAGAGGCCGGTCCACGTCCACGGCGCCTCGCCCTCGGCCTCCTCCACGCACACGTCCAGCTCTGGGGGACCTGGCCAGTCAGCCCTCCCGGCTCCACAGTGGCAGCGGGGGTGGGGGACAGAGCCTCCTGCTGCTCTCGGCAGTCCCTGCTGCTGTCCGGAGTGGCAGAGCACCCTATCCGGGGCCCTCTGGGACTGCGCGGAGCCGCCAGCCAGCCCTGAGGGTGGGCACCCAGGTCCCGAGTCAGTCAACGGCCCAGGGCCAGGCCGACCACTCCTGACCTCTCGTCCCTGCGCCCCGACTCTGGCCCCATTTTCCCTCTGTTCCTTACGGCTTCTCTCCTGACCTCTGGTTACCTCCACTCCGCCTCTCTAGACCCCACGCCCTCCCCAGAGAAGGACCCAACCCCTCGGCACAGCAGTGGCCGCCTCACTCAGGGCCCTCGGAAGGATGCGTGAGCTCTGCGGCCTGGCTCCCAAGACCTGGGACTCACTGCATGGGTGCTCTGAGGGGCTGTCCTGGTGTGGACTATGAGCCCAGGCCTGTGGGTGTCCAGAGCTGCCTCCTGGCCCTACCCCGGCCCGGCCCCGCCCACCAGCCTGGTCCCTCTGGCTCCTGCCCTGGGTGCCCTCCACTCCCTTCCCCAACACCGTGAGCTGCCTGCTGGTCCCGGGTCATCAGCAGGTGCAGGTCCCGCCTCGGGCCCTCACACCTCTTTCTGCTGCTCCAGGCCCAGAGCTGGGTGCAGGTGGGCTGGGACGTGAGAGTGAAGCTGAATGTATGGCTGTGACGGTGTGCAGGGACTGTCTTCAGACATGGAGGGGCTTTGTGCTCATGGGGTGCCCGGTGCCCGTGTTTCCGTGTGGATTTGGTGGGTGCTGTGCCCTTGGTGTGCATGACCGGGGGGAGCGTTTGGATCTGGGGTGTCAGATGCACATGTGGGTTTGAGGTCTGTGAGGGGCACGTAGCCTGCTCTGGGGTTCCGGTGTGGGTGAGTGGGGGATGGAGCCCACGCATCCATCCTGTGTTTGGCTGTGGGGTGCTGCTGACAGGGTGACAGGGAGGGTTGGACTGGAGGACACCACGTGAGGGCCTCTCCATTTCTCTCTGGGATCCAGCGGCCCAGGTATGGCTCAGAGGAAGGGCTTGGCAGTAGCCTGGCTGGAGGCAGCGTGAGAGGCGGAGTGTGGGCCACGTGTGACCACGTGTGGGGTGTCTATGGCGCCCTGGTGGTGGTACAGGGTGCTGTGGAGTTGCTATGGGGCCTAGTGTGTGCACAGCTGTGCCTTGAGTGAGGCGTGAGTGGGCGAGACTGGGTGTGTGAGGCTGGCGATCCCCTGGAGGCCGATTCAGGATGGACCAAGGGGCGGTGGGGGGCAGTAGGAGAGGGGGCCTGGCTGCTGACCTGGGCCTGGTGTGCCCACAGGGCAGGGTGGCGGAGGCTGCGGGGTGTGAGTGGGCTCGGCTCCACCGGCCCCGGTGCTGGGGCCAGGACTCGGCAAGGCGGGACAGGGCAGAGAGGCGAACGCCAGTGGCACAGACTTGGGCGAGGGCTGTCGGGTCGTGTGTGTCTGTGTGGGGGTTTCACTTAGGGCTGTTTTTCCACCTGGAGGGGCCTGTGTGCCCATCTATACCTGGGGGTGCAGGGGCTCCTGTCCAGGGGGGTAGAAGCCAAGCCCCCAAGAGAGAGGGCTGTGGGGGCTCCCTTGCCCCTTCCCTGAGGACCTCCCCTGGGTCTTTGGACTCCTTGGAGGGGGTAGACCCAGAGTGGGGGCAGAGAGGGCCCGGGGTAGCTGTGATGAGTCCCTGCAGATATGCTGTTTGACAAATAACCCTGACACGAAGGCAGATGGATGAGTGGCACCTCAGCCCTGCCCACCTCCTCCCACCGCCTCTCCTGGGGGGACTCAGCCCTGCCCACCTCCTCCCACTGCCCCTCCTGGGGGGCCCATTCCTCTGTGCCAAGATGCACCTGCCCACAGCCCTGCCCGCTCCCAAGAATGGGTGTACCTGGGGCTCTGAGCAGGCACAGTTTATTGGGGGTAGCTTCCTGGGGTCATTGCAACAGTGGACAGAAGGTCTGGCCAGTCCTCCCCACTGCACAGCTGGATGGAGCCCTGGGAGGGAGGGAGGCAGGAGTACGTCATTTACCGGGATTTACAGACACCGCTCGCTGGACGGTCTGTGAGGGGCTCGCTGCCTCATGGACTGCACGGCAGATGAACTCATCTTTCTGCTCCCATTCGGCCCTGGTCACCTCCAGGCGGCTGAAGACGAAGAAGCCGGAGCCCTTGGTCTTGCGGGGCTGCGTCGTGCTGTGCCGGGCGTCCGGGAGCTGCACCTCGTTGTGCAGCCACTGCACCGAGATGTCCTCAGGCATGAAGTTCTGGATCAGGCAGGCGAGGGTGCGCTTGTCCCGGCTCCCCGGCCACTCCGGCGTCGCAAACGCATAGACTTCCGGGGCAGCACGCGGGCCTGTGGCCAGACGTGGGGTCAGCCCGGGCCCCGCTCACTCGCTCCCTCCCTTCCCCCACGACCCCGGCCTGCCCATGGCTCACCGCTGGTCTTGGTCGTGGACCGCATGAGGGCCCTGGGCAGGTGGGGGTGGGTCACCCTGCACTGGTAGGTCTCCCCCTCGATCCAGTCTCGGGTGCCCACCGGCAGGGTGGACGTGACGGTTAACGTGCCATTGCGCTGCTTCTCCTCCTTTCTGGTGGAGTGGTTCACAGGCTTCCCACTGGCCCGGGACCAGGTCAGGTTCACGGTCCCCTTGCTGGGTGCCAGGTCCACCACCAGACAGGTGATCGTGGGCGACTTGCGGATGAACAGGTCGAACGGGCTGGGCCGGCTTAGGTAGGCGCTCACCCCTCTCGGGTTGGAATCTGTGGTACACCGGAGGGCTGTGTGAGGCCCACCCGCCCCTCTTCTCTGGCCTCCGTGGCGGCCACCAGGGCAGGTGGGAACGTACCTGCACACTTCTTGGTGCTGTCCTCAAAGGTGTGACCTTGATAGGTGACCTGGCAGGTGTAGGTGCGGTCTGACAGCCAGTGCTTCTGGCTGAGGGTGAGCTCGCTTTGTGTGGAGGCCAGCTCACCCTCCTGCGTGGTAGAGGCGGTGGACAAGTCCACGTCCATGACCTGCCCGTCCTCCAGCCAGGTGATGTTGATAGTCCCTGGGGTGTACCCAGAGACGAGGCACAGGAGCTGGATGGTCGGGGGGAAGTGCCCGCCGCCGTCGCAGGACGACTGTAAGATCTTCACGGTGGGCGGGGTGAAGTCCCTGGAGCAGACTGGGGGAGAGCTGGTGGTCATGAGGGTTGTTGGCCTCTCTGAGCTCTGTGTGCCCTCCTCTTGCCCCCACGTCCTGGCCCGGGTCCCCAGGCATGCTGGGTGTTCCCACGTTTGAGCCCACCCACCCCCTCAACCCCTGCCCACTCTGCCAGCCCTCAGCCTGGCACTCCTGGGAACTGTGGTCTCTGAGCTTGGCCCTCTCTTACCGCTGAAGGTTTTGTTGTCGACCCAGTCTGTGGACGATGGAGTGTGTGCCACACGGCAGGTGAACATCTGCTTGGCCCACGCACCCGAGACGGTCAGCAAGCTGATGGTGGCATAGTGACCAGAGAGCGTGAGGGTGGTGGCTGGTAAGGTCATAGTTGTCCCGTTGAGGGAGCCTGTGTCCCAGGTCACCATCACCGGCTCCGGGAAGTAGCCCGTGGCCAGGCAGCCCAGAGTCACGGAGGTGGCATTGGAGGGAATGTTTTTGCAGCAGCGGGTCAAGGGGAAGACGGATGGGCTCTGTGTGGAGGCTGTGAGGACAGAACCTAGTCAGTGCCAGCCTCAGGCCAGCGCCCATCAGGCCTGGGGGGCCTGGATGGGGGAGCTGGGGACCCCGTGGCAGGGATCCAGATGGCCAGGCTCATTCTGGGCCTTTTTCCCCACAATCCCCAGGCCCAGGGCGGCTCCCAGGGCCCCCATTCCCCCACCAGAAGCTGTTGCTCAGCCACTATCATCAGGCTGGGCTCAGGAAGGGGGGTGCCTCCAGGATGACCCCAGCCTCCCCCTGCAAGTGCTGCACGGTGGGCACTCAGGAGCAGAGACACTGGGCCATGCCCCTAGGCTGAAACCCAGGGACCCCATGGGGCCTGGGACCCCAGAGCCCTCCCCCTTCAAACTCTCTCTGGGCTCATGGTGGATGGTCTGCCTGCCCTCCAACCCTGACCCCAACCCCCCAAGGCTGTGGTCTCAGCTCCTCGGGCTCTTGAGTGCCAAGCCTGGATCTCCCCATCACAGCAGCCCTCACCTGACCTGCCAGACCCCCATGGTGCTCTGCCCACCCCTGACCTCTAGGGGAGGGCGGGAAGACTTGCCCTGATGCCCCAGGCAGTCAGTCCCTCCCACCACAGAACCCTGGCCCAGATAGTGCGGTCTGTACAGCGTGGCCCTTCGCCCCTGGCCTGGAGTCCCAAGTCCCCAGCCCATCCTGCCCCTGGAGCCCAGTTTAGCTTGGTCTTGAAGTCTGCTCTAGGTACCCCCAAAATCACAGTATCCAGCCCCGCTCTGCCCACCGGGACAGCCAAGTTCAGCTGAGACTGGCCTACCGGGGGAGTCGCCCTCTGAAGTTCACTCTAAGCCAGCCTGGTTCAGCCTGGCCCAGGTCAGCCCAGGACCTCCCCTTGCAGGCAGCAAACTCTTATTTCAGTCCAGCCAGCTCAACCAGCTTGCTTCTGACTCAGCTCCTCTTAGCCAGGTGAGAATGGTCAGTCCAGATCAATTTAGCCCGGTCCAGTTTAGCTCAGCAAAGCTGGACCTAAAGTAGCCACCTCACCCCAGCTTCATCCAGATGAATACAGTCCAGATCAGCTTAGTCAGTTAAGCCTAGCCTAGCTAGTTAAATCCAGTTACGACCAGCTCAACTAATCCTGCTCAGGCCTGCTCAGCCCAGCCCAGCTGAACCCAGTTTAGCCGAGGCCAGGCCAGCCCAGCTGAATACAGTTGCCCAGTCTAGCTCAGCCCAGTCCAGCACTGCCCAGTTTAGCTGAGCTCAGCCTGGCCCAGCCCAGCTCATATCAGCCCATCTCAGCTGAACCAGTTTGACCCAGTCTAACCCAACCCCGCTCAGCTGAACCCAGCCCAGCCCAGCCCAGCCCAGCCAAACCCAGTTTAGCCTAGCTCAGCTCAGCCCATTTCCACCCAACCCAGCTCAGCCCAGCTTACCCAGTCCAGCCCAGCAGCCCAGTTCAGCCCACTCAGGCTAGCCCAGTTTAGCCCAGCCCAGCTAGGTTCAGCTCTGCTCAGTTCAGCCCAGCGTAGATCAGCTTATCCCAGCAGAACTCAGTTTAAATCACCCCAACCCAATTCGGTTCAATAATCCAAGCCCAGCTCAGTCCAGCTTCTTATAACCCTGTCCATCTCAGGTCACTCACCCAGCCTAGTCCTCCCCAGCTCAACCCAGTTTAGCCCAAACCAGCTTAGTCAGCCCAACTAGCTAAGCTTGGCTCAGGTCTGTCCAGCTCAGCCCAGGTCTTCCAATCACAGCTCAGGCCCGGCCAGGCCAGCTCAGCCCAGCTCCATCCACCTCAGTCCAGTTGGCCCAGCCCAGCCAAACCCAGTTTAGGCCAGGCCAGGCCAGCCCAGCCCATGTGAACTCAGTTGAGCTCAGCCCAGGTCAGCCCAGTTCAGTTAACCTCAACCTGACCCAGCCCAGCCCATATTAGCATATCTCAGCTGAACCCAGTTTAGCCCAACCCAGCCCAACCTAGGCCAGCTGAACCCAGGTTAGGTTAGGTTAGCTTAGCCTAGAGCAGCCCAGCCCAACCCAGCCCAACCCAGCCCAGCCTTCCCCAGTCTAACCTAGCTCAGCCCAGCCCAGCTGAACCCAGTTGAGACCAACCCAGCTGAGTCCACTCAGGCGAGCCTAGTTTAGCCCAGTTCACGTGGGCACAGTTCAGCCCAGCCCAGCTCATCCCAGCTAAATTCAGATCACCCCAGCCCAATTTAGTTCAATAATTTAAGGCCTGCTCACTCCAGCTTTTAACCCTGTCCGTCGTCAGGTCTCTCCCCCAGCCTAGCCCTCCTCAGCTCAATCCCATTTAGCTCAGCCCAGCTTACTCAGCCCAACCAGCTAAGCTTGGCTCAGGTCTGTCCAGCTCAGCGCAGCCCTGCTGAACTCAGGCCAGGTCAGGTAAGCTCAGCAGGTAATACCCCAGCTTGGTCTCCTTCAGCCCGGATAGTCCACGAGCACCCATTTTATCCTAAGTAGAGAACTGTAGCTTGTCCCTACTCCTGTGTCGGCCCAGCTTATTTCAACCAAGTCCAGTCAAGTCCAGGTCAGCCTAATTCAGCTTAACTCAATCCTGGACCACCCAGGGCAGGCCACCTCAGCTCAGCCTGACTTTGCCCTGCCCCCCAGATAAGTCCAGCTCAGCCCAGCTCAGTCCACCTTAGGGCTTAGGATAACCCAGCTCAAGCCTAGCTCAGCTGAGCCTAGCTCATTTCCCTCTACCCAGTCCACTCACTCAACTCAGCTAAACCCGCCTGGCCCGGGCCAGCCCCGATCGCCCTGGCTCAGGACAGCCCAGCTTGGCCACCTGTCCTCTAAGGGACAGGGTAGCCCTCTCAGCCCACCCAGCTCGCCTCAGCTCAGTCTGTTAGGCCCGTCTCAGTCTAGTCCACTCAGCCAAGCCCCCCTCAGTCCGCCCAGCTCGGACTTGCCAAGATCAGCCAGTTGCGCAGTGGAGCTCAGGACAGCTCCCTGCTGCCGCCTCCCCACCCTCCCTTCCAGCTCTGGGTTGGCTGTCCCTGTCCTAGGGGTGGCAGGCAGTCTGCACCCAGCCTAGCCCTGCCCAGCGTGGGGTCTCTGACCTTCTTGGTCTTGGGCCCAGCCAAGATTCCCAGCCCCCTGCCTTCTCCAGGTCGGCGTTAGGCTGTTTCTAGCTTTCCTGTGTCCCCATGCAGGGAAGGGATGCCTAGAGTCCACGCAGTGACCAAGAAGCTTGGTTGATGCTGTGAGGGTGGCCCAGGAGTCCCCTCGCTGTCAGGGGCCCAGGCAGCCTCTCCCTCACAGCTGCCTGGGCCGGCCCCTCGATTGGGGCTCCCGGTGGGCTGGGATACCTGAAGCGCCGGGTCGTCCATTTGGTGCCTGTGGATGGTGTGGCCCGTCCGGCTCCCTGTCGGGTTCCTGGACAGCTCCCAGATGATCAGTAACCGTGGTTGTTATTTCTGTGCCGGGCAGTGGAGCCTGGGTAGGGGGAGCTCTGCCTCAGTGCTTTCAGCTAAAAATGGGGTGGGAACCCCCGGAGGCCCGGGCCGCCCTGGAAGTTCCCTTTTCTCTCTGTTCTTGGGAAGTCGATTGAGCAACAGCGGGGGTCAGGTGAGGCTCCTTCACTACCGATGCACACCGAGTGCTGGGGGAGGTTCTCTTCTCTCTCAGGCCCAACCCCAGGGCCCCTGCCTAGGTCCCGGACTCTCACTCTTGACGCATGCGTGGCTTGGTGGTCCCAGTCAGCAAACTTGGGGTCCCGTTGCCTGGGAAAGGGAGAGGGTACTGGGCATCGACGCCTCTGCTTCCACGAAAGCCTTGTGAAGAAAGGATGGGGGCGCTTTTGTGCAGGAGAATGAGGCGCACTGAGGTGAACTGGCCCTCGGGGGCCGCGTGTCCCAGATGTGTGTGCAGGGCCTCCTGATGGCCGCAGCCCTCGTCCCTGTGACCCGCTTGGAGCTGGCACCCTGAGTGGTGGCCTCACCTTGTACTCACTCCCAGGTCACTGTCCTGCAGCCGGGGGTCCCAAGCTGGGCTGCTCCTCAAGGCGAGCACATGAAGGCTGGGGCCTGGCTGGGGGCTGGCAGGGAGCTGTGCGGAGGTGGCTGGTGGCTCTGCAAGGTCCTTGAAGCTGCTGGAGGCTGGGGACACTGTGCCCCGTCTATGCCATGGGTGGGCGTGGGCACATGGAGAAGGCTGGGCTCGGGCTCGGTGGCCTTCCTGGAGGCGCCCATGGCATTCGTCCCTGGTTGCACCCAGTGCTCTGCTCTGAGCGAGATAATTTCCTTCACACCATTGGCCTGCCTGTCCCCTGGAGGCCAGCATGCATGGAGTGGCCACTGGGGAGGGGTGGGTTGTATAGAATCTTTGGGGAGGGAGACACTGGGACCTGCCCCTGGGACCCTGGGTGCCCAGGGCTGGTTGTCCTGTGGAGGGAGAGGGGCTGTCGGGCCTGGTGCCCTCAGAGAGATGCTCACCACGTGTGGAAGACACCAGAAGGGCTGCTGGCTGCCAGGGCCCTGGAGGGCTATGATGTGAGGCTCAGGGAACGCAGGCTGGGGGTGAGTGTTCCCAGGCTGTCCAAGGCCCCCATGCCCTGCTTGTGGCCCTGGAGAAAGGTGCCGTGTGGGAGGCTGAGGGGAAAATGCTGAGTTCCCTGGAAGGACCCATGATTCTGAGAGAAACCACAGCAGGGGTGGTGAGCCTCCTGTTCCCCCACTTCCCGGGCCCCGGTGAGGCTGTGTGCACTGTGTGGGTGTGCCTGGGGCTCCACTTGCCCCTCCCATGTACCTGCTCATTTTCCCCAGGCTGTGGGCATTTGGGGCAGGGGCCTCAGTGCCTGGTCGGCTCTCTCCCGGTTCTATCCAATGCCCCAAGCTGTGCTGGGCTGGAGGGGCCGGGCAGGGTGAGCCCCCAGGAAGGAGGTTGGCATCCCAGCTGGGGCTCCATCTCTGGCCTCTGCCAGCCTTGAGATCCCCAGTCGTCTGTGTCTCCCTCCTGGGGCCCAGCAGGCCTGCTCAGCTCTGAGCCCCATGTCCGTTCTCACCCTGCTCTGCTTTTCCTTGGGGTGCTGGCCCTGCCCTGGCCTCCAGAAATGGCCCCTGCCCCCACCCCTTCCTGTCTGAGGGGCCGGGCTGTTCCTCTCCTGCCCGGCGTGTGCCCACCTAGGCCCAATAGGCATAGTGCCCCCAGCCCCTCCTGCCCTGTTCTGGCCTTCACGCCCAGCCATGCCGGCAGCCTGCCTCAGTGGCCTGGGCCTTCGCCAGCGCCTGGCTCTGTGTCCAGCTGCCACTCCTGTGGCCCTACGGTGCTGCCCCTTTCCCTCAGTGATGGGGGCTGGGCTTCCTGGGAACGGGCTGTGTCTCAGCTGCACACACCTGTGTGTGTCAGTGTGCGCATGGGAGTGCGTGTGTGTGCTGGGGGTGTGTGCAGGAATGCTTGTGTCTGGGGGCAGGGGGAGCGTCTGCCTTCCTGCCCCAGGCCTGGAATGGCCATGCCAGGGTGGGTGGGAGCAGCGGGTGCGAGGACAGTGCTGCTTTGACGTCTGCGTGTGGCTGGTGGGGGCGGGAGGACGTGGTGTGGCACGAGTCTCGGGCTCCCCATCTCCATCCAGCTGATCCCAGATGGCTGCGCTCCTGAGGGTTTAGAGCAGCCCAGGGGGTCAGGAGGCTGTTGGGACGCTGGAGGCAAGCGCTGGCAGGGATGGGGGTGGGCTGGCCAGGCAGCGTGGCCAGGGGGCTTCGAGCCGGGGCAGTGAACCATCCCCCAACTTTTTAAAGTTTTAAAAGTCATATTTACACAAGTGTAGTTTACATTCAGTATAATCCATCCTGTGACATGTGAGTTTCAACAAATGCACACTCATGCAACCACCACCGTAATCCAGATGAACAGTTGCAAGAAGATGTAGAATCTCTCCAAATATTCCACCAGGCCCCTTTGCAATCAACGCCTCCCTGATGGCCAGGAATCCATTGATCTGCATTCTGTCAGAAGATTCAGAGTTTATCATTAAAATGATCTATTATGGAAAATATTATAAGCATACAAAACACAAAACCAAGTTTTAAAAAGTGAGGTATTTCTTAAAAGTTTAGTATACAAACAAAATGAAGGTACCTTCACATTTTACTACAGATGTGCAGATAGTTTTCTTGGTGCACAGAGATAAGGCAGAATTAAGTCAGAATAAACGTTCTAAAACTGACCTCCGGAAGAACTAGTCTTAGTCATTTCTTTGCAGAGTATGTGAACCAAGATTCGGGTTTGGTCTTTGGTGTTAGCACTGTGTCAAGGATCAGATAGAAAGTACAAATGGAGGGGCCCCTTTCTGAGGCCAGGCCCCACTGTCGGGGCATGTGGGGTGACCAGGGGCCAATACCAGCTGAGGCTAAGAGGCTGCTCTCAGAAGGGTAGGTTTCCAGGTGTCTCTTGAACCCTTTGTTCAGAACCAGGACATGTGTGGCTGGGCAGCAGCCTTCAGACCCCCCACAGGCTGGTGCCCGGTGCCCACAGCCCTCTCTTGGGTCGTCAGGCCCCTGCACCCGTGGTGGGGTGTTGGGCTCCAGAGTTCCCTGGGACCAGCTGATCTCTTGTCCTTGGTTTTGGCCCAAATGCAAGCCCCTGGTCTCCTCCAAGTAACTTCCTTTCCCCAGGGCTGTCCAGGCCCCACCGCTCCCTGTTCCTTCCCAGGGCCTCCTGCAAGTCCCGATGCTGACGCCTCTCTGCCCACCTAGTTTGTGGCCGCCGCCTCCAGCTCTGTGTCTGCCTCCCAGCGAGGGAGCTGTGGTTGATGATCTCGTGAGTGTCTGCCCTTCTGAAGGGTACAGTGTGAAGTCTCGTCAGTCTCACTTCAATGCCTAAGCACCTCTTCAGAAACCAGGGATTCATCCGGGTTTCTCCATCTTTAACCATGTTTTCTAAAGGTTTTCTTGGCAATTTCCTGGCAATTTGCAAGACAGGATTTTTTGGTTGCCAACTTCCAATTAGCTTTAAACTTGCCACGATCTCCCAGGTCATCCCATCCATCGAGGATGCTTATTACATTCTTCCTGATTTCCATGTGGCCAAATTCAATAGTTATTTACCCCAGGCTTGTATTTTGGAGGCTAAAGAACTCTGTTACCAGCTATATCCGTGCTGTGGCTGCCGTAACAAAATATCACAAATGTGGCTTAAAACAACAAAAATTTTTTCAGAGTTCTGGGAGTCAGGAATCTGAGATCAAGGTGTTGGTGGCTGTCTCTGAGTGCTCCAGGGGAGGACCGTCCACCTCTTCCAGCTTCCTGTGGTGCAATAGTTTGGATGTGTGTCTCTTCAAATTTCGTGTTGAGATGTGATTCCCAGTGTTGGAGGTGGGCCTGGTGGGAGGTGATTAGATCATGGGGCTGGACCCCTCATGAATGGCCTAGCACCATCTCCCAGGTGATGAGCGAGTTCTCCCTCAGTTAGTCCCTGTGACAGCTCATTGTTTAAAAGTCTGGGACGTGCCACTTCTCTTCTCTTGCTCCCTCTTGCCATGTGACATGCCTGCTCCCCCTTCGCCTTCTGCCGTGATTGCAATCTCCCTGAGGCCTCGCCAGAAGCAGATGCCAGGGCCGTGTTTCCAGAATGGCTGCAGAACTGTGAGCTAGTTAATCCTCCCTTCCTTGCCACAGTGCCTGGTGCAAACCTCTTTTCTTTATAAATTACCAGATTCATGTTTTTTTTTTTTTCTAGTAACACAAATAGACTAACTCAGAACATTGGTATTGAGGAGTGGAACATTGCTATAAGGATACCTGAAAATGTGGAAGCAGCTTTGGAATCAGGTAACAGGCAGAGAGGTTAGAAGAATTTGGAGGACTCAGAAGAAGACAGGAAGATGAGGGAAAGTTTGGAATTTCTTAGAGACTATTAAATGGTTGTCACCAAAATGCTGATAGACATATGGACTGTGAAAGCCAGGCTGATGAAATCTCAGATGGAAATGAGGAACTTATTGGGAACTGGGGTAAAGGTCACGCTTGTTAAATCCTAAGAAACAACTTGGCTGCATTGTGTTCATGCCTTAGGGATCTGTGGAAGTTTGACCTTAAGAGTGATGACTTAGGGCATCTGTGGAAGACATTTCTAAGCAGATGTTTCTAAGGTGTGACCTGGTTGCTTCTAACAGTCTATGGTAAGATATGGGAGCAAAGAAATGACTGAAAGTTGGAACTTATATTTAAAAGGTGTAAACGACAAAATAAAATGCTAAACCAAGGGGATTCCAAAGAAACCTGGAAAACCAGTTCAGGCCATGACAGGAAGGGGAGGGTGGTTTGGACTCCCTCACTATACCCTCTCCCTGTTGGAGCTTAGGCTCAGCTGACCAGTGTTAACATTAAAACAGGGAGCTTAAGACTGACAAAGCAGACTCTTTGTAGCAATAAGGTATCAAATCCCAACCTGACTCTGGTATAGCATCACATGACAGGTGGCAGGCATGGAAGGAAATTAAAGTATTTATTGCCAGAATATGTTTCTCTGACACATTTTGGAAGGGCCCTGCAAAGCCGTCTCTTGTGGAGGAAATGTATATTCTGTTGAGAATCTTTTTCCCTTTCCAGGTCTCTTCCTGATTCAGGAGAGATTTATCCAAGAGTCTGGCACCTTTTAGGTTCTGATAAGAGACATTGACCATCTCTTCTCTCTGGAACGTGGAGCCTTCGTCTACATAACAAGAACCTTGGCTTCCACAACCCCCTTATCTTAAGCATTGCTTTTCGCTGACTTCAACTTTTTAGATAATTTAAATTTTTCAGCCAATCGCCAATCAGAAAATCTTCAAATCCACCATGATTTGGAATTCCCCACTTTGAATTGTCCTGCTTTTCCAAACCAAATCAAACCAATGTATACTTTACATGTATTGATTGATATGTCTCCCTAAAACATAAAAGCAGGCCGCAACCCAACCACCTTGCACAGGTGTTCTCAGGACCTTTTGAGGCTGTGCCACAGTTCATGGCTCTCATATTTGGCTCAGAATCAATTTTTCAAGTGTTTTATGGAGTTTGGCTTTTTTCATCAACAAAGGGAAGCAGAGCATAAAAAATGTGGAAAATTCACAGCCTGGCCATGTGGTAGAAAAGAAAAGGTATTTTCAGGAGACAAATATAAGTAGGCTATGGAGCAGCCAGTTGCTAGAGAGATTAGCATAACTAAAAGGGAGCTAAGTGCTCATATCCAGAACAAAGGGAAAAAGGCCTTGAAGGCATTTTGGAAATCTCTGAGGTGGTCTTTCCCATCACAGGCCCAGAGGCCAAGAGGGAAAGGATGGTTTTGTGGGCCATGGCCATGGCCACTGCTGCCTGTGCAGCCTTGGGACACTGCTCTCCACATCCTGGTTCCTCTGGCTCCAGCCTTGGCTCAAAGGGCCCCAAGTACAGCTTAGGCTGCTGCTTTGGAGAGTGCAAGCCACTATAAGCCTTGGTGACTTCCATCTGGTGTTAAGCCTGTAGGCCCCCAGAATGCAAGAGTGAAGGAAGCTTGGCATCTTCCCTCTAGATTTCAGAAATGTATGAGAAAGCCTAGCTGCCCAGACAGAAGCCTCCTGCCAGCATGGAGCCCTCACAGAGAACCTCTACTAGAGCAGTGCCAAAGAGAATGTGGGGTTGAACCCCCATATAATGTCCCCACCAGGGCACTGCCTAGCGGAGCTGTGGGAAGGGGGCCACTGTCCTCCAGACCCCAGAATGGTGGATCCACTGGCAGCTTGCACCCTGAATCTGGAAAAGCCACAGGCACTCAACTCTATCGTGTGAGAGAAGCCACAGGGGCTACATCCTCCAAAGCCACAGGGGTAGAGATTTCCAAGGCCTTGGGAGTCCACCCCCTGCACCAGTGTGCCCTGGATATGGGACACGCAGTCAAAGGAGATTACCTTGGAGCTTTAAGATTTAATAACTGCCCTGCTGGATTTCTGACAAGTATGGGGCATGTAGATCCTTTCTTTTTGCCAACTTCTCCCTTGTGGAATGGGAATGTTTACCCAATGTCTGCACACTCATTGTATTTTGGGAGTCAATTTGTCTTTGATTTCCTAGGCTGATAGGTGGAAGGGACTCATCTTCAGATGAGACTTGGGACTTGGGAATTTTGGGTTGATTCTGGAATGAGGTAAGACTTTGGGGGATTGTTGAGAAGGCATAATTATATTTTGCAACATGAGAAGGACATGAGATTTGGGGGACCAGGGGTGGAAGGATATGGTTTATATATTTGTCCCCTCCAAATCTCATGTTGCAATATGATTCCCAGTGTTGGAAGTGGGGCCTGGTAGGAGGTGATTAGATCAAGGGGGAAGATCCCTCATGAATGATTGAGCATCTTCCCCTTGGTGATGAGTGAATTCTCCCCCAGTCAGCTCACACACAATCTAGTTGTTTAAGTCTGGGGCCCCCCTCAGCCTCTTGCTCCCATTCTTGCCATGTGGCATACCTGCTGTCCCTTCACCTTCTGCTATGCTGTAAGTTTCCTGAGGTCCTCGCCAGAAGCAGATGCTGGTGCCATGCTTCCTATACAGCCTGCAGAACTGTGAGCCAATTCAACCTCTTTCCTTTATAACTTACTCAGCCTCAGGTATTTCTTTACAGTAATGCAAATGGACAAACACAGGTGGCTCCTGACACACCCCTCATCTTCTTCTTTGTCATCATGTGGCTTATCTCCACGTGTGTCTGTGTCCTCTCCTCTTATGAGGACACCAGTGTTTGGACTTGGGATCCATCCAAAATTTAGTATGATATCATCTCAAGTCCTTAACCTAATTTGTAAAGACCCTATTTCTAAATATGGTCACATTCTGAGGTTCCAGGTGGGCATACATTTGGCCAGGGAGATGCCATCAGCCCACCACACCAGCCTATGCAGGTACATTTGCATATAGCTTAGGGTTGACCTTTCCCATGGAAGTATTACATCCCCCTCTGGACTCCAGTTTCACATGTTTTAGAATGCTTCGCCTTCTCCAGCAGGATGAGTCTTTTTTCCTTTTTTAGTATTTTTCTCTCTTTTCTTTGGATTGGATTAAAAATAATTGATATATTCTATTGATGCATCTTTAAGTTTTCAGTTCCTTCTTTTGTCTTCTCCAATCTGTTATTAAACTTGGGTAATGTTTTTCTCTTTCTTTTCTTTTTTAATAAAATAGAGATGGGGTTTCACCACGTTGCCCAGGCTGGTCTCAAGCTCCTGAGATCAAGTGATACTTCCCTGTTGGGCCCCCAAAGTGCTAGGATTACAGGTATGAGCCACTGGGCCTGGCCAAATGTTTTTCATTTCAGAATCATACTTTTAGTTCTAGAATTTTCATTTGGTTCTTGTAACTATTTTCAGTTTTTTATAGAGATACCTCATCTAGTCACTCATGATAACCATATTCTCTAAGTCTTTGAACATTTTTAACATAACTTCTTTAAAGTCCTTGTCTGATAACTGTATCTGCATCTAGGTCATCTTGGAGTTGATCTCCATTGATCCCTTTTTCTTCTGACTTTGGATCACATTTTCATGTTTCTTTGCATCCATGGTAATTTTGGATGTGCACCTGATGTTGTTGATAACATGTGTACAGGCTATGGGGTTTGCATCCTTCCTTAGCAGAGCATTAATTGTTTTTTTCATGTTAGCAAGCAGTTAGCTTGAGTTGACTCAAACTCCCAAGTCTGTCTGCCTGGGAGTTGGCAGTATCTGCAATCTCAGTTCTCTTGACTATACAGGTGCTGCTTTCTGCTGGACCCTTTGGAGTTTTCCCTACCCATGCACACCTAAGGGATCGGCCAGAGGTTTCAGTGGAGTTTACCTGCAGGTTGTGGGGTTTCCCTTCGGTGACCTTCTCCTTTATGGACATCTTCTCTTCATTTCCAGCTGCTCTGAAAATGTAGCCCTGCATCCCACTCCTCACCAGGAGGACTGCAGTTTCCTGCTTGAACTCTAGCTGCACCCATTACATGCCCTGGGGTGTGACTTCAGATGAATATTTCAGGGAATAATCCTTACTAGTGTTTGCCTACTTCTGGTCATGTTCCAGTGCCTGTAATTGGTGTGTGTGGGTGTTGTGTGTGCTTACAGCATTTCCAGTGTTTATAATTGCCATCTGCCAAAGGGCTAGTCTGATATTAGCTGCTCCAGCATTATTGGAATCGGAACTACTTTCTCTCATGTGGTTTTTCATTTTCATTTCCCTGTTGACTAGTGTGGTTCAACACCTTTTCATATGTTTAGTGGCTATTTGGATATCTTCTGTAAAACATCTGTTCAATTCTCTTGCCTATTCCTCGTTGGATTATTTGATTTTTTTTCTCATTGGTTTACAGGGGTCTTCTTTATATTATGGATCTGTTTGTGTCAGTCAGTTATATATGTTTATAGGAAGCATTAAGAAGAACTGAAATGGACCAAATGATTACTAGGTGCCTTCCATGGAAAGCAAGGCATCGTCTTGTACACTCTTCCAGGTTATTTCATTCTGTGGAGCTCTGCATCTTTCATTTCCTTTGAACTATTTTACACCTCTATAAGCCAGGGGTCCCCAACCCCTGGGTCATGCACTGGAACCGGTTCATGGCCTGTTAGGAACTGGGCCACAGAGCAAGAGGTGAGGGATGTGTGAGCATTCCTGCCCGAGCTCCACCTCCCGTCAGATCAGTGGCAGCATTAGATTCTCATAGGAGCGAACCCTATTGCGAGCTGCACATTCCTGGGATCTAAGTTGCACACTCCTCGTGAAATCCTAATGCCTAATGATCTGAGGTAGAACAGCTTTGTCCCCAAGACATCCCCCGATCTTGGTCTGTGGAAAAATTGTCTTCCATGGAACTGGTTCCTGGTGCCAAAAATGTTGGGGACCACTGCTCTAAGTTGTACATAATTGATAGCAATGCAAAAACTCTTTGAGTTGGTAGAAATGCAAGTTCTCACCTTTGGAAGGACAATGAATTGCTCCTCATCTTCCAGGGAAAAGGCCAGTTTTGCATCTATCTATGAACTCCTTTTAGCATTCCTGAATCAATTATGTTAAGTGTAGTACTTAGAATTCCACTTTGAACTGGTTACGACACCTTAATTAATGAGATAAAGAGCATCTCTGAAATGTGTCGTCATATGTTTATGTGAGTCCTGATCATAATAGTTTTAAAAAATGATCTCTTAACTCGTTGTGATTTCTTCTCCCCCACGGCCCCACCCAGCCGCAGTATCCACGGAGCTTAGTTTTCTGTGGCCCAGGAGGGCAGGAGACCCGGTGTTGACGGGGAGATCTGAGATTGGCCCCAACTTTTCCCCACAGCTCTGCTTCAAGGAGTGCCCTGGGAAGGCCTCCCAACCCCACACCTGTCCTGTTGGCCAAGGCGAGCTCCATGCCATGTGGCATCTCTGCCGCTGGCCACCTGGTGAGTATCTGTTGAATAGAGAAATGTGCAGCATCTCCACAGAGCTTCCAGGGCTTCTGTGCTCTCCAAACATCTCTGGGCTCCCGGCACCCTCTCAGGGTATGATGTGTTGGTGGCTGGGTTGGGCCCCTGTCCCTGAGGGTAGGACTCAGGCAAGGACAAAGCTCTGGACTCAAAGAGCTGGTGTGGGGGTGAGTGAAAGGAACAGGAGCTTTGGGGTCAGAAATGCGGGTTTCAGCCTGCATTGTCCCCATGAGCAGGGGCTTGCAGGCTCACCAAGGCCTCAGTTTCTTCGATGGTGAGAGAGTGTCAGAGACTGCAGCACGTATTTGAAAGTGTCCAGGGACGGCAGGGGTCTGGGTTGGACCAGCTCTCCTGAATACTGAGGGTGCGATCTTGACCATTGTGAAAGGAAAATAAAATCTCAGGACCCTAAAGTCACTATGCCAAAAAGAACAGTTGAGGTGGGAAGCTGAGTCATGAAAAAAAAAAAAAGTCATGCGTTTCCTTTTGTTTCCAAACTGAGAGCAGCAGCAGATAGGCCAGGTCTACCCAGGTGGCCTCCCTCACCCTGACAATATAAATTAACAGCCCGGTCTTCATGACATGGGACAAAATGAGACAAGAAATCATCCCTCCTGCCCCTGAGACAAATGCATATTTGACTTCTTCCTCTACTCTGTTTATTTTCTTATAAAGTGCAGATTTACTGAGCACAAGGCGAATGCGTAATTGCTCCCTCCACCCCTCCTTTTCATGCAACGTGGGGGCTCAGTGAGATGTAATCAAAGCCTCAGAAGAATGTGACTCTCCCGTCTTGCTTTTTTCTCTTTCATCTTTCCCCTCCTCCAGCTTTTCCCCTTTTCAATATTGAAGCAGGACATAGTGTGACTGCATCTGGGGTCAGGTGTGGGGTGGTCCATGTGGATAGTGAGGAAGGTGGTCCCTGCCCGTGGTGGTCCGGGTTTCCTGGGAGATGGCCAGACGTGGGTGCTGAGGGGAGGAGGCCAGTGCAGTCACTGGACGGGAGAGAGCATGTCCATTGTGCTGAGTGGGCTGGGAGGGATCCACAGAGAAGACGGTGTGGCTCAACAGCTGGCACTGGGGACAGGAACGTGGGTGAAGGGCCTGGCACATGGAGTAGCTCAAGGCGTGAGGCTGTGACCCACCTGGAGAGCCTGTGCCTGAGTGTGCTGGGTGGGTGCTGGGGTTGCAAACATTCGTGTGCCTGTGAGGCCCGTGTGTGTATGTGTGTGTCACGTGGCCCCCATGCGTGTCAGGCATTGTTGCGTGTCCCCCATGCGTGGCAGGCAGCATCACATGTCCCCCATGCGTGGCAGGCATTGTCGCGTGGCCCCCGTGCGTGGCAGGCATGTGCAGCCTGAGTACCATGCCAGATGGGGCGTTCTGTCTCCTCCAGGCCCTGCCCTGCCATGTGAGCAGGGAGCTTCCCCATGGGACTGATGTTCTGTCTCCTCCAGGCCTGGCCCTGTCCTACCATGTTAGCAGGGAGCTTGGCCATGGGAGTGGTGGGCACAGGCGTGGCTGTGCCGGGCCTCACTGGCTGGATTCGGTGGGGACACCATACCCCTTGCTGAGTGTGGGTGTTAGAGGGTTCGAGGTGCCCTCTGGGAGGTGGTCGGGCAGAGGCAGGGTTGGGAGTGTGTGGGGAGATGGGTGTTCAGCTAGGTTCCTTCCCTGTGCAGGGGCTCAGCTGAAACCTGGGCTCTCACTCCCCTCACCCCTGCCTCCCCAGCATCCTCACTCTGCCCCTCTCTTCAGCCTGCCTCGGGCCTTGCCCTGGGACCCCTGCTGAGATGACAGGAGGGGCTTCAGCAGCACCCTGTGCTGGGTGGACGCCGAGGTCACAGGCTCGCTCTGTGTCTCCTCACAAGGCCACGTGGTGGCAGGTCCTTCCTCCTGTCTAACCAGAGTCCTGCTTGCTGCTCTGCAACCCCCTTGGGTCACGTGGGGCAGGGGCACCTAGCAGGGTGGGCTTCGTGGACTCAAGGGCCACCAGTTCCTCCAGGTCAACCTGCTCAGATCGTTCCATTCTCCCCCTTCCCTTGGCCACAGAGACCTCTGTATGCTGGGGTGACCACAAATGTCACAACAGCAGAGTCACACCAGGAATGTCACACCATGTCACACCACATCACACTATGTCATGCCAGGGATGTCACGCCACATCACACCATGAAACTCATCATCACACTAGGGATGTCGTACCCTGCCACACCCCATCCTGCCACATCACACCATGTCACACCGCATCACATCACACCAAGGATGTGGCACCCTGTCACAGCACGTCACACGTCACATCATGTCACACCACACCTCATCACACCACAGATGTCATACCCCATCACACCACATCACATTACATCACACCACGTCAAACTACCTCACACCCCATCACACCAGGGATGTCACACCCCATCACACCACATCACATGTCACACCACGTCACATGCCACACCATATCACAGTATGTCACAGCCTGTTACACTTCATCACACCACATCACACCAGGGATGTCACACCTTGTCCCATCACATCACATCATGTCACACCATTCCACATCATTTCATATTATAGCTCATCATACCAGGGATGTCATACCCATCACACTATGTCACAGCACATCACACCAGGGATGTCACACTGTGTCACACCACATCCCACCATGTGCAACACCACCTCACACCAGGGACATTACACCATGTCACACCACATCCCACCATGTGCAACACCACCTCACACCAGGGACATTACAACATGTCACACCACATCACATCACCCCTCGGATATCACACTGTCATACCACATCATACAACATCACACCATGTCCTGTCACATCATGCCACATGACATCCACGTCACACCAGAGACATCACACCACGTCACACCATGTCATGTTACATCACAGCACGGACTGCTGGGGTATGTGCAGGGGCCGCCCACAGTGCAGCCTTGCTGGAGAGTTGAGGGAGGGTCCTGGGGCTGGGCATGGTGTTCCCTCAGGAGGGCTGACCCTCTGGAGGATGCTCGGTCCCAGGTGGAAAGGGGGCGGTGGGCCCCGGGTGGCTCAGGGAGGGGCCCAATTTCCCTAGGGGAACCTGGTCCAGGCGCCAGGCCCTGCAGGGGCAGGAGCTGCAGGAAGCATCTGCTTCTTCCCAACTCAGCCTGCTCAGTGCACGGAATGACCCGGAGCCCGGCACCATCCTGGGTTTCCTTTCCTTATCCTGGCCAGGCCGTCCATCCTCAGACAGTGGACTGGAGCCCACCCCACCAGGGCACCCGGAGGCCCGTAGGGCCCCTTGAAGGGCAGAGGGTGGAGATCTCTCCAGCAGGGTCCCTGAGGGCTGGCACCTTCTCTGGACAAAGCTCTCCTGCATCTCTGGGACGCCATCCTTGGGCTTGGGATAGAGCCGGTGATGCAGCAGCTGCCCGCCCTGCACCCCAGGTGCTGTCTCCCTCACCCCCCGCGGGGCTGCAGCAGCGTGTCCTGAGAGTTAAAGGGCTGGGCTTCAGCACCCAGTTCAGGCCAGGCCCCCTGGAGCCCACCCTCCAGTGGCGAGCCTTCCCACGGCATGGCAGGGCCTGGAGTCTGGGGATTTAGTCCCCAACTCCGTGTTTGGTGCAGCTCCAGCTGCTCGATGCCACACAAACGAATCCAACCACTCCTCCTTCCTGGGTGAGATGGTCTCTCTCCTGCCACAGGCAACTCCGACGGCATTTTCCAGCCACCGCAGCCACCGCAGCCACTGCAGTAACAAGACCCTGTCCTTGACTGAGTTCCAGCCAGGCTCCTCGGAGCCTCTCCACTCGGCCTCAACCTTGGCTTGTAAAGACTTGAGCAGACACTAACAGTTTCTAACAGCTTCTGGCCGTACCCCTAGGCCGACCCCTGCCCCGTCAACACCTGCCTGAGAAAGCTCCGTGCACCAGAACTCACCGTTTGGACCAACCCCGACCTCCCTTTCTCAGGGTGTCTGCTGAGAGGGCCGCAACCACACGTCCTTCTATCCGTTCCCGATGTCTGTGCATTTCCTGTGACCCAGGAGGGTCTTTCTCAAGACTTGAGAGCCGCTCCCTGAAGTGTCCCCTTTGTGAAGGATGGGGCCTGTGTCTCCAGGCTCTGGGAGGACAGAATCCTGACCTCAACAGTGGCCGGCACGGACACAGCAGGTCCCATCCCGGGGACGCTGACCAGCGCTGGGCAACTTTTCCCTTCCCCGACGACTGAGCCCCGAGCACCCACCCTGCTCCCCCTACCACCTCCCTTTACAAGGCTGTGGCCTCTGCACAGATGAAGGTGAGTCCAGGTCATGCCGGACTCTTTCTTCTGTTGCAATAGTTATTTCTGTTGAAAATCCGTCCTTGCTACATGATCTAGTGCCCAGCTTTATCTTTGAAAATGTCTCTCTCCACCTTTGCCTCTCCTGCCTTGTCCTCGTTCCTGGCACCCACCATGTGTCCTATGGGCTGAATTTTACCATAGAATGAATCACACACCAGGTTTCACCTGTGCCTGATGAGGGTGACAGTTTGATGAGATTTTAGGCTTAGAATTGATGCTGAAAGGACTAAGACTTGGGGGATGCTGAGACAGATGAATGTATTTTGCATGTGAGAAGAACATGAAATTTGGGGGGCCATAGCATGGACTGTTATGAGTTAAATTGTGGCCCCTACAAATTCATATATTCAAGTCTTAATCCCTGGCCTCACAATGTGACTATTTGGAGATGGGGTCTTTACAGAGGTCATTAAGTTCATATGGGGTCACTAATCTAATGCGATGTGTGTTCTTATAAGAAGAGAAGCTTAGGACACGGGCACACAGAGGGATGGCCATGTGAGGACCAGGGAGGAGACGGTGTCTACAAGCCAAGGAGAGAGGGCTTGAGAGAAACCAGCCCTGCCTGCATCCTGATCTCAGATTCCTGGTCTCTAGGCCTGGGAGGATCCATGTCTGCCGTGGGAGCTGCCCCGCTGTGGTCCTGAGCTGACGCACACAGATCTGACACCCACCTCTCGCTTCGGACCATGGTTGGTTCTGGAAGGCCCTCCCTGTGGCTCTGCCTGGCCAGCCTGAGCCAGCTCCCAGCCTCGACCCAGCTTTCCCTGGAGGCCCTGTCCCCCGCAGAGTGACCAGGGCAGGCAGCACCGTGCCCAGCAGGAGGAGAAACTGCATCCATGTAGAAAAGAGGAGAAGCCCCGGGGGTCCATGTAGCGACAGGGGCCAGGGAGGGCCGCTCGGGCAATGCGTGTGGCTGCAGGAGGCGGGGGGCGAGTGCAGGGAGCCCCCGAGGTGCAGCTCGACCAGCCTCCTCCTGACCGTGCTTCCCACCGGGGGCAGGAGGCGCGTGGACACAGGAAGGCGGCTCCCATCACGAAGTACAAGACTTAAAAAGGATATTTTATTGTCATCACAAAAGAAACATCAAAGACAATTAATGAGCTTTAGAAAATTTAAAAGAAGAAGAAAAGCCAAAGCTGAAATGGTGACACCTCCTTCGAGTGAGCCCGGGAGTCCTCCCTGACGGCCGAGGCAGGCGCTGGCCGCAGTCCCGCTCGAGCCTCCCTTCCTGTCTGTGGATTCTGCGTGACAGTCACGGAACGGTGTGATGGGGGCAGCAGAGCGTGGGGGCCTCTGTCCAGCACTCGTGGCCAGCAGCCCCGCTTTCGCAAGAACACGGGCACCCTCTTTGTCGTCTTGCCTCTCCACCTGGTGCCCCCAGAGTGGCTGCTTGTTCCTGCTGCACGTGACCCGGGACTGGACGCCAGCCTCTGTGATGAGTTCTGGCTGTGTCCACGCTCCTGGCTCTCCCGGTGTCCCTCCACCTCTCTCCCCGATGCTCCTGGGCCTCCTCTGTCCTCAGGCCCCACCAAGGCTGAGTCTTGCCCGCCTGGGACCTGGTCACCAGCCTTCTGTGGGAGGCCTGTCTGGGCAGATGCCCAGCCCTTCCTTGGGCTATCCTCACCCTTGCACTGTGGGGCTCCTGCAGCGGCCACATGGCCCAGGCTCTTCTCCGAGTGATCTCGGTGGACTGGAGTGGGTGGTAGGTGGCAGTGTCCTGGGCCTGGCCCTTTCTCTCCCCAGTGCGGACTCTGGGGCTGGCTGTCCCTGCGGGTCCAGTTCCACCCGAGAATCCAGCAGTGTGGGCAGGCAGCCAAGGGGTGGTGCTGGCACCGAGACTGTTCCCAGGAGCCAGAGAGCAGCGTTCTTTGCTTGAAATCAGAACAACCTCATTCCTCATGTCAGGAGTTCACGGGAGTGCCCGGAATGGAGGCTGGCTGGCTGCGGGCTGGGAGGAAGGCCGTCTGAGTGAGCCTTCGCAGCTCTCGGAAGCCTCCCCAACAGGGCCTGATGGTGCTGTGGCTTCCCTACCTTGGCGACTGATGCTCCCACTCACCATCTGGAAACCATGCCTGTGTTCAGGAGGCTGGCGTGGACGGGGTTGGCTCCAGGGCGAGGTCCTGCCTGAGTGGGGGCCTGGGATGCCGGTTACCTCCTTTTGTGTGAGCACCTGGTGGTCCAGAGGGCAGGGACGTCCTGCTGAGGGGACACCTGGCCCTCAGCGCCCTGCATGCACCAAGCAGCGGAGGTCTGGGGTAGACCTGCTATGCACAGGGTCTGGAAGGGGGGCGTTTCAGGGCTCAGAGGGCGACTGCGAAGCCAGAGAGCCATGGGGTTGAGGGCGGTGAGGTCAGGGGGCAGGTGTGGCCTGGGTGGTGGCTGAGCATGGCCCACGGCTCGTGTGTGGGGTCTGGGCGGCCCTGGACACCCCGCAGAGGGTGGCCCTAGGCCCCCTGCCTTATCATGTTCCTGTAGTCGGGGACGATGGTCTGCTTCAGGTCCACCACTGAGGAGAAGATCCACTTCACCTGTAGGCAAGGCACAGCACAGGGGTGAGCGAGGCCACAGCCCTGCCCCTGAGCCCCACCCACCCCTCAGGCCACCCAGGCCACAGCCCTGCTCCCAAGGCCCATCTGCCTTTCAGGCCACCCAGGTACCGGGGCTCTACACTGCCTGCCCCCAGGCCTGGACATGGAGAGCAGAGCCATGGTAGTGACAGCATGTGGATAACACAGAAGACAACGTCAGGGACAGGTGGGGACAGCGTGGGGGACAGGGAGAGGTGGGGAGATTGGGGGACAGGTGGGGACAGCATGGGGGACAGTGTCAGGGACAGGTAGGGACAGCGTGGGTGACAGGGAGAGGTGGGGAGAGTGGGGGACAGGTGCGGACAGCATGGGGGTCAGTGTCAGGGACAGGTAGGGACAGCGTGGGGGACAGGGAAAGCTGGGGAAAGTGGGGGACAGCATGGGGGACAGTGTCAGGGACAGGTAGGGACAGCGTGGGGGACGGGGACAGGTGCGGACAGCATGGGGGACAGTGTCAGAGACAGGGACAGTGTGGGGGGTGAGTGGGGGACAGGTGGGGACAGCATGGGGGAGTGTCAGGGACAGGTGGGGACAGTGTTGGGGAAGGTGGGGACTGTGGGGTACAGTGTTGGGGAAGGTGGGGACAGCATGGGGGACAGTATCAGGAATGGGGGACCGCATGTGGGACAGCGTCAGGGACAGGCGGAGACTGGGGGACAGTGTGGGGGAAAGGTGGGACAGCATGGCGGACAGTGTTGGGGACAGGCTGGGGGAGAGCATTGGGGACAGGTACAGCGTGGGGGACAGAATCAGGGAGAGGTGGGGAGACCGTGGGGCACAGCATCAAGGACAGGTGGGGACAGTGTGGGGGACAGTGTCAGGATGGGGGATAGCATGGGGGACAGTGTCGGACATGTGGAGACAGCCTGGGGGACACTGTTGGACAGGTGTGTACAGCATGGGGGACAGTGTCAGGGACAGTTTGTGGAGAGAGTGGGGGACAGTGTCAGGGACAGTGTGTGACAGCATGGGGGACAATGTCAAGGACAGCTGGGGACAACGTGCGGCCGACCTTGAAGAAGGTGACGGTGGCACTGTAGCACACGCTTAGCAGGAAGAGTGTGATGAAGATGGTGATGGTCGTCCACAGCCCGTCCAGCTCCCCGTCCTGCGCCTCCGCACAGCTCTCCTCCAGTTGCAGCTCTGGACAGGAAGGGGGTGGTCAGTGCTGTGTCCCCCTGGGCTTGGGCCTCTGGGGGTGATTCCCTCTGTGGCGGGGCCCAGGATGTAGGGCCCGGCCGGGATGGGCCAACAATGTCCTGAGGTCAGCTCCCGGAAGCTGTCCACCCTGGGCACCAGCTTTGGCCCTGGGGCTCAGCCAGACACCCGGCCCTAGATAGCGACCTGGCCCTCAGCAGGACCCACTCCCCGTCTCCCGTGTCCCTCCCTGAGCCCCAGAGGGCAGGAGGATGGTGAAACCCACCCCTCATGTGACCCCAGCTGCAGGGAAGGGCTGTATTGGGACGTGGGCCAGTGCCAGGGACGCGACGTGGCGTGTGTTCCCCTGTGTGTGTGGCGGCTGCAGGGGCACCTTGTGAGAGGAGGGCTGGGTTTGTCTGAGCTGGTCAGCATGTGGAGAAGCTGCCGAGCGGCTCGTGGGCCTTGAGGTGCCGCGTGGGGCTCGTGGGGGCCTGTGTCTGAGGAGTGTTCACGTGTGCGAGGACCTTGCTCTGGTCTGGGTGCTGTGCGGTTCGCCCGGGTGAGGCTCCGTGTGTGAGGCGTGCACGTGTGTGTGTGGTGGCCGTGTGGCCGGCCAACCTCAGTGCGGGGTTTGTTGAACGGGTCTGGGCTGAGTGTGTGTGTGGGCATCTGGACCAGTCCCTCCACAGGGCCCGAGAGTGCATGTCCCCGGAGTCGGTTGTGTCCCCATGTGGGTTCGAGGCTGGGCAGGGCTGCCAGGGGTTAGTGCCGTGGGGGTAGATGGGTGAGGGAGGGCCTGTCCCTACGCACATGGACTAGGCATGCCCCCGAGTGGGCATGCGGGTCGGAGGACAGGGCGCTCACAGAACAGGACAGTCTCCTACAGAGGCAGGGGCTGTGTGTCTGTCCCCAGGGGCTCCTAGGGCTTCTCGTGGCCCAGCCCAGGGCAGGTGCTGCTGGAGGGAGGGCCACGCTGGCAAATCCCCCACCCTGCCGAGGGCAGCCCCTGGCTGAGCCCCACCCTAGGCGGCCCAGGCACACCTGCACAGCCTGGGCCAGTGTGGGGACAGTGGGACCCGCTCTGCCTCCCTCATGCCACTCAGGCCTCAGACTCGGCCTGACCCGTGGAAAGAACCATCACAGTCTCGCAGGGGCCCAGGGCAGCGCTGGGTGCTTTATTTCCATGCTGGGCGCCCGGGAAGTATGTACACGGGGTACGTGCCAAGCATCCTCGCGCGACCCCGAGAGCCCGGGGAGCGGGGGCTTGCCGGCCCTGGCACTCATTTACCCAGAGACAGGGAGAGGCTCTTCTGTGTGTAGTGGTTGTGCAGAGCCTCATGCATCACGGAGCATGAGAAGACATTCCCCTCCTGCCACCTGCTCTTGTCCACGGTGAGCCTGCTGTAGAGGAAGAAGGAGCCGTCGGAGTCCAGCACGGGAGGCGTGGTCTTGTAGTTGTTCTCCGGCTGCCCATTGCTCTCCCACTCCACGGCGATGTCGCTGGGGTAGAAGCCTTTGACCAGGCAGGTCAGGCTGACCTGGTTCTTGGTCATCTCCTCCTGGGATGGGGGCAGGGTGTACACCTGTGGCTCTCGGGGCTGCCCTGTAGGGACAGAGGTTGGCACAGCGGTCACTCCCAGGGCAGAGGGTGGGCCGAGCTGACCTCTGTCCATGTGGCCCTCGCACCCCGTGGGTCCCACCTTTGGCTTTGGAGATGGTTTTCTCGATGGAGGACGGGAGGCCTTTGTTGGAGACCTTGCACTTGTACTCCTTGCCGTTCAGCCAGTCCTGGTGCAGGACGGTGAGGACGCTGACCACACGGTACGTGCTGTTGAACTGCTCCTCCCGCGGCTTTGTCTTGGCATTATGCACCTCCACGCCATCCACGTACCAGTTGAACTGGACCTCGGGGTCTTCCTGGCTCACGTCCACCACCACGCACGTGACCTCAGGGGTCCGGGAGATCATGAGAGTGTCCTTGGGTTTTGGGGGGAACAGGAAGACTGATGGTCCCCCCAGGAACTCAGGTGCTGAGGAAGAGATGGAGGTGGATGCGTCAGCACCCGGCTGGGGCCTGTCCCTGGATGCAGGCTACTCTAGGGCACCTGTCCCGCCTTGAGCTGGAGGGCGAGGCCTGGGTTGGCTTACCTGGGCATGATGGGCATGGGGGACCATATTTGGACTCTGCAGAGAGAAGATTGGGAGTTACTCAGATCTGGGAGGAGAGAAGGTGTCTGAGCTGAGGGAGTGGAGAGTTTGGCCTTTGGGGTGGGCTTAGGTCAGGGGCAGGGTCCTCCCGGATATGGCTCTTGGCAGGTCTGAGCGCAGCACCTGCCCCTGTATGCGCAGGGCCTGGGGTAGGGGCATCCAGCCTGTGGCTGCCCGGAGCCTGGTGGAAAAATCCAGAAGACCCTCTCCCTGAGCATGAGTGGGGTGGTCAGAGGCCTCCGGGTGAGGAGACAGATGGGGCCTGCCTTGCTGCCCTGGGCTGGGGCTGCACAGCCGGGGTGCGTCCAGGCAGGAGGGCTGAGCCTGGCTTCCAGCAGACACCCTCCCTCCCTGTGCTGGCCTCTCACCAACTCTCTTGTCCACCTTGGTGTTGCTGGGCTTGTGATCTACGTTGCAGGTGTAGGTCTTCGTGCCCAAGCTGCTGGAGGGCACGGTCACCACGCTGCTGAGGGAGTAGAGTCCTGAGGACTGTAGGACAGCCGGGAAGGTGTGCACGCCGCTGGTCAGGGCGCCTGAGTTCCACGACACCGTCACCGGTTCGGGGAAGTAGTCCTTGACCAGGCAGCCCAGGGCGGCTGTGCTCTCGGAGGTGCTCCTGGAGCAGGGCGCCAGGGGGAAGACCGATGGGCCCTTGGTGGAAGCTGCAAGAGAGGTGGTGCCATGTGACCGCGGTGTGGGACAGAGCTGGGCCCAGGGCGCAGAGGCCCCTCGGTTCTTGTCTATCTGCGATGGTCCATGCAGGGTCCAGTGTCTGGGCTCACGGGCATTGGGTGTGCGCCTGGCTGGCGCCACCTGCGTCACCTTAGCCCCCTCCCTGCCCCCAGCCAAAGTCAGGCCCGGCCTGCCCCAGAAAGCTTGCAGGACCGGTGGCCCTGTGGTGCCCTTCTGCAGGCACCCCTGCAGCCTAGGGGGCGGGGCTCGGCAGCCAGGTCAGCGCTCTGTGCCTGCCGGGAGTCAGCACAGTCCAGTGTCTCTAGCTTGGCCTCAGCTCTGGCCATCGGTGCCACCTCAGGGACGGCTCATGCCCATTGGCCCCACTCCAGCCTTTTATGGGTGCCTGGCTTGACCAGTGGACACTGTTCTCAGATGGCTTCTCGTGGGTCCCCCGAGTCCCCTGAAGCTCCTGACCCTGCCGCCCCAGCGTGGCCCTCCGCTAGTGAGTGGGCCTGACTTGCCCAGGGCCCTGGTCATAGCCTGCCCTCTGCCCTCCAAGGCCCTTTTCTTCTGTGCAGCAGAGGGGCCAGACACTGCATAGGGTCGGCGCCCTTCAGCCCCAGGGCCCCGGAACCCCCTGCCTTGGAATAGCCTCCTGGAGCCTCCTCCTCAGCCTCTCCCCTCCTTTCCCCTTAGCCCCAGTGTGCAGCAGCCCAGGTCAGGGCCCTGAGTGCCTGGATGCCCCCTGCCTCCCAGTGTCCTGCATTACTTCTGGAGGCTCAGTCACCACAACCTCACCCTCCCAGCCCTGGCCTGGCCTTCTCGGCCACCAGCCCACCTCCTCCCTCTCTCCAGAGCTTCCCCCGGCAAGGTCCCTGCTGGGCTCAACCCAGGCCCCCCAGCACAGGTAGGAGCCTTGCACCTGCCCTTGGCCCTCCCCACCCTGCATGGTGCCAGGACCCCCAGGCCACAGGGAGGCCCCATTTCTCTCTGCCGCTGGCCCAGTGGCCCTGGAGTCCCACTGCAGGTGGGGTGTGCCCCTGACCTCTGAGGAGGCTAAGCGCCCTGCCCTCAGCCAGGCCATCCCCTCTGCTCGGCCCCAGGGCCCCGCTCACCACCCCTTCCCCTCACCTGCACCACAGGCTCTGGCTGACTCTGCCCAGGCCCTGAATGGGCCCCTCTGGCAGCCCTCTGCTGCTACACTGCCCTGCACCACCTCCACTCAGCTTCATTGTGCTGATGGTCCTGGCTCCTGGCAGCCCATCTTGCTCCTTCTGGGGCGCCAGCCTCAGAGGCCTTCCTGCCCAGGGTCCGCTGGGGCCAGCCCTGGGACCCTCCTGGTCTCAAGCACACGTTCCCCCTGCAGCCACACCTGCCCCTGCCTGAGAGCCCAGCCCTGAGCCCTGGAATGCCTTCCCTTCTCCATCCCAGCTCGCCCTTGCCAACTGCTCAGTGGGATGGACTCACACTCCCTTCCCGGCACCAGGAGGCTGCACTGCACTTTCACCAGCTCTCAGCTGTCTGCTGCCGGCAACTACCCAGCTCCTGCCAAAGTCTAGGAGCTGAGTGATGCCTCCCACCAGCCCTGCTCACCTGTGGCTGCCTTGCCCTGAGCTCTAGTGCCTGTCCCCTGCTCGTCCTGCCTCCCACCGGCCCTGCTGACCTGCGGCGGCTCTGCCCTGGTCCCCTGACCTCCAGGAGCTGCCCCTTGCTCCTCCTGCCCCCCACCGGCCCTTTTCACCTGAGGCTGCTCTGCCCCGGTCGCCTGAGCTCCAGGAGGTGCCCCCTGCTCCTCCTGCCCCCCACCTGCCCCTGCTCACCTGCGGCGGCTCTGCCCTGGTCCCCTGAGCTCCAGGAGCTGTCCCCTGCTCTGCAACCTCCCACTGGCCCTGCTCACCTTCTGATGCTCTCCCCTGTTTCCTGAGTTCCAGGAGCCGCCCCCTGTTCATCCTGCCTCCCACCTGCCCCTCCTCCCCTGTGGCTGCTCTGCCCTGGTCCTCTGAGCTCCAAGAGCTGCCCCCTACTCCTTCTGCCCCCCACCTGCCCCTGCTCACCTGTGGCTGCTCTGCCCTGGTCCCCTGAGCTCCAAGAGCTGCCCCCTGCTCCTCCTGCCCCCCCACCTGCCCCTGCTCACCTGCGGCGTCTCTGCCCTGGTCCCCTGAGCTCCAAGAGCTGCCCCCTGCTCCTCCTGCCCCCCCTCCCCTCTCCTGTTTGCCTGTGGCTGCTCTGCCCTGGTCCCCTGAGTTCCAGGAGCTGCCCCCTGCTCCTTCTACCCCCACCTGCCCTGCTCACCTGTGGCTGCTCGGTCCTGGTACCCTGAACTCCAATGCCTGCCCCCTGCTCACTCTGTCCTCCCTCAACCCGGGGCAGCAATGTCACTCAGGCCACTGTTGCCCCCCTGCCTGTCCTGGCACCCTCTGTCCAGGTTTGGGCTGTTTTTCTGGCCTCATTTTTGTTTTTGCAGCACTTGGCTTGTTCCCTATGCTGTGGAGCAGCCCCAGTGTCCAGTCAGGTCTCCCCAACAGAGCCCCTTGCCTATGTGCCCCTCCTGGATGAGCTCCCGGATCCTCCCGTCCCTGCACTGCTCCTGCTCTGGAAGCCTCTCCGGAACCTCAGCTCCTCAGTGGCCTCTGCTCTGCTGGGCCTCAGCCCCTCCCCTCGCCCCAGGCCTGCTGCACTCTGGGCCTTTCTGGGCCTCCCTGGACTCTTCCCTCCTCCCGCCCGTGCACTCAGCACAGCTCTCCCCTCCTCTCCGCTGCTGACCACAGCCCTGCTCCCCGCCAGCAGGTGCCCCAGCCCCATCAGCTGGCTCTGAGCCCAGCCCCTGTCCCTCCCCTGTCCCTGCCTCTGCCTCTGGGCTCCTTGGCTTCCACCCTTCTGTCCTGCTGCCACACTCACCCTCGCTGCTCTGCTCCCGGCTCACCTGCTGTCCTTGGTCCTGGCTGAGAGGAGGGCCCTACGGCCAGCTCTGCTGACCCTGCCCTGGGCTCTGGTGATGCTGCCGGCCTGGACAAGCCCCTCCGTTCACCTGGGGCCTCTCCTCCTCCCTCGCTCTGCTGCCTCCTGAGCTCAGGTCGGTCGTGCCCATCCTGGCATCACCCCACAGCCGGTTCTGCCGCATCCCGTCATGTTCCTCGTGCTCCCAGCCCGGTCGTCCTGGAGGCCTCAGTCAGCCTCTGGTGTGTCCTGCCCTGTTGGCTTGGAAGCCCCTGCCCACGGTCCCCGTCGTCTCGCACTGGGTGGGCATCAGTGCCTGAAGGCTGCCCACCTCCCCCGTGCTGGCTCCGCTTGGGCTTCCATGTGGGGCTGGCCTCGCGCCCGCGTCTCCCCAGCCTCTTGCAGCCTGTTCAGCAGCTCAGGTCTAGGAGCGCCGACGGCTGCGCCCAGGCTGTCCTCCTCCCGAGCCTGTGCCCCTGCCCTGTGCTGACCCCACTCACCGAGGTGGGGGTCTCAACCCTTCCTGTTCTGGCGAGGTACATGTGGGCGGCCCCGCCCCCGCCGTCAGCCGCTATTTGTCTTCCTAGGAAATCACAGCTCAGGTCCCAGGTCCCCAGGGGTGTGAACTCCACGCTGCAAAGACTAAGAACAGGATTGAAACCAGCGGCACCCCTTACTTCCTGAAGTTCCCTTTTCTTCTGGTGGTTTCTGTGTCAGAGGGCGAGGGGGAGTCCACACAGAGCCGAGGCTGCCTCATGGGTGTGTGGGGATGGGGGTGGTGGCTGCCCCCATACTCCCCCATACTCACGGGAGAAGGTGGGGAGCCCGGACCTTGTGTGCTGCTCTTTTCTCTGTCTCTGAGTCCCTGGGGCTGGACTGAGACTGGCAGCGATTATGACCATTCTGCCCATGGTCTCAGCCTCTCAATACCTGGGCCTCTCACCTGAAGCTTCTGGCCCCCCACTGGGCCCTGGTGGCTGCTTTGGCCTGGGCATCTCTCCAGCTGACTCTCACTCATGGTGGAGGGAGGGGAGTGTGAGTTCATCCCACTGAGCAGCTGGCAAAGGCGAGCTGGGATGGAGAAGGGAAGACGTTCCAAGGCTCAGGTCTGAGCTCACAGGCAGGGGCAGGTCTGGCTGCAGGGAGAACGTGTGCTTGAGACCAGGAGGGTCCCAGGGCTGGCCGAGTGGACCCTGCACAGGAAGGCCTCTGAGGCTGGTGCTCCAGAAGGAACAAGATGGGCTGCCAGGAACCAGGGCCACCAGCTGTGCTCCTGGGGGCCGAGGGGACTTGGGACAGGTGGATGAACACACTGAAGCTGAGTGGAGGTGGTGCAGGGCAGTGTAGCAGCAGAGGGGAGCCAGAGGGGCCCATTCAGGGCCTGGGCAGAGTTGGCCAGAGCCTATCGTGCAGGTGAGGGGAAGGGGTAAGGGGCAGGGCCCTGGGGCTGAGCAGAGGGGATAGCCTGGCTAGGGACAGGACACTTAACTTCCTCAGAGGTCAGGGGCACACCCGAGTTGCAGTGGGACTCCAGGGCCACTGGGCCAGCAGTAGAGAGAGAAATGGGGCCTCCCTGGGGCCTGGGGATGCTGGCATCATGCAGGGTGGGGAGGTCCAAGGGCAGGTGCTAGGCTCCTACCTGTGCTGGGGGAGCCTGGACTGAGCTCATCAGGGACCTTGCCAGGTGGAAACTCTGGAGAGAGAGAGGAGCTGGGCAAGGACGGATGTGGAGGTGGGAGGTAGCGGGGGACGAGATGCAGCCAGAGGGACTGGGCAGACCAAAAGCCCGAGGAGGTTTCGCACAGGAAGCATCCAGAGTGGAACAGGAAGCATGCAGAGTGGAACAGGAAATGTCCAGCATGGAACAGGAAGCATCCAGAATGGAACAGGGAGCATCCAGAGTGGAACAGGAAATGTCCAGCATGGAACAGGAAGCATCCAGCATGGAACAGGAAACATCAAGCGTGGAACAGGAAGCGTCCAGCGTGGAACAGGAAGCGTCCAGCGTGGAACAGGAAGTGTCCAGCGTGGACCAGGAAGCATCCAGAATGGGCACTTTGAAGGGAAATCATGTCCCTCCCACTAAATGTGCTCTCCACAAGGACCCGGCCCACCCTTGTGTCCCTGCTGGATCCCTGAGCTGACACCAGCCCTGCCCTCAGAGAGAATGTCCAGGAGACAGGTGGAGGTGCACGTGTGGGTCCCTGGGGAAATCCATCCTCCAGCCGCAGGCTCCCAGTCGGCTCCCAGCTTCTGGCTCCGGCTTCACCCCATGGAGCTCATAATGGGCTCAACCTCCCAGGCTGGGGGAGGATGCAGTGAGGGGCCCCGCACTGCCCATGGCACACCCAGGGGGCTGGGGAGTCTGCACTGGGCTGGGGCAGGGAGGCCTCGTGCAGCCTGTGGGGCTGGCAGCTCAGGACAACACTCGTATCCGTTAACTGTGGCCCTGGCAACACAGCACCCCAGACTGCGTGGCTTAAACAACAGACGTTTATTCCGTCCTGGTTCTGGAGGCCGGGCATCTGGGATGGAGGCCTCGGCGGGGCTGGCACCTCTGTGTCATGGGAGACTCTGTCCCAGGCTCTCTCCTTGCTGCTGGGCTTTGCCGGCCGTCTCTGCTGCTCTTGGCTTATGGAAGCAGCACCATCTTCACAGGGTGTTCTCCCCACGTGCTGTCTGTACCCAGATTCCCCCTTTTCATGAGGACAGCAGTCATATTGGATCAGAGGCTTGCCCTACTCCAGGGTGACCTCATCTGAACTTGATTGCAGTTGCAAAGACTGTTTCCAAACAAGGTCACATTCTGTGGTCCTGGGGGTTAGGACTTCAACACATGAATTTATAGGGGACACATTTTAACCCACAACAGTTTGCCCTCCGCTCCCCCCATAATCATGTCCTTCTCACATGCAAAATCCCTGCACCCCATAGCAACATCTCCAAGATGGCTAACCCCTTCCAGCACCAACTCTTAGTCCACAATCTCAGAGGAATATCACCTGCATCAAGTGTGGGAGAAACCACAGCAGGGGTGGCGAGCCTCCTGCCCCCTCTGGCCCAGGTGGGGCTGTGTGCACTGTGTGGGTGTGCCTGGGGATCCACTTGCCCCCCCATCTATCTGCTCATTTTCCCCAGGCTGTGGGCATTTGGGGCAGAGGCCTCAGTGCCTGGCCTGCTCTCTCCCGGTTCTATCCAATGCCTGTGCTGGGCTGGAGGGGCCGGGCAGGGTGGGCCCCCAGGAAGGAGGATGGGTCACCTGTTGCTCCCATAAGCCCAGGTCCAGTCCCAGCTGGGGATCCATCTCTGGCCTCTGCCAGCCTTGAAATCCCCCAGTCCTCTGTGTCTCCCTCCTGGGGCCCACCAGGCCTGCTCAGCTCTGAGTCCCATGTCCATTCTCACCCTGCTCTGAAAAATGATGTTTTTCATTTCAGAATCATACTTTCAGTTCTAGAATTTTCATTTGGTTCTTGTAAATATTTTCCGTCTCTTATAGAGATTCCCCATCTAGTCACTCATTATAATAGTATTTTCCTTTAAGTCTTTGAACATGTTTAACATAACTTCTTTAAAGTCCTTGTCTGATAACTGTATCTGCATCTAGGTCATCTTGGAGTTGATCTCCATTGATCCCTTTTTCTTCTGACTATGGATCACATTTTCATGTTTCTTTGCATCCATGGTAATTTTGGATGTGCACCTGATGTTGATAACATGCGTACAGGCTATGGGGTTTGCATTCTTTCTTAGCAGAGCATTAATTGTTTTTTTCAATGTTAGCAGTTAGCTTGAGTTGACTCAAACTCCCAAGTCTGTCTGCCTGGCAGTTGGCAGTAGCTGGAATCTCAGTTCTCTCGACTTACAGGTGTTGCTTTCTGCTGGGCCCTTTGGAGTTTTCCCTACCCATGCACACCTAAGGGATCGGCCAGAGGTTTCAGTGGAGTTTACTTGCAGATTGTGTGGTTTCCCTTCGGTGAGCTTCTCCTTTATGGACATCTTCTCTTCATTTCCAGCTGCTCTGAAAATGCAGCCCTGCATCCCACTCCTCACCAGGAGGGCTGCAGTTTCCTGCTTAAACTCTAGCTGCACCCATTACATGCACTGGGGTGTGACTTCAGACGAATATTTCACGGAATAATCCTTACTAGTGTTTGCCTACTTCTGGTCATGTTCCAGTGCCTGCAATTGGTGTGTGTGGGTGTTGTGTGTGCTTACAGTGTTTCCAGTGTTTATAATTGCCATCTGCCAAAGGGCTAGTCTGATATTAGCTGCTCTAGCATTACTGGAATCAGAACTACTTTCTCTCATGTGGTTTTTCATTTTCATTTCCCTGTTGACTAGTGTGGTTCAACACCTTTTCATATGTTTAGTGGCTATTTGGATATCTTCTGTAAAACATCTGTTCAATTCTCTTGCCTATTCCTCGTTGGATTATTTGATTTTTTTTCTCATTGGTTTACAGGGGTCTTCTTTATATTATGGATCTGTTTCTGTCAGTCAGTTATATATGTTTATAGGAAACATTGAGAAAAATTAGTAGGTGCCTTCCATGGAAAGCAAGGCATCGTCTTGTACACTCTTCCAGGTTATTTCATTCTGTGGAGCTCTGCATCTTTTATTTCCTTTGAACTATTTTACACCTCTATAAGCCAGGGGTCCCCAATCCCTGGGTCATGCACTGGAACCGGTTCATGGCCTGTTAGGAACTGGGCCACAGAGCAGGAGGTGAGGGGTGTGTGAGCATTCCTGCCCGAGCTCCACCTCCTGTCAGATCAGTGGCAGCATTAGATTCTCACAGGAGCGAACCCTATTGCGAGCCGCACATTCCCGGGATCTAAGTTGCACACTCCTTATGACACCCTAATGCCTAATGATCTGAGGTGGAACAGCTTTGTCCCCAAGCCATCCCCCGATCCTGGTCTGTGGAAAAATTGTCTTCCATGGAACTGGTTCCTGGTGCCAAAAATGTTGGGGACCACTGCTCTAAGTTGTACATAATTGATAGCAATGCAAAAGCTCTTTGAGTTGGTAGAAATTCAAGTTCTCATCTTTGGAAGGACAATGAATTGCTCCTCATCTTCCAGGGAAAAGGCCAGTTTTGCATCTATCTATGAACTCCTTTTAGCATTCCTGAATCAATTATGTAAGTGTAGTACTTAGAATTCCACTTTGAACTGGTTACGACACCTTAATTAATGAGATAAAGAGCATCTCTGAAATGTGTCGTCATATGGTTATGTGAGTCCTGATCATAACAGTTTTAGAAAATGATCTTTTAACTCGTTGTGATTTCTTCTCCCCCACGGCCCCACCCAGCCGCAGTATCCACGGAGCTTAGTTTTCTGTGGCCCAGGAGGGCAGGAGACCCGGTGTTGACGGGGAGATCTGAGATTGGCCCCAACTTTTCCCCACAGCTCTGCTTCAAGGAGTGCCCTGGGAAGGCCTCCCAACCCCACACCTGTCCTGTTGGCCAAGGCGAGCTCCATGCCATGTGGCATCTCTGCTGCTGGCCACCTGGCGAGTATCTGTTGAATAGAGAAATGTGCAGCATCTCCACAGAGCTTCCAGGGCTACTGTGCTCTCCAAACATCTCTGGGCTCCTGGCACCCTCTCAGGGTATGATGTGTTGGTGGCTGGGTTGGGCCCCTGTCCCTGAGGGTAGGACTCAGGCAAGGACAAAGCTCTGGACTCAAAGAGCTGGTGTGGGGGTGAGTGAAAGGAACAGGAGCTTTGGGGTCAGAAATGCGGGTTTCAGCCTGCATTGTCCCCATGAGCAGGGGCTGCAGACTCACCAAGACCTCAGTTTCTACCATGGTGAGAGAGTGTCAGAGACTGCAGCACGTATTTGAAAAGCGTCCAGGGACGGCAGGGGTCTGGGTTGGACCAGCTCTCCTGAATACTGAGGGTGTGATCTTGACCATTGTGAAAGGAAAATAAAATCTCAGGACCCTAAAGTCACTATGCCAAAAAGAACAGTTGAGGTGGGAAGCTGAGTCATGAAAAAAAAAAAAAAAGTCATGCGTTTCCTTTTGTTTCCAAACTGAGAGCAGCAGCAGATAGGCCAGGTCTACCCAGGTGGCCTCCCTCACCCTGACAATATAAATTAACAGCCCGGTCTTCATGACATGGGACAAAATGAGACAAGAAATCATCCCTCCTGCCCCTGAGACGAATGCATATTTGACTTCTTCCTCTACTCTGTTTATTTGCTTATAAAGTGCAGATTTACTGAGCACAAGGCAAATGTGTAATTGCTCCCTCCACCCCTCCTTTTCATGCAACGTGGGGGCTCAGTGAGATGTAATCAAAGCCTCAGAAGAATGTGACCCTCCCCTCTTGCTTTTTTCTCTTTCATCTTTACCCTCCTCCAGCTTTTCCCCTTTTCAATATTGAAGCAGGACGTAGTGTGACTGCATCTGGGGTCAGGTGTGGGGTGGTCCACGTGGACAGTGAGGAACGTGGTCCCTGCCCGTGGTGGTCCGGGTTTCCTGGGAGATGGCCAGACTTGGGTGCTGAGGGGAAGAGGCCGGTGCAGTCACTGGACGGGAGAGAGCATGTCCATTGTGCTGAGTGGGCTGGGAGGGATCCACAGAGAAGACGGTGTGGCTCAATAGCTAGCACCGGGGACGAGTACGTGGGTGACGGGCCTGGCACATGGACTAGCTCAAGGCGTGAGGTTGTGACCTGCCCAGGGAGCCTATGCCTGAGTGTGCTGGGTGGGTGCTGGGTTCGCAAGCATTTGTGTGCCTGTGAGGCCCGTGTGTGTATGTGTGTGTCACGTGTCCCCCATGCGTGGCAGGCATCGTCGCGTGGCCCCCATGTGTGGCAGGCATCGTCGCGTGGCCCCCATGTGTGGCAGGCATCGTTGCGTGGCCCCCATGTGTGGCAGGCATTGTCGCGTGGCCCCCGTTCGTGGCAGGCATGTGCAGCCTGAGTACCATGCCAGATGGGGTGTTCTGTCTTCTCCAGGCCTGGCCCTGCCGTGTGAGCAGGGAGCTTCCCCATGGGACTGATGTTCTGTCTCCTCCAGGCCTGGCTCTGTCCTGCCATGTTAGCAGTGACCTTGGCCATGGGAGTGGTGGGCACAGGCGTGGCTGTGCCAGGCTTTGCTGGCTGGGCTTGGTGGGGGCACCATACCCCTTGCTGAGTGTGGGTAGCAGAGGGTTCGAGGTGCCCTCTGGGAGGTGGTCGGGCAGAGGCAGGGTTGGGAGCGTGTGGGGAGATGGGTGTTCAGCTAGGCTCCTTCCCTGTGGAGGGGCTCAGCTGAAACCTGGGCTCTCAGTCCCCTCACACCTGCCTCCCCAGCATCCTCCCTCTGCCCCTCTCTTCAGCCTGCCTTGGGCCTTGCTCTGAGACCGCTGCTGAGAGGACCGGAGGAGCTTCAGCAGCACCCTGTGCTGGGCGGACGCCGAGGTCACAGCCTCGCTCTGTCTCCTCACAAGGCCACGTGGTGGCAGGTCCTTCCTCCTGTCTAACCAGAGTCCTGCTTGCTGCTCTGCAAGCCCACTTGGGTCACGTGGGGCAGGGGCACCTGGAAGGGTGGGCTTCGTGGACTCAAGGGCCACCAATTCCTCCAGGTCAACATGCTCAGATGGTTCCATTCTCCCCCTTCCCTTGGCCACAGAGACCTCTGTATCCTGGGGTGACCACAAATGTCACAACACAAGAGTCACACCAGAAATGTCACACCATGTCACACTGTGGGGAAAAGAAAGATCAGACTGTTACTGTGCCTATGTAGAAAAGGAACACATAAGAAACTCCATTTTGATCTGTACAAAGAAAAATTGTTCTGCTTTGAGATGCTGTTAACCTGTAACTTTAGCCCCAACCCTGTGCTCACAGAAACATGTGCTGCATGGAATCAAGGTTTAATCACACCCCATCACACCAGGGATGTCCCACACCATCACACCACATCACATCATGTCACACCACCCACATCACACTATGTCACAGCCTGTTACATCACATCACACCAGGGACGTCACACCCTGTCCCATCACATCACATCATGTCACACCATTCCACATCATTTCATATTATACCTCATCAAGCCAGGGATGTCATACCCATCACACTACGTCACACCAAATCACACCAGGGATGTTACATCTGTCGCATCACATCACACTATGTCCAACACCACCTCACACCAGGGACATCACACCATGTCACACCACATCCCACCATGTCACACCACATCACACCAGGGATGTCACACTGTGATAGGACATCACACCATGTCACACGATGTCATGTTACATCACAGCATGGGCTGCTGGGGGGTGTGCAGGGGCAGCCTTGCTGGAGAGTTGAGGGAGGGTCCTGGGGCTGGGCATGGTGTTCCCGCAGGAGGGCTGACCCTCTGGAGGATGCTCGGTCCCAGGTAGAAAGTGGGAGGTGGGCCCCGGGTGGCTCAGGGAGGGGCCCAATTTCCCCAGGGGAACCTGGTCCAGGCGCCAGGCCCTGCAGGGGGCAGCAGCTGCAGGAAGCATCTGCTTCTTCCCAACTCAGCCTGCTCAGTGCACGGAATGACCCGGAGCCCGGCACCGTCCTGGGTTTCCTTTCCTTATCCTGGCCAGGCCGTCCATCCTCAGACAGTGGACTGGAGCCCACCCCACCAGAGCACCTGGAGGCCCGTAGGGCCCCTTGAAGGGCAGAGGGTGGAGATCTCTCCAGCAGGGTCCCTGAGGGCTGGCACCTTCTCTGGACAAAGCTCTCCTGCATCTCTGGGACGCCATCCTTGGGCTTGGGATAGAGCCGGTGATGCAGCAGCTGCCCGCCCTGCACCCCAGGTGCTCTCTCCCTCACCCCCCGCGGGGCTGCAGCAGCGTGTCCTGAGAGTTAAAGGGCTGGGCTTCAGCACCCAGTTCAGGCCAGGCCCCCTGGAGCGCACCCTCCAGTGGCGAGCCTTCCCACGGCATGGCAGGGCCTGGAGTCTGGGGATTTAGTCCCCAACTCTGTGTTTGGTGAAGCTCCAGCTGCTCGATGCCACACAAACGAATCCAACCACTCCTCCTTCCTGGGTGAGATGGTCTCTCTCCTGCCACAGGCAACTCCGACGGCATTTCGCAGCCACCGCAGCCACCGCAGCCACTGCAGTAACAAGACCCTGTCCTTGACTGAGTTCCAGCCAGGCTCCTCGGAGCCTCTCCACTCGGCCTCAACCTTGGCTTGTAAAGACTTGAGCAGACACTAACAGTTTCTAACAGCTTCTGGCCGTACCCCTAGGCCGACCCCTGCCCCGTCAACACCTGCCTGAGAAAGCTCCGTGCACCAGAACTCACCGTTTGGACCAACCCCGACCTCCCTTTCTCAGGGTATCTGCTGAGAGGGCCGCAACCACACGACCTTCTATCCGTTCCCGATGTCTGTGCATTTCCTGTGACCCAGGAGGGTCTTTCTCGGGACCTGAGAGCCACTCCCTGAAGTGTCCCCATTGGGAAGGATGGGGCCTGTGTCTCCAGGCTCTGGGAGGACAGAATCCTGACCTCAACAGTGGCCGGCACAGACACAGCGGGTCCCATCCCGGGGACGCTGACCAGCGCTGGGCAACTTTTCCCTTCCCCGACGACTGAGCCCCGAGCACCCTCCCTGCTCCCCCTACCACCTCCCTTTACAAGGCTGTGGCCTCTGCACAGATGAAGGTGAGTCCAGGTCATGCCGGACTCTTTCTTCTGTTGCAATAGTTATTTCTGTTGAAAATCCGTCCTTGCTACATGACCTAGTGCCCAGGGGGATGCTGAGACAGGATGAATGTGTTTTGCATGTGAGAAGAACATGAATTTTGGGGGCCAGAGTCTGGACTGTGATGGGTTAAATCGTGGCCCCTACAAATTCATATATTCAAGTCTTAATCCCTGGCCTCACAATGTGACTATTTGGAGATGGGGTCTTTACAGAGGTCATTAAGTTCATAGGGGGTCACTAATCTAATCCGATGTGTGTTCTTATAAGAAGAGAAGCTTAGGACACGGGCACACAGAGGGATGGCCATGTGAGGACCAGGGAGGAGACGGTGTCTACAAGCCAAGGAGAGAGGGCTTGAGAGAAACCAGCCCTGCCTGCATCCTGATCTCAGATTCCTGGTCTCTAGGCCTGGGAGGATCCATGTCTGCTGTGGGAGCCGCCCCGCTGTGGTCCTGAGCTGACTCACACAGATCTGACACCCACCTCTCGCTTCGGACCATGGTTGGTTCTGGAAGGCCCTCCCTGTGGCTCTGCCTGGGCAGCCTGAGCCAGCTCCCAGCCTCGACCCAGCTTTCCCTGGAGGCCCTGTCCCCCGCAGAGTGACCAGGGCAGGCAGCACCGTGCCCAGCAGGAGGAGAAACTGCATCCATGTAGAAAAGAGGAGAAACCCCGGGGGTCCATGTAGCGACAGGGGCCAGGGAGGGTCGCTCGGGCAATGCGTGTGGCTGCAGGAGGCGGGGGGCGTATGCAGGGAGCCCCCGAGGTGCAGCTGGACCAGCCTCCTCCTGACCGTGCTTCCCACCGGGGGCAGGAGGCGCGTGGACACAGGAAGGCGGCTCCCATCACGAAGTACAAGACTTAAAAAGGATATTTTATTGTCATCACAAAAGAAACATCAAAGACAATTAATGAGCTTTAGAAAATTTAAAAGAAGAAGAAAAGCTACCAAAGCTGAAATGGTGGCACCTCCTTCGAGTGAGCCCGGGAGTCCTCCCTGACAGCTGAGGCAGGCGCTGGCCGCACTCCCGCTCGAGTCTCCCTGTCTGCGGATTCTGCGTGACAGTCACG
Organism: Homo sapiens; assembly: GCF_000001405.40. Taxonomy (NCBI): domain Eukaryota; kingdom Metazoa; phylum Chordata; class Mammalia; order Primates; family Hominidae; genus Homo; species Homo sapiens. The sequence continues at coordinate 107,546 of NT_187600.1, forward strand.
GAACGGCGTGATGGGGGCAGCAGAGCGTGGGGGCCTCTGTCCAGCACTCGTGGCCAGCAGCCCCGCTTTCACAAGAACACGGGCACCCTCTTTGTCGTCTTGCCTCTCCACCTGGTGCCCCCAGAGTGGCTGCTTGTTCCTGCTGCACGTGACCCGGGGCTGGACGCCAGCCTCTGTGATGAGTTCTGGCTGTGTCCACGCTCCTGGCTCTCCCGGTGTCCCTCCACCTCTCTCCCCGATGCTCCTGGGCCTCCTCTGTCCTCAGGCCCCACCAAGGCTGAGTCTTGCCCGCCTGGGACCTGGTCACCAGCCTTCTCTGGGAGGCCTGTCTGGGCAGATGCCCAGCCCTTCCTTGGGCTATCCTCACCCTTGCACCGTGGGGCTCCTGCAGCGGCCACATGGCCCAGGCTCTTCTCCGAGTGATCTCGGTGGACTGGAGTGGGTGGTAGGTGGCAGTGTCCTGGGCCTGGCCCCTTCTCTCCCCAGTGCGGACTCTGGGGCTGGCTGTCCCTGCGGGTCGAGTTCCACCCGAGAATCCAGCAGTGTGGGCAGGCAGCCAAGGGGTGGTGCTGGCACTGAGACTGTTCCCAGGAGCCAGAGAGCAGCGTTCTTTGCTTGAAATCAGAACAACCTCATTCCTCATGTCAGGAGTTCACGGGAGTGCCTGGAATGGAGGCTGGCTGGCTGCGGGCTGGGAGGAAGGCCGTCTGAGTGAGCCTTCGCAGCTCTCGGAAGCCTCCCCAACAGGGCCTGATGGTGCTGTGACTTCCCTACCTTGGCGACTGATGCTCCCACTCACCATCTGGAAACCACGCCTGTGTTCAGGAGGCTGGCGTGGACAGGGTTGGCTCCAGGGCGAGGTCCTGCCTGAGTGGGGGCCTGGGATGCTGGTCACTACCTCCTTTTGTGTGAGCACCTGGCGGGCCGGAGGGCAGGGACGTCCTGCTGAGGGGACACTTGGCCCCCAGCGCCCTGCATGCACCAAGCAGCGGAGGTCTGGGGTAGACCTGCTATGCACAGGGTCTGGAAGGGGGGCGTGTCAGGGTCAGAGGGCGACTGCGAGGCCAGAGAGCCATGGGGTTGAGGGCGGTGAGGTCGGGGGCAGGTGTGGCCTGGGTGATGGCTGAGCATGGCCCACGGCTCCTGTGTGGGGTCTGGGCGGCCCTGGACACCCCACAGAGGGTGGCCCTAGGCCCCCTGCCTGATCATGTTCCTGTAGTCGGGGACGATGGTCTGCTTCAGGTCCACCACTGAGGAGAAGATCCACTTCACCTGTAGGCAAGGCACAGCACAGGGGTGAGCGAGGCCACAGCCCTGCCCCCAAGGCCCGCCCACCCCTCAGGCCACCCAGGTGCCACGGCCTCACCACTGCCTGCTCTGAGGCTTGAACTTGGAGAACAGAGCCAGGTCACCAACAGTATGTGGACAGCACAGACGACAGCATCAGGGACAGGTGGGGACAGTGTGGGGGACAGTGTCAGGGACAGGTGGAGACAGTGGGGGAGAGTGTTGGGGACAGGTGAGGACAGCATGGAGGAAAGTGTGAGGGACAGGGGACAGCATGGGGACAGTGACAGGGAGAGGTGGGGACAGTGTGGAGGACAGCATCAGGGACAGGTGGGGACAGCATGGGGGAGAGTGTCAGGGACAGGTGGAGAGAGTGTGGGGGAGAGTGTTGGGGACAGGTGAGGACAGCTTGGAGGAAAGTGTTGGGACAGGTGGGGGCAGCATGGGCGACAGTGACAGGGAGAGGTGGGGACAGTGTGGAGGACAGTGTCGGGGATAGGGGACAGGAGGAAACTGTGGGGGACATTGTTGGGGATGGGGGGATAGCGTGGGGGACAGTGTTGGGCACAGGTCAAGACAGCGCGGAGGAGAGTGTCCGGGACAGGTGGGGACAGCATGGGGGACAGTGTCAGGGACATGTGGGGACAGCATGGGGACAGTGTGTGACAGCATGGGGGACAATGTCAAGGACAGCTGGGGACAACGTGCGGCCAACCTTGAAGAAGGTGATGGTGGCACTGTAGCACACGCTTAGCAGGAAGAGTGTGATGAAGATGGTGATGGTGGTCCACAGCCCGTCCAGCTCCCCGTCCTGCGCCTCCGCACAGCTCTCCTCCAGTTGCAGCTCTGGACAGGAAGTGGGTGGTCAATACTGTGTCCTGCTGGGCTCGGGCCTCTGGGGGTGATTCCCTCTGTGGCAGGACCCAGGATGTAGGGCCCGGCCGGGATGGGCCAACAGTGTCCTGAGGTCAGCTCCCCACAGCTGCCTGCCCTGGGCACCAGCTTTGGCCCCGGGACTCAGCCAGACACCCAGCCCTAGATAGCGACCTGGCCCTCAGCAGGACCCGCTCCCCATCTCCTGTGTCCCTCCCTGAGGCCCAGAGGGCAGGAGGATGGTGAAGCCCACACCTCATGTGACCTCAGCTGCAGGGAAGGGCGGCATTGGGAAGTGGGCCAGTGCCAGGGACGCGACGTGGCGTGTGTTCCCCTGTGTGTGGGGGCCTGTGTGTGTGTGGCGGCTGCAGGGGCACCTTGTGAGAGGAGGGCTGGGTTTGTCTGAGCAGGTCAGCATGTGGAGAAGCTGCCGAGCGGCTCGTGGGCCTTGAGGTGCCGCGTGGGGCTCGTGGGGGCCTGTGTCTGAGGAGTGTTCACGTGTGCGAGGACCTTGCTCTGGTCTGGGTGCTGTGCGGTTCGCCCGGGTGAGGCTCCGTGTGTGAGGCGTGCACGTGTGTGTGTGGTGGCCGTGTGGCCGGCCAACCTCAGCGCGGGGTTTGTTGAACGGGTCTGGGCTGAGTGTGTGTGTGGGCATCTGGACCAGTCCCTCCACAGGGCCCGAGAGTGCATGTCCCCGGAGTCGGTTGTGTCCCCATGCGGGTGCGAGGCTGGGCAGGGCAGCCAGGGGTTAGTGCCGTGGGGGTAGATGGGTGAGGGAGGGCCTGTCCCTACGCACATGGACTAGGCATGCCCCCGAGTGGGCATGGAGGTCGGAGGACAGGGCGCTCACAGGACAGGACAGTCTCCTACAGAGGCAGGGGCTGTGTGTCTGTCCCCAGGGGCTCCTAGGGCTTCCCGTGGCCCAGCCCAGGGCAGCTGCTGCTGGAGGGAGGGCCACGCTGGCAAATCCCCCACCCTGCCGAGGGCAGCCCCTGGCTGAGCCCCACCCTAGGCGGCCCAGGCACACCTGCACAGCCTGGGCCAGTGTGGGGACAGTGGAACCCGCTCTGCCTCCCTCATGCCACTCAGGCCTCAGACTCGGCCTGACCCACGGAAAGAACCATCACAGTCTCGCAGGGGCCCAGGGCAGCGCTGGGTGCTTTATTTCCATGCTGGGTGCCCGGGAAGTATGTAGACGGGGTACGTGCCAAGCATCCTCGCGCGACCCCGAGAGCCTGGGGAGCGGGGGCTTGCCGGCCGTGGCACTCATTTACCCGGAGACAGGGAGAGGCTCTTCTGTGTGTAGTGGTTGTGCAGAGCCTCATGCATCACGGAGCATGAGAAGACGTTCCCCTGCTGCCACCTGCTCTTGTCCACGGTGAGCTTGCTGTAGAGGAAGAAGGAGCCGTCGGAGTCCAGCATGGGAGGTGTGGTCTTGTAGTTGTTCTCCGGCTGCCCATTGCTCTCCCACTCCACGGAGATGTCGCTGGGGTAGAAGCCTTTGACCAGGCAGGTCAGGCTGACCTGGTTCTTGGTCATCTCCTCCCGGGATGGGGGCAGGGTGTACACCTGTGGTTCTCGGGGCTGCCCTGTAGGGACAGAGGTTGGCACAGCGGTCACTCCCAGGGCAGAGGGTGGGCCGAGCCGGCCTCTGTCCATGTGGCCCTCATACCCCGCGGGTCCCACCTTTGGTTTTGGAGATGGTTTTCTCGATGGGGGCTGGGAGGCCTTTGTTGGAGACCTTGCACTTGTACTCCTTGCCGTTCAGCCAGTCCTGGTGCACGACGGTGAGGACGCTGACCACACGGAACGTGCTGTTGAACTGCTCCTCCCGTGGCTTTGTCTTGGCATTATGCACCTCCACGCCGTCCACGTACCAGTTGAACTGGACCTCGGGGTCTTCGTGGCTCACGTCCACCACCACGCACGTGACCTCAGGGGTCCGGGAGATCATGAGGGTGTCCTTGGGTTTTGGGGGGAAGAGGAAGACTGACGGTCCTGCCACAGGTGGTGCTGAGGAAGAGATGGAGGTGGACGTGTCAGCACCCAGCTGGGGTCTGTCCCTGGATGCAGGCTACTCTAGGGCACCTGTCCCGCCTTGAGCTGGAGGGCGAGGCCTGGGCTGGCTTACCTGGGCACGGTGGGCACTCGACACAACATTTGCGCTCTGCAGAGAGAAGATTGGGAGTTACTCGGATCTGGGAGGAGAGAAGGTGTCCGAGCTGAGGGAGTGGACAGTTTGGCCTTTGGGGTCGGCTTAGGTCAGGGGCAGGGTCCTCCCGGATATGGCTTTTGGCAGGTCTGAGCCAAGCACCTGCCCCTGTGTGTGAAGGGCCTGGGGTAGGGGCACCCAGCCTGTGCCTGCCTGGAGCCTGGTGGAAAAAGCCAGAAGACCCTCTCCCTGAGCATGAGTGGGGCGGGCAGAGGCCTCCGGGTGAGGAGACAGATGGGGCCTGCCTTGCTGCCCTGGGCTGGGGCTGCACAGCCGGGGTGCGTCCAGGCAGGAGGGCTGAGCCTGGCTTCCAGCAGACACCCTCCCTCCCTGAGCTGGCCTCTCACCAACTGTCTTGTCCACCTTGGTGTTGCTGGGCTTGTGATCTACGTTGCAGGTGTAGGTCTGGGTGCCGAAGTTGCTGGAGGGCACGGTCACCACGCTGCTGAGGGAGTAGAGTCCTGAGGACTGTAGGACAGCCGGGAAGGTGTGCACGCCGCTGGTCAGAGCGCCTGAGTTCCACGACACCGTCACCGGTTCGGGGAAGTAGTCCTTGACCAGGCAGCCCAGGGCCGCTGTGCTCTCGGAGGTGCTCCTGGAGCAGGGCGCCAGGGGGAAGACCGATGGGCCCTTGGTGGAGGCTGCAAGAGAGGTGGTGCCATGTGACCGCGGTGTGGGACAGAGCTGGGCCCAGGGCGCAGAGGCCCCTCGGTTCTTGTCTATCTGCGAGGGTCCAGGCAGGGTCCAGTGTCTGGGCTCACGGGCATTGGGTGTGCACCTGGCTGGCGCCACCTGCGTCACCTTAGCCCCCTCCCTGCCCCAAAGCCAAAGTCAGGCCCGGCCTGCCCCAGAAAGCTTGCAGGACCGGTGGCCCTGTGGTGCCCTTCTGCAGGCACCCCTGCAGCCTAGGAGGCGGGGCTCGGCAGCCAGGTCAGCGCTCTGTGCCTGCCGGGAGTCAGCACAGTCCAGGGCCTCTAGCTTGGCCTCAGCTCTGGCCATCGGTGCCACCTCAGGGACGGCTCATGCCCATTGGCCCCACTCCAGCCTTTTATGGGTGCCTGGCTTGACCAGTGGACACTGTTCTCAGATGGCTTCTCGTGGGTCCCCCGAGTCCCCTGAAGCTCCTGACCCTGCCGCCCCAGCGTGGCCCTCCGCTAGTGAGTGGGCCTGACTTGCCCAGGGCCCTGGTCATAGCCTGCCCTCTGCCCTCCAAGGCCCTTTTCTTCTGTGCAGCAGAGGGGCCAGACACTGCATAGGGTCGGCGCCCTTCAGCCCCAGGGCCCCGGAACCCCCTGCCTTGGAATAGCCTCCTGGAGCCTCCTCCTCAGCCTCTCCCCTCCTTTCCCCTTAGCCCCAGTGTGCAGCAGCCCAGGTCAGGGCCCTGAGTGCCTGGATGCCCCCTGCCTCCCAGTGTCCTGCATTACTTCTGGAGGCTCAGTCACCACAACCTCACCCTCCCAGCCCTGGCCTGGCCTTCTCGGCCACCAGCCCACCTCCTCCCTCTCTCCAGAGCTTCCCCCGGCAAGGTCCCTGCTGGGCTCAACCCAGGCCCCCCAGCACAGGTAGGAGCCTTGCACCTGCCCTTGGCCCTCCCCACCCTGCGTGGTGCCAGGACCCCCAGGCCACAGGGAGGCCCCATTTCTCTCTGCCGCTGGCCCAGTGGCCCTGGAGTCCCACTGCAGGTGGGGTGTGCCCCTGACCTCTGAGGAGGCTAAGTGCCCTGCCCTCAGCCAGGCCATCCCCTCTGCTCAGCCCCAGGGCCCCGCTCACCACCCCTTCCCCTCACCTGCACCACAGGCTCTGGCTGACTCTGCCCAGGCCCTGAATGGGCCCCTCTGGCAGCCCTCTGCTGCTACACTGCCCTGCACCACCTCCACTCAGCTTCATTGTGCTGGTGGCCCTGGCTCCTGGCAGCCCATCTTGCTCCTTCTGGGGCGCCAGCCTCAGAGGCCTTCCTGCCTAGGGTCCGCTGGGGCCAGCCCTGGGACCCTCCTGGTCTCAAGCACACATTCCCCCTGCAGCCACACCTGCCCCTGCCTGAGAGCTCAGCCCCGAGCCCTGGAATGCCTTCCCTTCTCCATCCCAGCTCACCCTTGCCAACTGCTCAGTGGGATGGGCTCACACTCCCTTCCTGGCACCAGGAGGCTGCACTGCACTTTCACCAGCCCTCAGCTGTCTGCTGCCAGCAACTACCCAGCTCCTGCCAAAATCTAGGAGCTGAGTGATGCCTCCCACCGGCCCTGCTCACCTGTGGTTGCCTTGCCCTGAGCTCTAGTGCCTGTCCCCTGCTCGTCCTGCCTCCCACCGGCCCTGCTCACCTGTGGCTGCTCTGCTCTGATTCCCTGAGGCTAAGCCTCAGTCCTGCTCACCTTCTGATGCTCTCCTCTGTCCCCTGAGCTCCAGGGGCTGTCCCCTGCTCGTCCTGCCTCCTACCTGCCCCTGCTTACCTGAGGGTGCTCTGCCCTGGTGCTCTGAGCTCCAGGGGCTGTCCCCTGCTCCTCCTGCTTCCTACCAGCCCCTGCTCACCTGTGGCTGCTCTGCCCTGGTCCCCTGAGCTCCAGGGGCTTCCCCCTGCTCTTCCTGCCCCCACCAGCCCCTGTTCACCTTCAGATGCCCTCCCCTGGTCCCCTGAAGTCCCAGAGCTGCCCCCTGTTCCTCCTGCCTCCCACCAGCCCGTGCTCACCTGCCGCTGCTCTGCCCTGGTCCCGAGTTCCAGGGGCTGCACCCTGTTCGCCCACCTCCCACTAGCCATGCTCAGCTCTTGATGCTCTGTCCTGGTCCCCTGAGCTCCAGGAGCTGTCCCCTACTCGTCCTGCCACCCACCAGCCCCTGCTCACCTGAGGCACCTGAGGCTGCTCTGCCCTGGTCCCCTGAGCTCCAGGGTCTTCCCCCTGCTCATCCTGCCTCCCACCTGCCCTTGTTCACCTTCAGTTGCTCTGCCCTGGTCTGCTGAGCTCCAGGAGGTGCCCCCTGCTCCTTCTGCCCCCACCTGCCCTGCTCACCTGTGGCTGCTCGGTCCTGGTACCCTGAACTCCAATGCCTGCCCCCTGCTCACTCTGCCCTCCCTCAACCCGGGCAGCAATGTCACTCAGGTCACTGTTGCCCCCCTGCCTGTCCTGGCACCCTCTGTCCAGGTTTGGGCTGTTTTTCTGGCCTCATTTTTGTTTTTGCAGCACTTGGCTTGTTCCCTATGCTGTGGAGCAGCCCCAGTGTCCAGTCAGGTCTCCCCAACAGAGCCCCTTGCCCTTGCCCATGTGCCCCTCCTGGGTGAGCTCCCAGATCCTCCCGTCCCTGCACTGCTCCTGCTCTGGAAGCCTCTCCAGAACCTCAGCTCCTCAGTGGCCTCTGCTCTGCTGGGTCAGCTCCCTGAACGCACGGAGCCTCACCCCTCCCCTCGCCCCAGGCCTGCTGCACTCTGGGCCTTTCTGGGCCTCCCTGGACTCTTCCCTCCTCCCATCTGTGCACTCAGCACAGCTCTCCCCTCCACTCCGCTGCTGACCACAGCCCTGCTCCCCGCCAGCAGGTGCCCCAGCGCCATCAGGTGGCTCTGAGCCTAGCCCCTGTGCCTCCCCTGTCCCTGCCTCTGCCTCTGGGCTCCTTGGCTTCCACCCTCCTGTCCTGCTGCCACACTCACCCTCCCTGCTCTGCTCCCGGCTCACCTGCTGTCCTTGGTCCTGGCTGAGAGAGGGCCCCACGGCCAGCACTGCTGACCCTGCCCTGGGCTCCAGTGATGCTGCTGGCCTGGACAAGCCCCTCCGTTCACCTGGGGCCTCTCCTCCTCCCTCGTTCTACTGCCTCCTCAGCTCAGGTGGGTCCTGCCCATGCTGGCATCACCCCACGGCCGGCTCTGCCGCATCCCGTCAGGTTCCTCGTGCTCCCAGCCTGGTCGTCATGGAGGCCTCAGTCAGCCTCTGGTGTGTCCTGCCCTGTTGGCTTGGAAGCCCCTGCCCACGGTCCCCGTCATCTTGCACTGGGTGGGCGTTGGTGCCTGAAGGCTGCCCACCTCCCCCGTGCTGGCTCCGCTTGGGTCTCCATGTGGGGCTGGCCTTGCCCCCACGTCTCCCCAGCCTCTTGTAGCCTGTTCAGCAGCTGAGGTCCAGGAGCGCCCACGGCTGCACCCAGGCTCTGTCCTTCTCCTCCCGAGCCTGTGCCCTTGCCCTGTGCTGACCCTACTCACCGAGGTGGGGGTCTCAGCCCTTCCTGTTTTGGCGCGGTACATGTGGGCAGACTTGCCCACGCCGTCAGCTGCTATTTGTCTTCCTAGGAAATCACAGCTCGGCCCTCAGGTCCCCAGGGGTGTGAACTCCACGCTGCAAAGACTAAGAACAGGATTGAAACCGGCGGCACCGCTTACTTCCTGAAGTTCCCTTTTCTTCTGGTGGTTTCTGTGTCACAGGGTAAGGGGGAGTCCAGACACAGCCGAGGCTGCCTCATGGGTGTGTGGGGATGGGGGTGGTGGCTGCCCCCATACTCGTGGGAGAAGGTGGGGAGCCCGGACCTTGTTCACTGCTCTTTTCTCTGTCTCTGAGTCCCTGGGGCTGGACTGATACTGGCAGTGATTATGACCATTCTGCCCGTGGTCTCAGCCTCTCAATACCTGGGCCTCTCACCTGAAGCTTCTGACCCCCACTGGGCCCTGGTGGCTGCTTTGGCCTGGGCGTCTCTCCAGCTGGCTCTCACTCATGGTGCAGGGAGGGGAGTGTGAGTTCATCCCGCTGAGCAGCTGGCAAAGGCGAGCTGGGATGGAGAAGGGAAGGCGTTCCAAGGCTCAGGTCTGAGCTCACAGGCAGGGGCAGGTCTGGCTGCAGGGAGAATGTGTGTGCTTGAGACCAGGAGGGTCCCAGGGCTGGCCGAGTGGACCCTGCACAGGAAGGCTTCTGAGGCTGGTGCTCCAGAAGGAACAAGATGGGCTGCCAGGAGCCAGGGCCACCAGCTGTGCTCCTGGGGGCCGAGGGGACGTGGGACAGGTGGATGAACACACTGAAGCTGAGTGGAGGTGGTGCAGGGCAGTGTAGCAGCAGAGGGGAGCCAGAGGGGCCCATTCAGAGCCTGGGCAGAGTTGGCCAGAGCCTGTGGTGCAGGTGAGGGGAAGGGGTAGGGGGCAGGGCCCTGGGGCTGAGCAGAGGGGATGGCCTCTGCTTAGCTTAGGGCACTTAGCTTCCTCAGAGGCGAGGGGCACACCCGAGTTGCAGTGGCACTCCAGGGCCACTGGACTACAAGCAGAGAGAGAAATGGGGCCTCCCTGGGGCCTGGGGGATGCTGGCATCATGCAGGGTGGGGAGGTCCAAGGGCAGGTGCAAGTCTCCTACCTGTGCTGGGGGAGCCTGGACTGAGATCAGGAGGGACCTTGCCAGGCCGAAGCTCTAGAGAGAGGGAGGAGCTGAGGAAGGACGAACGTGGAAGTGGGAGGTAAGGGGGGATGGTATGAGGCCAGAGGGACTGGGCAGACCAAAAGCCCGAGGAGGTGTCGCACAGGAAGTGTCCAGAATGGAATAGGAAGTGTCCGGAATGGAAAAGGAAGCATCCAGCATGGAACAGGAAGCATCCAGAGTGGAACAAGAAAGGTCCAGCATGGAAAAGGAAGCATCCAGAGTGGAATGGGAAGCGTCCAGAGTGGAACAGGAAGCATCCAGAATGTAACAGGAAGCATCCAGAGTGGAACAGGAAATGTCCAGCATGGAACAGGAAGCATCAAGAATGTAACAGGAAGCATCCAGAGTGGAACAGGAAATGTCCAGCATGGAACAGGAAGCATCCAGAATGTAACAGGAAGCATCCAGAGTGGAACAGGAAATGTCCAGCATGGAACAGGAAGCATCCAGAATGTAACAGGAAGCATCCAGAGTGGAACAGGAAATGTCCAGCATGGAACAGGAAGCATCAAGAATGTAACAGGAAGCATCCAGAGTGGAACAGGAAATGTCCAGCATGGAACAGGAAGCATCCAGAATGTAACAGGAAGCATCCAGCATGGAACAGGAAGCATCCAGAGTGGAACAAGAAACGTCCAGCATGGAACAGGAAGCATCCAGCATGTAACAGGAAGCATCCAGAGTGGAACAAGAAACGTCCAGCATGGAACAGGAAGCATCCAGCATGGAACAGGAAGCATCCAGCATGGAACAGGAAGCATCCAGAGTGGAACAAGAAATGTCCAGCATGGAACAGGAAGCATCCAGAGTGGAATGGGAAGCGTCCAGCGTGGAACAGGAAGCATCCAGAGTGGAACAAGAAACGTCCAGCGTGGAACAGGAAGCGTCCAGCATGGAACGGGAAGCATCCAGAATGTAACAGGAAGCATCCAGCATGGAACAGGAAGCGTCCAGCCTGGAGCAGGAAGCGTCCAGTGTGGAGCAGGAAGTGTCCAGCGCGGAACAGGAAGTGTCCAGCGTGGAAAAGGAAGCATCCAGCGTGGAACAGGAAGCATCCAGAGTGGAACAAGAAACGTCCAGCGTGGAACAGGAAGCGTCCAGCATGGAACGGGAAGCATCCAGAATGTAACGGGAAGCATCCAGCATGGAACAGGAAGCGTCCAGCGTGGAGCAGGAAGCGTCCAGTGTGGAACAGGAAGCATCCAGAGTGGAACAGGAAGCATGCAGAGTGGAACAGGAAATGTCCAGCATGGAACAGGAAGCATCCAGCATGGAACAGGAAGCATCCAGCATGGAACAGGGAGCATCCAGAGTGGAACAGGAAATGTCCAGCATGGAACAGGAAGCATCCAGGATGGAACAGGAAGCATCCAGTGTGGAACAGGAAGCATCCAGAGTGTAACAGGAAACATCCAGCGTGGAACAGGAAGCATCCAGCGTGGAACAGGAAGCATCCAGCGTGGAAGAGGAAGCGTCCAGCATGGAACGGGAAGCGTCCAGAATGGGCACTTTGAAGGGAAATCATGTCCCTCCCACTAAATGTGCTCTCCACAAGGACCCGGCCTGCCCTTGTGACCCTGCTGGATCCCTGAGCTGGCACCAGCCCTGCCCTCAGAGAGAATGTCCAGGAGACAGGTGGAGGTGCACGTGTGGGTCCCTGGGGAAATCCATCCTCCAGCCGCAGGCTCCCAGTCGGCTCCCAGCCTCTCGTTCCAGCTTCACCCCATGGAGCTCATAATGGGCTCAACCTCCCAGGCTGGGGGAGGACGGAGTGAGGGGCCCCCCACTGCCCATGGCACACCCAGGGGGCTGGGGAGTCTGCACTGGGCTGGGGCAGGGAGGCCTCGTGCAGCCTGTGGGGCTGGCAGCTCAGGACAACACTCGTATCCGTTAACTGTGGCCCTGGCAACACTGCACCCCAGACTGCGTGGCTTAAACAACAGACGTTTATTCCGTCCTGGTTCTGGAGGCCGGGCATCTGGGATGGAGGCCTCGGTGGGGCTGGCTCCTCTGTGTCATGGGAGACTCTGTCCCAGGCTCTCTCCTTGCTGCTGGGCTTTGCCGGCCGTCTCTGGTGCTCTTGGCTTATGGAAGCAGCACCATCTTCACAGGGCGTTCTCCCCACGTGCTGTCTGTGCCCAGATTCCCCCTTTTCATGAGGACAGCAGTCATATTGGATCAGAGGCTTGCCCTACTCCAGGGTGACCTCATCTGAACTTGATTGCAGCTGCAAAGACTGTTTCCAGACAAGGTCACATTCTGCGGTCCTGGGGGTTAGGACTTCAACACATGAATTTATAGGGGACACATTTTAACCCATGACAGTTTGCCCTCCGTTCCCCCCATAATCATGTCCTTCTCACACGCAAAATCCCTGCATCCCATAGCAACATCTCCAAGATGGCTAACCCCTTCCAGCACCAACTCTTAGTCCACAATGTCAGAGAAACATCATCTGCATCAAGTGTGAGAGAAACCCAGGGTGAGATTAGGAGAGAAACCACAGCGGGGTGGCGAGCCTCCTGCCCCCTCCGGCCCAGGTGAGGCCGTGTGCACTGTGTGGGTGTGCCTGGGGCTCCACTTGCCCCTCCCATGTACCTGCTCATTTTCCCCAGGCTGTGGGCATTTGGGGCAGGGGCCTCAGTGCCTGGTCGGCTCTCTCCCGGTTCTATCCAATGCCCCAAGCTTGCTGGGCTGGAGGGGCCGGGCAGCGTGGGCCCCCAGGAAGGAGGATGGCTTCCCAGCTGGGGCTCCATCTCTGGCCTCTGCCAGCCTTGAGATCTCCGGTCATCTGTGTCTCCCTCCTGGGGCCCAGCAGGCCTGCTCAGCTCTGAGCCCCATGTCCGTTCTCACCCTGCTCTGCTTTTCCTTGGGGTGCTGGCCCTGCCCTGGCCTCCACAAATGGCCCCTGCCCCCACCCCTTCCTGTCTGAGGGGCTGGGCTGTTCCTCTCCTGCCCGGCGTGTGCCCACCTAGGCCCAATAGGCATAGTGCCCCCAGCCCCTCCTGCCCTCTTCTGGCCTTCACGCCCAGCCATGCCGGCAGCCCGCCTCAGTGGCCTGGGCCTTCACCAGCTCCTGGCTCTGTGTCCAGCTGCCACTCCTGTGGCCCTACGGTGCTGCCCCTTTCCCTCAGTGATGGGGGCTGGGCTTCCTGGGAACGGGCTGTGTCTCAGCTGCACACACCTGTGTGTGTCAGTGTGCGCATGGGAGTGCGTGTGTGTGCTGGGGGTGTGTGCAGGAATGCTTGTGTCTGGGGGCAGGGGGAGCATCTGCCTTCCTGCCCCAGGCCTGGAATGGCCGTGCCAGGGTGGGTGGGAGCAGTGCGTGCGAGGACAGTGCTGCTTTGACGTCTGCGTGTGGCTGGTGTGGGCGGGAGGACGTGGTGTGGCACGAGTCTCGGGCTCCCCATCTCCATCCAGCTGATCCCGGATGGCTGCGCTCCTGAGGGTTTAGAGCAGCCCAGGGGGTCAGGAGGCTGTTGGGACGCTGGAGGCAAGCGCTGGCAGGGATGGGGGTGGGCTGGCCAGGCAGCGTGGCCAGGGGGCTTCGAGCCGGGGCAGTGAACCATCCCCCAACTTTTTAAAGTTTTAAAAGTCATATTTACTCAAGTGTAGTTTACATTCAGTATAATCCATCCTGTGACATGTAAGTTTCAACAAATGCACAGTCATGCAACCACCACCGTAATCCAGATGAACAGTTGCAAGAAGATGTAGAATCTCTCCAAAAATTCCACCAGGCCCCTTTGCAATCAACGCCTCCCTGATGGCTAGGAATCCATTGATCTGCATTCTGTCAGAAGACTCAGAGTTCATCATTAAAATGATCTATTATGGAAAATATTATAAGCATACAAAACACAAAACCAAGTTTTAAAAAGTGAGGTATTTCTTAAAAGTTTAGTATACAAACAAAATGAAGGTACCTTCACATTTTACTACAGATGTGCAGATAGTTTTCTTGGTGCACAGAGATAAGGCAGAATTAAGTCAGAATAAACGTTCTAAAACTGACCTCCGGAAGAACTAGTCTTAGTCATTTCTTTGCAGAGTATGTGAACCAAGATTCGGGTTTGGTCTTTGGTGTTAGCACTGTGTCAAGGATCAGATAGAAAGTACAAATGGAGGGGCCCCTTTCTGAGGCCAGGCCCCACTGTCGGGGCATGTGGGGTGACCAAAGGCCAATACCAGCTGAGGCTAAGAGGCTGCTCTCAGAAAGGTAGGTTTGCAGGTGTCTCTTGAACCCTTTGTTCAGAACCGGGACGTGTGGCTGGGCAGCAGCCTTCAGAATCCCCACAGGCTGGTGCCCGGTGCCCACAGCCCTCTCGGGTTGTCAGGACCCTGCACCCGTGGTGGGGTGCTGGGCTCCAGAGTTCCCTGGGACCAGCTGATCTCTTGTCCTTGGTTTTGGCCCAAATGCAAGCCCCTGGTCTCCTCCAAGTAACTTCCTTTCCCCAGGGCTGTCCAGGCCCCACCGCTGCCTGTTCCTTCCCAGGGCCTCCCGCAAGTCCCGATGCTGACGCCTCTCTGCCCACCTAGTTTGTGGCCGCCGCCTCCAGCTCTGTGTCTGCCTCCCAGCGAGGGAGCCGTGGTTGATGATCTCGTGAGTGTCTGCCCTTCTGAAGGTACAGTGTGAAGTCTCATCAGTCTCACTTCAATGCCTAAGCACCTCTTCAGAAACCAGGGATTCATCCAGGTTTCTCCATCTTTAACCATGTTTTCTAAAAGTTTTCTTGGCAATTTCCTGGCAATTTGCAAGACAGGATTTTTTGGTTGCCAACTTCCAATTAGCTTTAAACTTGCCACGATCTCCCAGGTCATCCCGTCCATCGATGATGCTTATTACATTCTTCCTGATTTCCATGTGGCCAAATTCAATAGTTATTTACCCCAGGCTTGTATTTTGGAGGCTAAAGAACTCTGTTACCAGCTATATCCGTGCTGTGGCTGCCGTAACAAAATATCACAAATGTGGCTTAAAACAACAAAAATTTTTTCAGAGTTCTGGGAGTCAGGAATCTGAGATCAAGGTGTTGGTGGCTGTCTCTGAGTGCTCCAGGGGAGGACCGTCCACCTCTTCCAGCTTCCTGTGGTGCAATAGTTTGGATGTGTGTCTCTCCAAATTTCATGTTGAGATGTGATTCCCAGTGTTGGAGGTGGGCCTGGTGGGAGGTGATTAGATCATGGGGCTGGACCCCTCATGAATGGCCTAGCACCATCTCCCAGGTGATGAGTGAGTTCTCCCTCAGTTAGTCCCTGTGACAGCTGGTTGTTTAAAAGTCTAGGACGTGCCACTTCTCTTCTCTTGCTCCCTCTTGCCATGTGACATGCCTGCTCCCCCTTCGCCTTCTGCCGTGATTGCAATCTCCCTGAGGCCTCGCCAGAAGCAGATGCCAGGGCCGTGTTTCCGGAATGGCTGCAGAACTGTGAGCTAGTTAATCCTCCCTTCCTTGCCACAGTGCCTGGTGCAAACCTCTTTTCTTTATAAATTACCAGATTCATGTTTTTTTTTTTTTTCTAGTAACACAAATAGACTAACTCAGAACATTGGTATTGAGGAGTGGAACATTGCTATAAGGATACCTGAAAATGTGGAAGCAGCTTTGGAATCAGGTAACAGGCAGAGAGGTTAGAAGAATTTGGAGGACTCAGAAGAAGACAGGAAGATGAGGGAAAGTTTGGAATTTCTTAGAGACTATTAAATGGTTGTCACCAAAATGCTGATAGACATATGGACTGTGAAAGCCAGGCTGATGAAATCTCAGATGGAAATGAGAAACTTATTGGGAACTGGTGTAAAGGTCACGCTTGTTAAATCCTAAGAAACAACTTGGCTGCATTGTGTTCATGCCCTAGGGATCTGTGGAAGGTTGACCTTAAGAGTGATGACTTAGGGCATCTGTGGAAGACATTTCTAAGCAGATGTTTCTAAGGTGTGACCTGGTTGCTTCTAACAGTCTATGGTAAGATATGGGAGCAAAGAAATGACTTAAAGTTGGAACTTATATTTAAAAGGTGTAAACGACAAAATAAAATGCTAATCCAAGGGGATTCCAAAGAAACCTGGAAAACCAGTTCAGGCCATGACAGGAAGGGGAGGGTGGTTTGGACTCCCTCACTATACCCTCTCCCTGTTGGAGCTTAGGCTCAGCTGACCAGTGTTAACATTAAAACAGGGAGCTTAAGACTGACAAAGCAGACTCTTTGTAGCAATAAGATATCAAATCCCAACCTGATTCTGGTATAGCATCACATGACAGGTGGCAGGCATGGAAGGAAATTAAAGTATTTTATGCCAGAATATATTTCTCTGACACATTTTGGAAGGGCCCTGCAAAGCCGTCTCTTGTGGAGGAAATGTATATTCTGTTGAGAATCTTTTTCCCTTTCCAGGTCTCTTCCTGATTCAGGAGAGATTTATCCAAGAGTCTGGCACCTTTTAGGTTCTGATAAGAGACATTGACCATCTCTTCTCTCTGGAACGTGGAGGCTTCATCTACATAACAAGAAACTTGGCTTCCACAACCCCCTTATCTTAAGCATTGCTTTTTGCTGACTTCAACTTTTTAGATAATTTAACTTTTTCAGCCAATTGCCAATCAGAAAATCTTCAAATCCACCTATGATTTGGAATTCCCCACTTTGAATTGTCCTGCTTTTCCAAACCAAACCAAACCAATGTATACTTTACATGTATTGATTGATATGTCTCCCTAAAACATAAAAGCAGGCCGCAACCCAACCACCTTGCACAGGTGTTCTCAGGACCTTTTGAGGCTGTGCCACAGTTCATGGCTCTCACATGTGGCTCAGAATCAATCTCGTCAAGTGTTTTATGGAGTTTGGCTTTTTTCATCAACAAAGGGAAGCAGAGCATAAAAAATGTGGAAAATTCACAGCCTGGCCATGTGGTAGAAAAGAAAAGGTATTTTCAGGAGACAAATATAAGTAGGCTATGGAGCAGCCAGTTGCTAGAGAGATTAGCATAACTAAAAGGGAGCTAAGTGCTCATATCCAGAACAAAGGGAAAAAGGCCTTGAAGGCCTTTCGGAAATCTCTGAGGTGGTCTTTCCCATAACAGGCCCAGAGGCCAAGAGGGAAAGGATGGTTTTGTGGGCCATGCCCATGGCCACTGCTGCCTGTGCAGCCTTGGGACACTGCTCTCCACATCCTGGTTCCTCTGGCTCCAGCCTTGGCTCAAAGGGCCCCAAGTACAGCTTAGGCTGCTTCTTTGGAGAGTGCAAGCCACTATAAGCCTTGGGAACTTCCATCTGGTGTTAAGCCTGTAGGCCCCCAGAATGCAAGAGTGAAGGAGGCTTGGCATCTTCACTCTAGATTTCAGAAATGTATGAGAAACCCTAGGTGCCCAGAGAGAAGCCTCCTGCCAGCATGGAGCCCTCACAGAGAACCTCTACTAGAGCAGTGCCAAAGAGAATGTGGGGTTGAACCCCCATATAATGTCCCCACCAGGGCACTGCCTAGTGGAGCTGTGGGAAGGGGGCCACTGTCCTCCAGACCCCAGAATGGTAGATCCACTGGCAGTTTGCACCCTGAATCTGGAAAAGCCACAGGCACTCAACTCTATCGTGTGAGAGAAGCCACAGGGGCTACATCCTCCAAAGCCACAGGGGTAGAGTTGTCCAAGGCTTTGGGAGCCCACCCCCTGCACCAGTGTGCCCTGGATATGGGACATGAAGTCAAAGGAGATTACCTTGGAGCTTTAAGATTTAATAACTGCCCTGCTGGATTTCTGACGTGTATGGGGCATGTAGATCCTTTCTTTTTGCCAACTTCTCCCTTGTGGAATGGGAATGTTTACCCAATGTCTGCACTCTCATTGTATTTTGGGAGTCAATTTGTCTTTGATTTCCTAGGCTGATAGGTGGAAGGGACTCATCTTCAGATGAGACTTGGGACTTGGGAATTTTTTGTTGATTCTGGAATGAGGTAAGACTTTGGGGGACTGTTGAGAAGGCATGATTGTATTTTGCAACATGAGAAGGACATGAGATTTGGGGGACCAGGGGTGGAAGGATATGGTTTATATATTTGTCCCCTCCAAATCTCATGTTGTAATATGATTCCCAGTGTTGGAAGTGGGGCCACTAGGAGGTGATTAGATCAAGGGGGCAGATCCCTCATGAATGATTGAGCATCTTCCCCTTGGTGATGAGTGAATTCTCCCCCAGTCAGCTCACACACAGTCTAGTTGTTTAAGTCTGGGCCCCCCCTCAGCCTCTTGCTCCCATTCTTGCCATGTGGCATACCTGCTCTCCCTTCACCTTCTGCTATGATTGTAAGTTTCCTGAGGTCCTCGCCAGAAGCAGATGCTGATGCCATGCTTCCTATAAAGCCTGCAGAACTGTGAGCTAATTCAATCTCTTTCCTTTATAAGTTACCCAGCCTCATGTATTTCTTTACAGTAATGCAAAGGGACAAACACAGGTGGCTCCTGACACACCCCTCATCTTCTCCTTTGTCATCATCTGGCTACTTCCATGTGTGTCTGTGTCCTCTCCTCTCATGAGGACACCAGTCTTTGGATTTGGGACCCATCGAAAATTTAGTATGATATCATCTCAAGTCCTTAAACTAATTTGTAAAGACCCTATTTCTAAATATGGTCACATTCTGAGGTTCCAGGTGGGCATACATTTGGCCAGGGAGATGCCATCAACCCAGCACACCAGCCTACGCAGGTACATTTGCATATAGCTTAGGGTTGACCTTTCCCATGGAAGTATTACATCCCCCTCTGGACTCCAGTTTCACATGTTTTAGAATGCTTCGCCTTGTCCAGCAGGATGAGTCTCTTTTCATTTTTAGTATTTTTCTCTCTCTTCTTTGCATTAGATTAAAAATAATTGACATAGTCTATTGATGCATCTTTAAGTTTTCAGTTCCTTCTCATGTCTGCTCCATTCTGTTATGAAACTTGAGTAATGTTTTTCTATTTCTTTTCTTTTTTAATAAAATAGAGATGGGATTTCTCCATGTTGCCCAGGCTGGTCTCAAACTCCTGGGATCAAGTGATCCTTCCTTCTTGGCCTCCCAAAGTGCTAGGATAACAGGCATGGGCCACTGTGCCTGGCCAAATGATGTTTTTCATTTCAGAATCATACTTTTAGTTCTAGAATTTTCATTTGGTTCTTGTTAATATTTTCCCTTTCTTACAGAGATTCCCCATCTAGTCACTCATTATAACCATATTGTCCTTTAAGTCTTTGAACATATTTAACATGACTTCTTTAAAGTCCTTGTGTGAAAACTGGGTCTGCATCTAGGTCATCTTGGAGTTGATCTCCATTGATCCCTTTTTCTTCTGACTATGGATCACATTTTCATGTTTCTTTGCATATATGGTAATTTTGGATGTGCACCTGATGTTGTTGATAACATGTGGTACAGGCTATGGGTTTTGCGTTCTTCCTTGGCAGGGCATTGATTGTTTTTTTCAATGTTAGGAAACAGCTTGAGTTGACTCAAACTCCCAAGTCTGTCTGCCTGGCAGTTGGCAGTAGCTGGAATCTCAGTTCTCTCGACCTTACAGGTGCTGCTTTCTGCTGGGCCCTTTGGAGTTTTCCCTACCCATGCACACCTAAGGGATCGGCCAGAGGTTTCAGTGGAGTTTACTTGCAGATTGTGGGGTTTCCCTTTGGTGACCTTCTCCTTTATGGACATCTTCTCTTCATTTCCAGCTGCTCTGAAAATGCAGCCCTGCATCCCACTCCTCACCAGGAGGGCTGCAGTTTCCTGCTTGAACTCTAGCTGCACCCATTACATGCCCTGGGGTGTGACTTCAGACCAATATTTCCGGGAATAATCCTTACTAGTGTTTGCCTACTTCTGGTCATGTTCCAGTGCCTGCAATTGGTGTGTGTGGGTGTTGTGTGTGCTTACAGCTTTTCCAGTGTTTATAATTGCCATCTGCCAAAGGGCTAGTCTGATATTAGCTGCTCCAGCATTACTGGAATCAGAACTACTTTCTCTCATGTGGTTTTTCATTTTCATTTCCCTGTTGACTAGTGTGGTTCAACACCTTTTCATATGTTTAGCGGCTATTTGGATATCTTCTGTAAAACATCTGTTCAATTCTTTTGCCTATTCCTTGTTGAATTATTTGATTTTTTTTCTCGTTGGTTTACAGGGGTCTTCTTTATATTATGGATCTGTTTGTGTCAGTCAGTTATATATGTTTATAGGAAACATTGAGAAAAACAAAAGATTAGTAGGTGCCTTCCATGGAAAGCAAGGCATCGTCTTGTACCCTCTTCCAGGTTATTTCATTCTATTGAGCTCTGCATCTTTTATTTCCTTTGACCTATTTTACACCTCTATAAGCCAGGGGTTCCCTTCATCACACCATATCACACTATGTCACACCAGGGATGTCACACCACATCACACTATGTAACTCCTCATCACACTGGGGATGTCGTACCAGGTCACACCCCATCATGCCACATCACACTGTGTCACACCGCATCACATCACACCAAGTATGTGACACCCTGACACAGCACATCAGACATCACATCATGTCACACCACACTTCATCACACCCCACCCCACCAGAGTTGTCACACCCCATCACACCACATCACATTACGTCACGCCATGTCAAACTACATCATACCCCATTACCCCAGGGATGTTATGCCACATCACATTATGTCACACCACAATACACCACATCAAATTGTGTCACACCACATCACACCCCATCACACCAGGGATGTTATGCCACATCACCTTATGTCATGCCACATCACACCACATCACACCCCATCACACCGTGGATGTCACCCGTCATCACACCACTTCACATAATGCCACACAACATCACACCCCATCACACCAGGGGCGTCACGCCCCATCAGAACACGTCACATTATGCCAAACCACATCACATCATGTCACACCACACCACACCACACTATGTCACAGCCTGTTACACTTCATCACACCACATCACACTAGGGATGTCACACCTTGTCCCATTACATCACATCATGTCACACCATTCCACATCAAACCATATTATGCCCCATCATACCAGGGATGTCATACCATATAATACTATGTCACACTGCATCACACCAGGGATGTAACACCACATCACACCATGTCCAACCTTGTAGCCCAACACCACATCACAGAAGGGACATTACACCATGTCATACCACATCACACCATGCAACTCCTCATCACATGAGGGAGGTCGAACCCTGTCACACCCCATCATGCCACATCACACCATGTCACACTGCATTACATCACACCAACGATGTGACACTCTGTCACACCACATCACACATGTCACACCAGAGATGTCACACTCCATCACATCACATCACATCACACCCGTTAAATGATATCATACCCCATCACACCAGGGATGTCACACCGCATCACATCAGGTCATATCACATCACACTACGTCACACCACATCACACCAGGGGTGTCACACTCTGTCACAGGATGTCCCACCATGTCACACCATACCACATCACACCATATCATATCCTATCATACTAGGGATGTCATGCCCCATCCCACTATGTCACACCACATCACACCATGTCCAACCATGTCACATCACATCACACCACATCACACCATGTCACACCAGGGATGTCACACTCTGTCATACCACATCACACCATGTCCTGTCACATCACACATTACACCCTGGCACACCATGGATATCACACCACATCACACCATGTCATGTTACATCACAGCATGGACTGCTAGGGGGTGCGTGGAGGCAGCCTTGCTGGAGAGTTGAGGGAGGGTCCTGGGGCTGGGCGTGGTGTTCCTGCAGGAGGACTGGCCCTCTGGAGGATGCTCGGTTCCAGGTGGAAAGGGGGAGGTGGGGCCTGGGTGCTTCAGGGAGGGGCCATCCTTGGGCTTGGGATAGAGCCGGTGATGCAGCTGCTGCCCGCCCTGCACCCCAGGTGCTCTCTCCCTCACCCCCCGCGGGGCTGCAGCAGCGTGTCCTGAGAGTTAAAGGGCTGGGCTTCAGCACCCAGTTCAGGCCAGGCACCCTGAAGCCCACCCTCCAGCGGCGAGCCCTCCCACGGCACAGCAGGGTCCGGGCTCTGGGGATTTCACCCCCAACTCTGGTGCAGCTCCAGCTGCTCGATGCCACACAAACGAATCCAACCACTCCTCCTTCCTGGGTGAGATGGTCTCTCTCCTGCCACAGGCAACTCCGACGGCATTTTCCAGCCACCGCAGCCACCGCAGCCACTGCAGTAACAAGACCCTGTCCTTGACTGAGTTCCAGCCAGGCTCCTCGGAGCCTCTCCACTCGGCCTCAACCTTGGCTTGTAAAGACTTGAGCAGACACTAACAGTTTCTAACAGCTTCTGGCCGTACCCCTAGGCCGACCCCTGCCCCGTCAACACCTGCCTGAGAAAGCTCCGTGCACCAGAACTCACCGTTTGGACCAACCCCGACCTCCCTTTCTCAGGGTATCTGCTGAGAGGGCCGCAACCACACGACCTTCTATCCGTTCCCGATGTCTGTGCATTTCCTGTGACCCAGGAGGGTCTTTCTCAAGACTTGAGAGCCGCTCCCTGAAGTGTCCCCATTGGGAAGGATGGGGCCTGTGTCTCCAGGCTCTGGGAGGACAGAATCCTGACCTCAACAGTGGCCGGCACGGACACAGCGGGTCCCATCCCGGGGACGCTGACCAGCGCTGGGCAACTTTTCCCTTCCCCGAAGACTGAGCCCCGAGCACCCTCCCTGCTCCCCCTACCACCTCCCTTTACAAGGCTGTGGCCTCTGCACAGATGAAGGTGAGTCCAGGTCATGCCGGACTCTTTCTTCTGTTGCAATAGTTATTTCTGTTGAAAATCTGTCCTTGCTACATGACCTAGTGCCCAGGGGGATGCTGAGACAGGATGAATGTATTCTGCATGTGAGAAGAACATGAATTTTGGGGCCCAGAGTCTGGACTGTGATGGGTTAAATTGTGGCCCCTACAAATTCATATATTCAAGTCTTAATCCCTGGCCTCACAATGTGACTATTTGGAGATGGGGTCTTTACAGAGGTCATTAAGTTCATAGGGGGTCACTAATCTAATCCGATGTGTGTTCTAAGAAGAGAAGCTTAGGACACGGGCACACAGAGGGATGGCCACGTGAGGACCAGGGAGGAGACGGTGTCTACAAGCCAAGGAGAGAGGGCTTGAGAGAAACCAGCCCTGCCTGCATCCTGATCTCAGATTCCTGGTCTCTAGGCCTGGGAGGATCCATGTCTGCCGTGGGAGCCGCCCCGCTGTGGTCCTGAGCTGACTCACACAGATCTGACACCCACCTCTCGCTTCGGACCATGGTTGGTTCTGGAAGGCCCTCCCTGTGGCTCTGCCTGGCCAGCCTGAGCCAGCTCCCAGCCTCGACCCAGCTTTCCCTGGAGGCCCTGTCCCCCGCAGAGTGACCAGGGCAGGCAGCACCGTGCCCAGCAGGAGGAGAAACTGCATCCATGTAGAAAAGAGGAGAAGCCCCGGGGGTCCATGTAGCGACAGGGGCCAGGGAGGGTCGCTCGGGCAATGCGTGTGGCTGCAGGAGGCGGGGGGCGTGTGCAGGGAGCCCCCGAGGTGCAGCTGGACCAGCCTCCTCCTGACCGTGTTTCCCACCGGGGGCAGGAGGCACGTGGACACAGGAAGGCGGCTCCCATCACGAAGTACAAGACTTAAAAAGGATATTTTATTGTCATCACAAAAGAAACATCAAAGACAATTAATGAACTTTAGAAAATTTAAAAGAAGAAAAGCTACCAAAGCTGAAATGGTGGCACCTCCTTCGAGTGAGCCCGGGAGTCCTCCCTGACGGCTGAGGCAGGCGCTGGCCGCACTCCCGCTCGAGTCTCCCTTCCTGTCTGCGGATTCTGCGTGACAGTCACGGAACGGCGTGATGGGGGCAGCAGAGCGTGGGGGCCTCTGTCCAGCACTCGTGGCCAGCAGCCCTGCTTTCGCAAGAACACGGGCACCCTCTTTGGCGTCTTGCCTCTCCACCTGGTGCCCCCAGAGTGGCTGCTTGTTCCTGCTGCACGTGACCCGGGACTGGACGCCAGCCTCTGTGATGAGTTCTGGCTGTGTCCACGCTCCTGGCTCTCCCGGTGTCCCTCCACCTCTCTCCCCGATGCTCCTGGGCCTCCTCTGTCCTCAGGCCCCACCAAGGCTGAGTCTTGCCCGCCTGGGACCTGGTCACCAGCCTTCTCTGGGAGGCCTGTCTGGGCAGATGCCCAGCCCTTCCTTGGGCTATCCTCACCCTTGCACTGTGGGGCTCCTGCAGCGGCCACATGGCCCAGGCTCTTCTCTGAGTGATCTCGGTGGACTGGAGTGGGTGGGAGGTGGCAGTGTCCTGGGCCTGGCCCCTTCTCTCCCCAGTGCGGACTCTGGGGCTGGCTGTCCCTGCGGGTCGAGTTCCACCCGAGAATCCAGCAGTGTGGGCAGGCAGCCAAGGGGTGGTGCTGGCACCGAGACTGTTCTCAGGAGCCAGAGAGCAGCGTTCTTTGCTTGAAATCAGAACAACCTCATTCCTCATGTCAGGAGTTCACGGGAGTGCCCGGAATGGAGGCTGGCTGGCTGCGGGCTGGGAGGAAGGCCGTCTGAGTGAGCCTTCGCAGCTCTTGGAAGCCTCCCCAACAGGGCCTGATGGTGCTGTGGCTTCCCTACCTTGGCGGCTGATTTTCCCACTCACCAACTGGAAACCACGCCTGTGTTCAGGAGGCTGGTGTGGACGGGGTTGGCTCCAGGGCGAGGTCCTGCCTGGGTGGGGGCCTGGGATGCCGGTCACTGACTCCTTTTGTGTGAGCACCTGGTGGTCTGGAGGGCAGGGACGTCCTGCTGAGGGGACACCTGGCCCCCAGCGCCCTGCATGCATCAAGCAGCGGAGGTCTGGGGTAGACCTGCTATGCACAGGGTCTGGAAGGGGGGCGTGTCAGGGGTCAGAAGGTGACTTCGAGGCCAGAGAGCCATGGGGTTCAGGGCGGTGAGGTCGGGGGCAGGTGTGGCCTGGGTGGTGGCTGAGCATGGCCCACGGCTCGTGTGTGGGGTCTGGGCGGCCCTGGACACCCCGCAGAGGGTGGCCCTAGGCCCCCTGCCCGATCATGTTCCTGTAGTCGGGGACGATGGTCTGCTTCAGGTCCACCACCGAGGAGAAGATCCACTTCACCTGTAGGCAAGGCACAGCACAGGGGTGAGCGAGGCCACAGCCCTGTCCCCGAGCCCCACCCACCCCTCAGGGCACTGAGGGCCACATCTCTTCCCCCAAGGTCCACCCACCCCTCATGCCACCCAGGCCACAGCCCTGCCCCTGAGGCCCATCCGCCCTTCAGTCCACCCAGGTGCCAGGGCCTCACCACTGCCTGCTCTGAGGCCTGGACATGGAGAGCAGAGCCAGGGCACCAACAGCATGTGGGCAGTACAGAAGACAGCGTCAGGGACAGGTGGAGACAGTGTGGGGGATAGTGTTGGGGACAGGTGGGGACAGAGTGGGGGACAGTGTCAGGGACAGGAGGAGACAGAGTGGTGGACAGTGTTGGGGACAGGAGGAAACAGTGTGGGGGACATTTTTGGGGACAGGAGGGGACAGTGTGGGGGACAGTGTTGGGGACAGGTGGGGAAAGCATGGTGTACAGTGTTGGGGACTGGTGGGGACAGCGTGGGGGAAAGTGTTGGGGACAGGAGGGGACAGCGTGGGGGACAGTGTTAGGGAGAGGTGGGAACAGTGTAGGGGACAGTGTCAGGGGGAGGTGGGGACAGCGTGGGGGACAGTGTCAGGGAAAGGTGGGGACAGTGTGGGGGACAGTGTCAGGGAGAGGGGACAGTGTGGGGGACAGCGTCAGGGAGAGGTGGGGACAGCATGGGGGACAGTGTCAGGGAGAGGTGCGGACAGCATGGACAGTGTCGGGACAGGTGGGGACAGTGTGAGGACATTGTTGGGACAGGTGGGGACAGTGTGGGGGACAGTGTCGGGGACAGGTGGGAACAGCGTGGGGGACAGTGTCAGGGACAGGTGGGGACAGCATTGGGGAGAGTGTCAGGGACAGATGGGGACAGTGTGGGGGACAGCATCAGGGACAGGTGGGGACAGCATGGGGGACAGTGTCAAGGACAGGTGGGGACAGCATGGGGTACAGTGTCGGAGATGGGTGGGGACAGCATGAGAGACAGTGTCGGGGACAGTGTCAGGGACAGGTGGGGACAGCATGTGGGACAGTGGGACAGGTGGGGACAGCATGGGGGACAGTGTCAGGGACAGGAGGAGACAGCATGGGGGACAGTGTTGCATACAGGAGGGGAAAGCATGGGGACAGTGTCAGGGACTGTAGGGGACAGAGTGGGGGACAGTGTCAGAGACAGGAGGAGACAGCATGGGGACAGTGTTGGGGACAGGAGGGGACAGCGTGGGGGACAGTGTCGGGGACAGGTGGGGACAGTATGGGGGACAGTGTCGGGGACAGGTGGTGACAGCGTGGGGGACAGTGTCAGGGACAGGAGGAGACAGGAGAAGACAGCATGGGGGACAGTGTGAGGTACAGGAGGAAACTGTGGGGGACATTGTTGGGGACAGGAGGGGACAGCGTGGGGGACAGTGTCAGGGATAGGAGGAGACGAGAAGACAGTGTAGGGGACAGTGTCGGGACAGGAGGGGACAGGAGGAAACAGCATGGGGGACATTCAGGGACAGGAGGGGACTGTGGGGGACAGTGTTGGGGACAGGTGGGGATAGCATGGGGTACAGTGTTGGGGACTGGTGGGGACAGTGTGGGGAATAGTGTCCGGGACAGGTGGGGATAGTGTGGGGGACAGCGTCAGGGACAGGTGGGGATAGTGTGGGGGACAGCGTCAGGGACAGGTGGGGATAGTGTGGGGGACACTGTCAGTGACAGTTTGTGACAGCACAGGGGACAGTGTCAGGGACAGGGAACGTGTGGGGGACAGTGTCAGGGACAGTTTGTGACAGTGTGGGGGACAGTGTCAGGGACAGGTGGGTGCAGCATTGGGGATAGTGTCAGGCACATGTGGAGACAGTCTGGGGGACACTGTTGGACAGGTGGGTACAGCGTTGGGGAGTGTCAGGGACAGGTGGCGACAGCGTTGGGGATAGTGTCAGGGACATGTGGAGACAGTCTGGGGGACACTGTTGGACAGGTGGGTACAGAGTGAGGGACAGTTTGTGAGAGCGTGGGGGACAGCGTCAGGGACAGGTGGGGACAGCCTGGGGACAGTGTCAGGGACAGTGTGTGACAGCATGGGGGCAATGTCAAGGACAGCTGGGGACAACGTGCGGCCGACCTTGAAGAAGGTGACGGTGGCACTGTAGCACACGCTTAGCAGGAAGAGTGTGATGAAGATGGTGATGGTCGTCCACAGCCCGTCCAGCTCCCCGTCCTGCGCCTCCGCACAGCTCTCCTCCAGTTGCAGCTCTGGACAGGAAGGGGGTGGTCAGTGCTGTGTCCCCCTGGGCTTGGGCCTCTGGGGGTGATTCCCTCTGTGGCGGGGCCTAGGATGTAGGGCCCGGCCTCGATGGCCCAACAGTGTCCTGAGGTCAGCTCCCGGAAGCTGTCCATCCTGGGCACCGGCTTTGGCCCTGGGGCTCAGCCAGACACCCGGCCCTAAATAGCGACCTGGCCCTCAGCAGGACCCGCTCCCCGTCTCCCGTGTCCCTCCCTGAGCCCCAGAGGGCAGGAGATATGAAGCCCACCCCTCATGTGACCCCAGGAGCAGGGAAGGGCTGTATTGGGAAGTGGGCCAGGGCCAGGGACGTGACGTGGTGTGTGATCCCCTGTGTGTGTGTGGCGGCTGCAGGGGCACTTTGTGAGAGGAGGACTGGGTTTGTCTGAGCTGGTCAGCAAGTGGAGAAGCTGCCGAGAGGCTCGTGGGCCTTGAGGTGCCGCATGGGGCTTGTAGGGGCCTGTGTCCGAGGAGTGTTCACGTGTGCGAGGACCTTGCTCTGGTCTGGGTGCTGTGCAGTTCGCCCGGGTGAGGCTCCGTGTGTGAGGCGTGCACGTGTGTGTGTGGTGGCCGTGTGGCCGGCCAACCTCAGTGCGGGGTTTGTTGAACGGGTCTGGGCTGAGTGTGTGTGTGGGCATCTGGACCAGTCCCTCCATAGGGCCCGAGAGTGCATGTCCCCGGAGTCGGTTGTGTCCCCATGCGGGTGCGAGGCTGGGCAGGGCTGCCAGGGGTTAGTGCCGTGGGGGTAGATGGGTGAGGGAGGGCCTGTCCCTACGCACATGGACTAGGCATGCCCCCGAGTGGGCATGGGGGGTCGGAGGACAGGGCGCTCACAGAACAGGACAGTCTCCTACAGAGGCAGGGGCTGTGTGTCTGTCCCCAGGGGCTCCTAGGGCTTCTCGTGGCTCAGCCCAGGGCAGGTGCTGCTGGAGGGAGGGCCACGCTGGCAAATCCCCCACCCTGCCGAGGGCAGCCCCTGGCTGAGCCCCACCCTAGGCGGCCCAGGCACACCTGCACAGCCTGGGCCAGTGTGGGGACAGTGGGACCCGCTCTGCCTCCCTCATGCCACTCAGGCCTCAGACTCGGCCTGACCCGTGGAAAGAACCATCACAGTCTCGCAGGGGCCCAGGGCAGTGGTGGGTGCTTTATTTCCATGCTGGGTGCCTGGGAAGTATGTAGACGGGGTACGTGCCAAGCATCCTCGTGCGACCGCGAGAGCCCGGGGAGCGGGGGCTTGCCGGCCGTCGCACTCATTTACCCCGGGGACAGGGAGAGGCTCTTCTGCGTGTAGTGGTTCTGCAGACCCTCATGCATCACGGAGCATGAGAAGACGTTCCCCTGCTGCCACCTGCTCTTGTCCACGGTGAGCTTGCTATAGAGGAAGAAGGAGCCGTTGGAGTCCAGCATGGGAGGCGTGGTCTTGTAGTTGTTCTCCGGCTGCCCATTGCTCTCCCACTCCACGGCGATGTCGCTGGGGTAGAAGCCTTTGACCAGGCAGGTCAGGGTGACCTGGTTCTTGGTCATCTTCTGGGATGGGGGCAGGGTGTACACCTGTGGTTCTCGGGGCTGCCCTGTAGGGACAGAGGTTGGTACAGCGGTCACTCCCAGGGCAGAGGGTGGGCCAAGCCGGCCTCTGTCCACGTGGCCTTCGCGCTCCGTGGGTCCCACCTTTGGTTTTGGAGATGGTTTTCTCGATGGGGGCTGGGAGGCCTTTGTTGGAGACCTTGCACTTGTACTCCTTGCCGTTCAGCCAGTTCTGGTGCACGACGGTGAGGACGCTGACCACATGGTACGTGCTGTTGTACTGCTCCTCCCACGGCTTTGTCTTGGCATTATGCACCTCCACGCCGTCCACGTACCAGTTGAACTTGACCTCAGGGTCTTCGTGGCTCACGTCCACCACCACGCACGTGACCTCAGGGGTCCGGGAGATCATGAGGGTATCCTTGGGTTTTGGGGGGAAGAGGAAGACTGACGGTCCCCCCAGGGGTTCAGTTGCTGAGGAAGAGATGGAGGCGGACGTGTCAGCACCCGGTTGGGGCCTGTCCCTGGACGCAGGCTACTCTAGGGCACCTGTCCCGCCTTGAGCTGGAGGGCGAGGCCTGGGCTGGCTTACTTGCACATGGTGGGCATGTGTGAGTTGTGTCACAACATGGGGTTTTGGGCTCTGCAGAGAGAAGATTGGGAGTTACTCAGATCTGGGAGGAGAGGTGTCTGAGCTGAGGGAGTGGAGATCTTGGCCTTTGGGGTGGGCTTAGGTCAGGGGCAGGGTCTTCCCGGATATGGCTCTTGGCCAGTCTAAGTGCAGCACCTGCCCCTTTGTGCGCAGGGCCTGGGGTAGGGGCTTCCAGCCTGTGGCTGCCTGGAGCCTGGTGGAAAAAGCCAGAAGACCCTCTCCCTGAGCATGAGTGGGGCGGGCAGAGGCCTCCGGGTGAGGAGACAGATGGGGCCTGCCTTGCTGCCCTGGACTGGGGCTGCACAGCCGGGGTACGTCCAGGCAAGAGGGCTGAGCCTGGCTTCCAGCAGACACCCTCCCTCCCTGTGCTGGCCTCTCACCAACTGTCTTGTCCACCTTGGTGTTGCTGGGCTTGTGATCTACGTTGCAGGTGTAGGTCTGGGTGCCCAAGCTGCTGGAGGGCACGGTCACCACGCTGCTGAGGGAGTAGAGTCCTGAGGACTGTAGGACAGCCGGGAAGGTGTGCACGCTTCTGGTCAGGGCCCCTGAGTTCCACGACACCGTCACCGGTTCGGGGAAGTAGTCCTTGACCAGGCAGCCCAGGGCCGCTGTGCCCTCAGAGACGCTCCTGGAGGAGGGCACCAGGGGGAAGACCGATGGGCCCTTGGTGGAGGCTGCAAGAGAGGTGGTGCCATGTGACCGCGGTGTGGGACAGAGCTGGGCCCAGGGTGCAGAGGCCCCTCGGTTCTTGTCTATCCGCGAGGGTCCAGGCAGGGTCCAGTGTCTGGGCTCACGGGCATTGAGTGTGCACCTGGCTGGTGCCACCTGCCTCACCTTAGCCCCCTCCCTGCCCCAAAGCCAAAGTCAGGCCCGGCCTGCCCCAGAAAGCTTGCAGGACTGGTGGCCCTGTGGTGCCCTTCTGCAGGCACCCCTGCAGCCTAGGGGGCGGGGCTCGGCAGCCAGGTCAGTGCTTTGTCTCAAAAAAAACAAAAACAAAAACAAAAAACAAAACAAAACAAAAAACAAACAAATAAAAAGTTGTAAAAGGATTGTGGAAAAGGGATCTTATGTGGTCAAAGGCGGCTGTGATTGGATTTATTTATTTATTTTTTTGAGACAGAGTTTCACTCTTGTTGCCTAAGCTGGAGTGCAATGGTGTGATCTCGGTTCACTGCAACCTCTGCCTCTTGGGTTCAAGCGATTCTCCTGCCTCAGCCTCCAGAGTAGCTGGGATTACAGGTGCCCACCACCACGCCCAGCTAATTTTTATAGTTTTAGTAGAGACAGGGGTTTCACCACGTTGGCCAGGCTGGTCTCGAACTCCTGACCTCATGATCCACCCGCCTAGGCCTCCCAAAGTGTTGGGATTACAGGCATGAGCCACTGCACCTGGCCGGATTTATTTATTTATTTATTTTTGAGACAGGGTCCCACTGTGTTGCCTAGGCAGCAGTGCAGTGGCACTCAGCACTGAGGCTGAGGGAGGTTGAGGTGGGAGGGCTCAAGCAATCCTCCCACCTCAGCCTCCCAAGTAGCTGGGACTACGGGCACGTGCCACCATGCCTGGCCAATTTTTTTTTTGTATTTTTTGTAGAGACAGGGCTTCCCCATGTTGCCCAGGCTGATCTCAAACTCCTGGGCTTAAGTGATCCACCCTCCTGGAATGCTGGGACTACAGGTGTAAGCCACCTTGCCCAGCCTGGATGGAATTATTTATAAGGTTTAATTAAAATTAGCTTTAATATTAACAGTTCATGTGAAACTAGAATTTGGTCTTCTCTGTTAAAGTGACAGTTTTCTGGAATATTGGTCTGCTCTTCATTATGGCAGGTTTTTCTTTTTTTTTTTTCACCTTGAAAAATATATATTTACAGGAACAATTCCCCATTCTCTGGGACTCTTTAGAAAAAAAAAAGGTCCATTTTGGGGAAGCAAAACAGTGGAGACGAGTGTAGCACCGTCCCCCAAATCACCAACCCCCAGGTCCCAAGGCCTGGGCTGGGCCAGGGCTGACAGGGAAGCCCAGGAGTCTTTTGAACCCACTCTTCCTGCCTAGAATAGAGACAGGACAGGCTTTATGTCCCCCATTCCTCCCTCCCACCTCCAGGGACATTGAAAGTGTCCTTTGTACCTACCTGTAGGAAATTGGGGGGCTGGGAGGGAGGGAACTGAAAATACACATTTGTTATCAAAAATAAACATCTGGGGGGGAGGCGGCAGGAAGATTCCCTCCCAAATCCCTTTCTTCACACCCACCCCACCAAATATAGGAAGAGATGACTCCCTCTCCCCTATTGAAAAGCCCCATTTAAAAATAGATTATACTATCAAAATGGCAGCACGGGAGAGACAGGGAGACCTGGAGTACTGGCTGGAGGGGCCCCCCCAGACAGGAACCACCCCCACAAAACCCCTCCATGGGAGGAAACAGGCAGGACCCCAGGGAGTTTGGCAGACAAAGGAATGGCTTCTCAGGGGGAAGAAGAACAAAGGGACATTCCTCCCTGGCCAAAAAGTTGGTTAAAAAAGGATAAGCTGTCTGAGAGAAAGGTTGGGGAGGTGGAAATTTCTATTCCAAGGGTGTGATTCTGCCTTGGCCAAGACTCCCAACCCATTAAATGGTACAAATTCTTCCTGGACCCCGAGTATGGCCAGGAATAATAAAACGAAACTAACTTCTACTCACATCCTAAAATGGACACAGGGCTCCCTCATCTCCCCACGGGCAGGCCGAGGAATGAAGAAAGAAAGGTCGTTCTCAAGTCAGACCCCGATTGTCCTGTCTTGGGGAAAAAAGCGGGGAGGTGGGGGAGACGTCCTGACCACCCTAATAGGTTAGGTCAGGCGCTTCCCAGTGGCCTTCAAAAAATAAATAAATAAACCGCCCCTACCATTGAAGTAGGAGACGTGTCAGGGCAGCCACTGGGGGACGGACAGAAAAGAGAGAAAAGAGAGAAGCTGTGGAAGCTGAGTGTTTTCTGTGGAGGAGTTAATGAGAGTCACTCCTGGGAGAAATCCTTCCCAAGGATCCCCACCCCACCACAATCAGAGCATGAGTCTTTCAGTTGAACTGTGTTTCTCCTTGAGAGAGCACGGATGGAGGGACCCCAGAAGGGGTGGTGGTGCTGGTGGTGGTCATGGCCTCTGCGGCCCTGGCGAGAGCACCGCGGGGGTCGAGAGGCCAGCCACGCCGATGGAAGGGATGTGCACCTGGGCGCCGCCACTGGACGGAAGCTGGCAGGAGAGCTTGGCCGGGCTGCGGGGCGCAGCGGGACTCAGGCTGCTCCGGAAGTGAACGCTGGGAGGCAGCGAGCTGGGTGTCAGCAGCGCCGGGGTCAACGTGTGCGTAGGAAGCAGGGACAGGGTCAGCGCCGGCCTCGGCGCCTGGAGGCCGGAGCCAGTTCCCGATCCTGGGGTCCGTTCGGGTCCCGGCGCACCTAGCAGGCTCGGGCTGAGTGGAAGCTCTAGGTCCCGGGGCTTCCGGCCCTTCTGCGGCTGGGAGATCTGAGGGCTGGAAGCCGCGTGGCCGCCCGCCTGCCCTGCGGTGTCCATAAGGACCTCGGCAGCCACGCTGGCACGCCCTCCTGTGGAGGGACTTCAGGCTCGGCCTTGGCGGTTTCTGGCACGAACCCTCTCTCCCCCGCGAATTCCAGCTCTTCCTCGGGCCCTTCCACTTCCACTTCCGGGGGCAAAGGGCGGCGCAAGCCCGGCTCCACATTCGGCTCTTCCAGTTTCGGGTTTGGGGCCTCGGGCGGGGTCAGGATGACCTGCAGAGGGAAGCCGGCTTCCTCAGCCTCCAGGCAGGCCTCCCAGGGGCTTGGACTGCAGGAGCTGCGTTGGGGAGCACCGCTGCAGGCCGAGGCTGAGGGGGTGGCTGCGGCTGCAGAGACTGGATGGTGAAGGTGGAACAGAGGCCCGAGCGCATGTACTTGTTCCGGCTGTTGCGCGCCAAACCGCCAGGGCCTGCCATTCCTGCACCCTTGGGTGTGCCTGGCTTTCCTGAGGCAGTGCCCCCTGGGGCGGCATGTGCAGCAGCAGGGGCCACAACTGCCATGGTGAAGTAACCGACACCTCTGGGTGGGGCGGGCAGTCCTCACTCAGTGGAGCACCCTGCGACCTCAGGATAGGACACAAACTTGTAGACTTAATGCCATGTCAAATTTGTTCTCTATCTTGAGCGGGGATCCAGAATCGAATAGTAAAAGAACATTAACTCCAGAGGCCACGAAAGAAATTGAATTAGTTGAAGAAAAAATTCAGCCAGCACAAGTAAATAGAATAGACCACTTAGCCCCACTCCGACTTTTGATTTTTGCTACTGCACATTCTCCAACAGGCATCATTGTTCAAAACACAGATCTTGTGGAGTGGTCCTTCCTTCCTCACAGTACGATTAAGACTTTTACATTGCACTTGGATCAAACGGCTACATTAATTAGTCAGGCAAAATTACGAATAATAAAATTGTGTGGAATTGACCCAGATAAAATCATTGTTCCTGTAAACAAGGAACAGGTTAGACAAGCCTTTATAAATTCTGGTGCATGGCAGATGGGTCTTGCTGATTTTGTGGGAATTATTGATAATCATTACCCCAAAACGAAAATCTTCCAGTTTTTAAAATTGACTACTTGGATTTTACCTAAAATTACCAGACAGAAACCTTTAAAAAAATGCTCTGACGGTGTTTACTGATGGTTCTAGCAATGGAAAAGTGGCTTACACTGGGCCAAAAGAACGAGTCACTGAAACTCAATATCACTCAGCTCAAAGAGCAGAGTTGGTTGCTGTCATTTCAGTGTTATAAGATTTTAATCAGCCTATTAGCATTGTATCAGATTCTGCATATGTAGTACAGGGTACAAAGGATGTTGAGACAGCCCTAATTAAATATAGCATGGATGATCAGTTAAACCAGCTGTTTAATTTGTTACAACAAACTGTGAGAAAAAGAAATTTCCCATTTTATATTACTCAATTCGAGCGCATACTAATTTACCAGGGCCTTTAACTAAAGCAAATGAACAAGCTGACTTGCTAGTGTCATCTGCCTTCATGGAAGCACAAGAACTTCATGCCTCAACTCATGTAAATGCAACAGGACTAAAAAATAAATTTGGTATCACATGGAAACAGGCAAAAAATATTGTACAGCATTGCACCTAGTGTCAAGTCCTACACCTGCCCACTCAGGAGGCAGAAGTTAATCCCAGAGGTCTATGTCCTAATGCGTTATGGCAAACGGATGTCACACCTGTACCTTCATTTGGAAAATTATCATTTGTCCATGTGACAGTTGATACTTATTCACATTTTGTATGGGCAACCTGCCAGACAGGAGAAAGTACTTCCCATGTTAAAAGACATTTATTGTCTTGTTTTGCTGTCATGGGAGTTCCAGAAAAAATTAGATAATGGGCCAGGATACTGTAGTAAAACATTTCAAAAATTCTTAAATCAGTGGAAAATTACACATACAACAGGAATCCTGTATAATTCCCAAGGACAGGCCATAATTGAAAGAACTAATAGAACACTCAAAATCTCAACTGGTGAAACAAAAAGAAGAAAAAGACAGGAGTATAACGCTCCCCAGATGCAACTTAACCTAGCAATCTATACTTTAAATTGTTTAAACATTTATAGAAATCAGACCACTACTTCTGCAGAACAACATTTTACTGGCAAAAAGAGCAGCCCACATGAAGGAAAACTGATGTGGTGGAAAGACAACAAAAACAAGACATGGGAAATAGGGAAGGTGATAACATGGGGGAGAAGTTTTGCTTGTATTTCCCCAGGAAAAAACCAGCTTCCAATTTAGTATCTACAACTTACAGAAGAAGTTGCCATCCACCAAGGAAGCAAAGCCACTGACCTGGGGCCAAATACAGGAGCTGACACAGTTAGCTAAGAAAAGCCTGAAAAAAACAAAGTCTACAGGTATATCCCGCAGCTCTGAAGAGACAGCGACCAGCGAGAAGGGGCCATAATGACGATGGCGGTTTTGTCAAAAGGAAAGGGGGCTATGTAGGGAAAAGAAAGAGAGATCAAACTGTTACTGTGTCTATGTAGAAAAGGAACACATAAGAAACTCCATTTTGACCTGTACCCTGAACAACTGCTTTGCCCTGAGGTGTTAATCTGTAACTCTGCCCCAGCCACTTTGCCCCAACCTGGAGCTCACAGAAACCTGTGCTGTATGGAATCAAGGTTTCAGGGATCTAGGGCTGTGCAGGACGTGCCTTGTTAACAAAGTGTTCACAGGCAGTATGCTTGGTAAAAGTCATCGCCATTCTCCAGTCTCGATGAACCAGGGGCACAATACACTGCGGAAAGCCGCAGGGACCTCTGCCCTGGAAAGCCGGGTATTGTCCACGGTTTCTCCCCATGTGACAGTCTGAAATATGGCCTCGTGGGATGAGAAAGACCTAACCGTCCCCCAGCCCGACACCCGTGAAGGGTCTGTGCTGAGGTGGATTGGTAAAAGAGGAAGGCCTCTTGCAGTTGAGATAGAGGAAGGCCTCTGTCTCCTGCCTGCCCCTGGGAACGGAATGTCTCGGTATAAAACCCGATTGTACATTTATTCTATTCTGAGATAGGAGAAAAACCACCCTGTGGTGGGAGACGAGACATGCTGGCAGCAATGCTGCCTTGTTATTCTTTACTCCACTGAAATGTTTGGGTGGAGAGAAACATAAATCTGTCCTATGTGCATGTCCAGGCATAGTACCTTCCCTTGAACTTATTTGTGACACAGATTCCTTTGCTCACGTTTTCTTGCTGACCTTCTCCCCACTGTCACCCTGTTCTCCTGCCGCATTCCTCTTGCTGAGATAGTGAAAATAGTAATTAATAAATACTGAGGGAACTCAGAGGCCGGTGCCGGTGCAGGTCCTCTGTATGCTGAGCGCCGGTTTCCTGGGCCCACTGTGCTTTCTCTATACTTTGTCTCTGTGTCTTATTTCTTTTCTCAGTCTCTCGTCCTACCTGATGAGAAATACCCACAGGTGTGGAGGGGCTGGCCCCTTCAGAATTCTTCTAGTTTTCTCTAATATCAGGCAACAACTCTGCAAACTAATTTTTCCCTCACCCTCTGACTTGGAATCAGTCAAATTTAAAACTGCCCTTTTCCTGAAGCCCTGTGAGCTGAAATGGGACAAGTTGATGTAAACTTCAGAGAAATCATCCCCACAGATCCTGTGCGGGCAGCTTCTGCAACACCTGACCTGCAAATCAGGAAGGCCCTTCAGCTGCCTACCTGGCTGCAGCTGAAGATGCTTCAGGCCCAGCGTCTAGAAATCTTCTGGCCTGGTGCCCACTGGGCTCAGAAACTGCATTTCTAAGTGTTAACCTTTGTGTTTCATTTATTTTCAGAGTCTCTCCTCTTCGAATGTCCAACTGCTAGCACCATGCGGCGAAATGTCCTCTTCTATCCAGTCCCAACAGAAAATCCAGCTGGTTCTTAATGAACGAAAGGCCACCCAACAAGAAAATGGACTTATATTGTTGGAGGGAAACGAGAATGTCTCCTCTTTCCTTAAACAGTGTGGACTGACAAAGATTCTCTGCTTGGCTAAACTGCAGTCGGGCTCTGGAAACTTCTCCTAGGCCGGCCTGCACTTCCTTGTAAGAAAAAGGCTTTAAAAAGTACCCGGTGGGGCCCGGAGCGGTGGCTCATGCCTGTAATCCCAGCACTCTGGGAGGCTGAGGTGGGCTGATCATCTGAGGTCAGGAGTTCCAGACCAG
Organism: Homo sapiens; assembly: GCF_000001405.40. Classification (NCBI taxonomy): domain Eukaryota; kingdom Metazoa; phylum Chordata; class Mammalia; order Primates; family Hominidae; genus Homo; species Homo sapiens. The sequence goes on from NT_187600.1 coordinate 144,689, forward strand.
CCTGGCCAACATGGTGAAACCCTGTCTCTACTAAAAATACGAAAATTAGCTGGGTGTGGTGGCACGCGCCTATAATCCCAGCTACTCGGGAGGCTGAGGCAGGAGAATTGCTTGAACCCAGGAGGCAGAGGTTGCAGTGAGCCAAGATCGTGCCACTGCACGATGACACGTGCCACTGCCTGGTGACAGAGTGAGACTACGTCTCAAAAAAAAAAAAAAAAAGAAAAAAAAAGAACCCCCCTAAATCAGGTTAAAGACCCACTCTTGACATTTGATCACCCTTGATCCTGAGTTCCTCATCTTCCACCATCTCCCAGGTCTGATCACCCTGGTCTGTCTTCAGCAAAAATCTTCCTGGGCTAATTTAGCCAGAACCCTCCTTCCCCCCAATATTTCCTCTTGGGAATGTCCGTCCTCCGAGTTTACCCAGCTCCCTGGCTGTCAATCCCCGCCAGCCCATGCTGTGTTAAGAACTGAGCCCCATCTCTCTCCCGCATGGCCGTGGTCCCTGCTCCTGCGGCGGTGGTCCTGAATCACACCTGCCTCCGCATTGAACAACTATCATGGAATAATTTTTTCTTTAACATTTCTAAACACACTCTTAGGAGGCGCCAGCAGCCAGCGTGCGGAGTTAAGTGCCTGTGCCCTTTGTATGAAAGTGTCACCGTTGTCCTGGTCTTGAGGGGTGGCTTTCGGGTGTAAACGGCCGGCAGAGGTGAGTAGATGCTGGGAGGCTGCTCCAGGCGTCTTGTTTGCTCCAGGGTTCTTGAGACTCTCCTGTCTATGAGAACGTGCAGTGGCACGGGACGGCCGCCGGGGGGCTCCCGAGTCCGGCTCTGGAGTCTGTGGCCGCGCGAGTGCACCTGCCTGGGCCGGCCCTGACGGATTTTTTTTTTTTTTTTGATAGAGTCTCACTCTGTCTCCCAGGCTGGAGGGTAGTGGCGCGATGGCAGCTCACTGCAACCTCCGCCTCCCGGGCTCAAGCGATTCTCCTGCCTCAGCCTCCCGAGTAGCTGGGACCACAGACACCCGCCACCACGTCCAGCTAATTTTTGTGTTTTTAATAGAGACCGGGTTTCACCATGTTGGCCTGGCTGGTCTCTCCAACTCCTGACCTCAGGTGACCCACCCACCTCTGCCTCGAAAAGTGCTGGGATTACAGATGTGAGCCACCACGCCCGGCCTCCTTTTGGATGCTTCTAAAGTCTCTTTGCCTCTGGTGTTGGCAGCTCCATCGGCAAGCGTCAAGGTGTGGACGTGGAGTTTGCTTTTATTTATCCTGCTTGGGACTTGGCCTTGATCCTGACGCGTCCTGTTATTCAGCGATTTTGGAAAATTCCCAGCCACTGCCTCCCCCGACTCTGTTTCTCCTTTGGGCAGAAGAAGCCCTTGTGGGAGCCTCCGTCCAGCCTCCGCGGGGCTGCGCTCGGGCTGGGTGGCGTCTCCTGCTCTTTCTTCGGTGTTACCAGCTCCCGCTCCTGCGTGTCCTCTGCGCTGCCTGTCCCATCCATTCTTATTTTAGCCTCATCTATTACGGTTTTCAATTCTAGAAGTTCTTCGTAAAACTCTCAGGTCATTTCAAAATGCAATGTGCAGTAATTTCCCATTTTGCAGTAATATTTGAATAGCTTCTGTAAGTAAGTTTAAAAAATCTCTTGGCCGAGCGTGGTGGCCACGCTGTAATCCCAGTACTTTGGGAGGCTGAGGCAGGAAGATCATGAGGTCAGGAGATCGAGACCATCCTGGCTAACACGGTGAAACCCCGTGTCTACTAAAAATCCAAAAAAATTAGTCGGGCGTGGTGGCGGGCACCTGTAGTCCCAGCTATTCAGGAGGCTGAGGCAGGAGAATCGCTTGAACTCGGGAGGCGGAGGTTGCAGTGAGCCGAGATCGCACCACTGTACTCCAGCCTGGGCGACAGAGCGAGACTCCATCTCAAAACAAAACAAACAAAAAAACCCTCTGAAGCACACATTGCATATTCTATGTCTGATAACGCCGACATTTTGCTTTTGTTTGGGTTCTTATTCTATAGTTTCTTGTTTCACTGATTCTTGTTTCTGCTTCTTTAGGGCTTTTCTGATTTGTATGTGAGCTGGGTTCCTGGGATCCTGATCTGGGCGCGTCTTTTAGGCTTGCCTCTGAGGTCCGCTGTCCCCGCATGAGCGGACGGCAGAGCGCGCCTGCCTGGGAGCCCAGGAGGCTGCCGGGCCAGGGACCCCGGGAACCCCGGGAACCCCGGGAACCTCTCAGCAGCAGAACTGCAGTGGCACAAGACGGCCACCAGGGGGTCCCGAGCCGGTCTCTGGGGTCCCTGCTGGGGTTGAGGGGCTGTGGCTGCAGACGCGGACCTGGCAGGGGGACCCGAACCCCAACAGGGCCCTGACCGGCCCCAAGGCTGAGCCTGCCCTGTCCCACCAGCGCCCAGACCCCGATGTTGGGCCGGGGCCTTCCTTTCCTTGTCCCGGCCCTCTGAGGTTCGTCCCCGGGGTGTGAGCTGATTCTGAGCACACGGAGGCCTTCCTCCTCTCTGGGGCTCTGGAGCCCCTGGGGGCCTGCAGGGCCTGGGCCTGGGCCTGGCTGCTGTCCTCTGTGCTCAGGAGGGCTTCTCCCACCCACCCACTTCCGGGCACAGCCCCCAGCCCCACACCCAGCCGCCGGGAGGGCATCCCCAGGGGAGGACCCTCTGCTCCGGAGCCGCGTCCCTTGTCCTCCAGGGACAGTGGCCGGAGGCTGGTGCCTCAAGCTCGTGCGCCTCATGCAGCATCCCGTGGGTCCATTCGCGACCATAGTGAAGACCCGCAGGCCCCAGGCCCGAGCCGGCTCCCGGGCAGGCCGCGTTCTGGGGCTTCCGCGGGGACACTGGGCCACGCCAGGAGGAAGGGTCCTGACCAGGGTCAGGGAGCATCGGATGCTGCCGGCAGAAGTGGGGGGCGCGGGGCCCCACCGAGGAGCCCAGGCCAGCTTCCCCATCTGCCCCAGGTGCAGCCTTGCAAGGCCCCCAGGCCACAGCGTCCCCAGGTCACAGCGTCCCCACACCCAGGGAATGCAGGACTTTGGCAGAGGCTGGGATCCCAGACCACAGAGCCCCACAAGCTGATGCCTGTTCGCGGATGCCACAGCCACCTCCGCGGCAGGCGCTGGGGAGGGGAGGGGATCACAGTGCTGGACACGGACCGGGCCCCAGCCCTGAGCCCAAGGCAGAGCCGGGATCCGGCCCCGAGAGCACGCCTGGCCCTGCCCCTGGCCCTGGCCCTGCCCCTGCCCCTGCCCCTGCCCCTGCCCCTGCCCGTGCCCCTGCCCCTGCCCCTGCCCCGAGCCCGGGAAGCGCCGCGTGGTCGGCGGCGTTCGATGCTGCTGTCGGCCACACGGGGGCAGCAGAGCCTCAGCGGCTGCCGCAGCGGGTCCAGTTTCCGGCCGCCGGGGTTGGGCTGGCGGTGCCTGGGGGTCCTCCCCAGAGGCCCGCGTGTGAAACGTCCGAGTGCGCTGGGCGCTGGACACGGAGATGGGTGCTTGGGCCACGGGCCTGGGGGACCCCACACGGCCGGCTAGGCAGGCCCAGACAGCCCAGGGTGGGGGTTCCATGGGGGCAGGAGGGGAGAAGCCTGGGCTGTGGAGCAGCTGGGACGTCCGGGGAAGGGCCTGGGGGTCAGAGGGGCGGCTCCCGGGACAGGGAGGCACGTGGAGGGGCGGGGTTTGTGGCAGCCCCGGAGCCGCCTCTGAAGCTTCCATCTGCAGCCTCCTGTGGGGCCGGGTCTGCTTCTCTTGCTGGGCACCCACATCCACCCCCGAGGGGTGTGCGACAACCCCCATTCCAGCCCACTCAGATGGTCTCTAGCCCCTCCCGTCACAGTGAACCCCGGTGTCGGTGCGAGACGCCTCCGTGTATTCCCGGACGTCCCTCTGCAGGCCCATCCCCACCTCACAGACAGTCACACCCTTCCAGGCCTTGCCCCATCCCCAGTCCCTGGCCTCACCATCGCATTGCAGGGAGGCGGGCATATGCAACCTCCATGAAATAAAGCCCTAACGGAGAAGGCCAGAGTGGGAACTTCGTTTCCACCAGCAGGTGGGGCAGACACCCTGGCTAGCCCCGGGGAAAACCAGTAAAAATACTGGATTTAAATCCCTTCGAATTCTCCTTTCTACAGGCAAGCTGTTTAGTGAGAAAGAAAGGGCCCTGCAAAGATCCTCCCCAGGTGGACGGGCAGCCCCCAAGCCTGTCTTGAGCTCCCGGACGCTGCTCCTGGGGAAGGGCCTGCCGAGGACAGGGGCCAGTGGGAGCCCCTGCCTGACCACAGGCTGTTCTGCAGCCCAGGTCAGGAGCGCTGGTGCCTGCCGTGTGGGGTGGCCCTGGTCCTGACCGCCTGGGGTCCCAGGTGGTCCCGGGTTGTAAGAGTCTGTGGTGCTTGTGAAAAGCTTGCACATCCTTCCAGGGGAGACTCGCGCGTGGGGCGAGGGCAGGAGCAGGAGCTCATAATCACACAGGAAAACAGGAAGCCCTGAACCCCGGGCTCGGGAAGCGGCGGGGCGTCAGGTTTGGAGGGGCTTCGTCTCCCACCACCTCCCCATTTGCACCCCCAGTCCCTGACCCGCATCTTTCCTCACCTGGTCACTGTCCCCCACCCTGTCCCCCACCCTGTCCCCCACCCTGTCCCCTGTCTGCCATCTCCCTCCCAGGAGGGGGCTGCTCCTGCCTAGCACGCGGTGCCCTTCCTCCCACGTCGCTTAATTATATTTGAAAATACAACATTTGAAACGTGCAAAGAATGGAGGGGCTTTTCTGTGAGTGCAGGGTGCCCCTCCCGTGTCCCCCCACCAGGGGGCTTCCCCGTCCAGCCCCGGCTTGTCCCTTTCATTTTAACAAAACGTCCTCACCACAGTGCATGTGTGTTTTATAAAAGCAGTATTGGAAGTTAATGCTTTTAATACAGAAGAAAAAAAAAACCCGAAACAATATAACTGTCCTAAGTGATGTTGAGTGGGGAGTGCCGGGTGGGAGTTGAATTGCGGGACCACGATCCCTCCACTTCCAGCCGGTCCTGGGGGTGTCATGTGACCCCTTCTGACCAGCCCTGGGCAACCTCTGGATGGACGGGTGGGGAGGGGCCGTGGAGGGGATCTGGGACCAGGAGAGAGAGAGCGTGGCCAGGCAGCCCCAGGAGGGCCCTCCAGAGCCCGAGTGGGCCTGCGTCTGTGGTCCCCAGGTGCGGTCCCTCGAGGTGGCGTGTGGGCCCCCCAGGCCCGCGCCCTGCGGTTCCAGCGCCTCCCCAAGCCTCTGTCCCTGCAGCCCCCACCCCCCCTGCACTTTCCTCTCCTTTGTCTGTGCTGGTGGTCCCTCTCTCACTGTCCCACACAACACCGCACCGCCCTCCCCCAGGAAAGCCTCCACCTTTTCTCTTAGTGAAATAGAAGCCCTTTCAAGGTGACATGTCACCTACTCACAGAACAGTGCCCCAACCCAGGACGCAGCCTGAGGCCCCTCAGGAGCATTGTGTGCCCCCAGGCCTGTCCCCAGTGGTCCCCACCGTGGGCCCACCACAGCTCCTGCTGTCAAGGGCAGCCTGGGTCTGAGCCCCGTCCCCCTGTGCAGGGCACGGGTCTGGGGGCTGGCTTGTCCCCTGCTGGGCGGTGGGCGGCCTGGGGTGTCTCCCAGACACGCTGCCTGCGGCCGGCTGGTGTGGACTGGGCCTGGTGGGCCAGGAGCTGCCCTCACTATGGCGACAGGATCGGGCTGCCAGGCTCCTGTGGGGGCTCAGCAGGAGGGGATGGGAGACGGCAATGCTCACGCCTGACCTGCTGCCCTTGGGGGAGCCGTGGTGCCACCTGGCCGGCCTGCCTGAGAGACCCCCACGGCTGGTGTGGGAGCCTGGGGGAGCCCTGGGCAGGTGGTGGGGCAGTGGGCAGAGGTGGCTGCAGAGGGACAGGGCCTGGCCAGGACGTCACCCTGAGGCCACTGGAGAGGTCAGCAGGGGCCCAAGGAGATGCAGGGATTGGCAGCTGGGGAGCACAGGGGTACCCCTGAGCCGTGGTACCCAAAGGTCATGAGCTGAGAGGGGAAAGGCCCAGAGCCGCTGGATGGTGGATTCTGGGCACCTGATCCGCAGGGCGTGGTGGCCCTCTGAGGGACCCCTCTGACAGACTGCAGGCAAGCTGTCAAGGGTGTGTATGTGTGAGGGTGTGTGAGAGTGTGTGGGTGTGTGAGAGTGAGGGTGTAAGGGTGTGTGTGAGAGAGTGTGTGAGGGTATGTGTGGAGTGTGTGACGGTGTGTGAGGGTGTGTGGGTGTGTGAGGGTGTGAGGGTGTGTGAAGTTTTCAGACTGTGAGGGTGTGAGGGTGTGTGAGAGTGTGTGAGTGAGGGTGTGAGAGTGGGGGGGTGTGAGAGTGTGGGGGTGTGAGGGAGTGTGAGGGTGTGAGGGTGTGTGTGGATGTGTGGGATGTGTGGGGTGTGTGTGCATGTGTGTGGATGTGAGGGTGTGTGTGGATGTGTGGGGTGTGGGGTGTGTGTGGATGTGTGGGAGTGTGAGGATGTGTGAGGGTGTGTTTGGTGTGTGGGGTGTGTGTGGATGTGAGGATGTGTGGGGTGTGTGGGGTGTGGGGTGTGTGTGGATGTGTGGGGATGTGAGGGTGTGTGTGCACGTGTGGGGTGTGGGGTGTGTGTGGATGTGTGAAGGTGTGAGAGTGTGAGGGTGTGTGGATGTGTGGGGTGTGTGAGGGTGTGTGAGGGAGTGGGTGTGTGGTGTGTGAGGGTGTGTGTATGTGTGTGAGGATGTGTGTGGATGTGTGTGGATGTGGGGTGTGGGGATGTGTGGGGATGTGTGGGAGTGTGAGGATATGTGAGGGTGTGGGGATGTGAGGGTGTGTGTGGGTGTGTGGGGTGTGTGTGGATGTGTGGGGATGTGAGGGTGTGTGTGGATGTGTGGGAGTGTGAGGATGTGTGAGGGTGTGAGGGTGTGTGTGGGGTGTGGGGTGTGTGTGGATGTGTGGGGGTGTGTGGGGATGTGAGGGTGTGTGTGGATGTGTGGGGGTGTGTGGGGTGTGGGGTGTGTGAGGGTGTGGGGATGTGAGGGTGTGTGTGGATGTGTGGGGTGTGTGGGGTGTGTGTGGATGTGTGGGGTGTTTGAGGATGTGTGTGGATGTGTGGGAGTGTGAGGATCTGTGAGGGTGTGTGGGGATGTGAGGGTGTGAGGGCTTGTGGGGATGTGTGGTGTGTGTGAGCGGCTGTGTGCACTGGCCGAGTTGCCTGCTGCTGTCCTGGCCTGGGGCCAGGCGTGTGCCAGCTCCTGTGTTTGTTGTGTGCCTGGCGTGTGCTGGGTGCCCGAGTCGGGCTGGGTGTGTCTGGGTGTGGCCCTGGGGTGTCCCTTTCTGGACGTGTGTCTCCGTGCAGAACGGAGGTCCTCGAGTTCCCAGAAGGAAGCCCCCAGCCCCAGGCGGGTGCCTGAGAATAGACCTGGGGCCTGTGGGCGTGGCAGGGCTGCCCCTCGGCTGCTCATGGACCCCCCGGACACCAGTCCCACCCTGTGTCTGTGATGCTCACTCTCTGAGCCTTCCCTGACCCCATGTGCCAAAGCCTGGCCCAGCAATGCCACGTGTGCATGTGTGAGCGTGAGCTTGGCAGCGGGTGGGAGAATGTGTGCGTCAGTGTGTGAGCGTGAGCACGGCCTGTGCTTGTCTGGCTGTGGGACTGGGGGCCTCTGTGACGCTGTGAGCCCTTGTGGACCTGAGTGTGGGCCGTGTGAGCTGTGTGCACGTGGCTGTGGCTGAGTGTGAGCCTCTGAGTGTGTGTGTCTGTGCCGTGTACCTCTGTGTGTCTGTATGTGTCTGTGTGTGCCTCTGACTTTATGTGTGTCTGTATCTATCTCTGTGTGTGTCTCTGCGTGTGGTAGCGTGTCTGTGCTTGTGTACCTGTGTCTGCGTGTGTCTCTGTCTCTGTGTGTGCCTATGCGTGTCTGTGTGTGGTAGTGTGTCTGTGCTTGTGTTTCTGTGTCTGTGTGTCTCTGACTCTGTGTGTGCCTATGTGTGTCTGTGTGTCTCTGTGTGTGTGGTAGTGTGTCTGTGCTTGTGTTTCTGTGTCTGTGTGTGTCTCTGTCTCTGTATATGTGTCTATGTGTCTGTGTGCCTGTATGTGTGTGGTAGTGTGTCTGTGCTTGTGTGTCTGTGTGTTTGTGTGTGTCTCTGTCTTTGTATGTGTGTCCGTGTGTGTGTGTGTGAGGTATATCTGTGTTTGTGTGTCTCTGTGTCTGTGTGTGTCTCTGTCTCTGTGTGTGTCTATGTGTATCTGTGTGTCGTGTGTGTGTGGTATGTGTGCTTGTGTTTCTGTGTGTTTGTGTGTGTCTGTCTCTGTATGTGTGTCTAGGTGTCTGTGTGTGTGTTAGTGTGTCTGTGTGTATTGTGTGTCTTTATGTCTCTAAGTCTGTCTATGTGTCTGTGTCTCTGTGTGTTTGTGTGTTCTGTGTGTCTCTGTGGGGTGTGCATGACTATATTTGTGGGAGGCTGTATGTGCAGGAAGGGCCCCCTGAGCCCTGTCACCCGGGCTGCACCCTGGGGGTCTTCCCAGGGATCCTTTCCTCAAACTTGAGTCCTCCCTGGAGGGCTTAGGTTCCACTGAGGGGGTGGGCGCAGGCACAGACCCCTCCTCTAGGAGGCTGGGGTGGGGCTGTCCTGCCTGGCTGGGACACGGGTCACAATGTCCCCCCATGTGGTCCACCCTGTTCTAGGCACAGGGTGTCATCTCCCAGGGTCTCAGCTGCTGGGGTGATGGGCCCCGGACAGCCCCTGGGTGTGGGGTGGGGTCCTATGGAGGCCTCTGTGTCCCACTGAAGATGCAGGGCTGGGGTTGGGCAGGTCTGTTCTGGGGTGGTCTCGTGGGGCAACCCCAGAGGGTCCTGAGGCCGGGGTAGGGTTGGGCGACCCCACCTAGGGTCTACGGGCTGAAAGCGCCTGGGTTGGCCAGGCCTGGGCACAGGGGAGGACAGAGGTTTGGTGACAGGTGGGCTGTGAGGGGCCCAGCAGGTGCACGGAGGAAGCTCTGTCCCCAGGTGACCCACAAAATCCTCTTCCGAGGGTGCTGGGGGTCCTGTTCCTGGGGGCCATGCCTGGGACCTCCATGCAGGGGTCTCCTCCCTGGCCCAGCTCCCCTGGGGCAAGGTCCGACTTGTTACCCCCTCCACCAGGCAGTCCTCTGGGAAGTGCCCTGGGGCCTGGTCACTCTGGGCCTGGCCACAGCATTGGCCTGGACATGGGGTGTGGCTGGGGAGTGTGAATAGTCAGGAATCCTGCAAACCAGCTGCCTGGGTGCCAGCCTTCCCCCCACCTCCCCCAATGCAAATCGCCATCTCGGAGGTGGGTGGGGGTTTCCACACCACTGTCCCACCTGCTCTGTGGTTCCCATTTTCAGCATTTTTAGAAATATTTGCAAGAATGTGTTTGTGCCTGTGTGGTGGGGTGGGGGTGGGAGCTGCGGCCCGGTGCCCATGAGGTCTTGTTTTTCAGACTGGACGGGGGTGGGGGAGGGGGAGCTGCGGCCCCCCCACCTGCTAGTGTGTCCAGCCTCCTGAGTGGGGCAGCGAGGGTCCTGGCTGGGCCCCAGGGCATGACCCCCGATGAGTGTGAGGCGCTGAGGCCGAGTCTGGTCCTTGGCGAGGAGGCCCAGAAGGCCCAGGTGCCCGTCCTGAGCGTTATCCAGGGCCCTGCCTCAGGCCTCATGCCGGGGCCAAGCCCAGGGCTGGCTGGTGGCCACGCAGAGGTGAGAGGGGCGGGGAAGTGAGGCTGGGTTGGAGGAAAGCTGAGGGGCCCAGGCCTCCCACTCCAGCCCCCGAGGCAGACCCTGGCCCACCCAGGGACCCCCTCCCATGCACACAAGCACACACAACACGTATATGGGCATGCGTGTGCACACACACTCGCTGCAGCCCGCAGCACTGGCTGGCCCAGGTGTCCTCGGGACGTGGTCCACGCGGTGCTGACACGAGCTGGCCCTGAGTGCGGGCTCTGCGGGGTGCCATTCCCAGGCCCTGCAGGGGCACATGCGGTGTCGTGGGGCAGCAACTGTGACCTCTGCCCCGCAGACCCGGACATGCCGCCAGAGAGGCCAAGGCGTACGCTCTCCGAGCCTTCCCTGACCCCATGTGCCAAAGCCTGGCCCAGCAACGCCATGTGTGCACGTGTGTGAGCTTGGCAACAGGTGGGAGAATGTGTGTGTTAGTGCATGAGTGTGAGCATGAGCGTGTGAGATGCAAGCGTGTGTGCAGTGAGTGGTGGATGAGCTGGAGGTGTGCGGTTGTGCGTGATGCGGACGGGTGTGTAGTGTGGACAGGTGTGTGGGGTGGACAGGTGTGTGGGGTGGACAGGTGTGTGGGGTGGACAGGTGTGTGGTGTGGACAAGTGTGCAGTGGGCCTGGCTCATTGTCACCGCCAGGACAAGGCCTTTGTCCGCACTGATAGGGCTGAGCAGGTGGTCCAGGCTGTGGTCAGGCAGCAATGTCCTGGCGTGGAGCAACAGGGGAGGCAGGTTCATGACACGGGGCAGGACAGTGGCCAGGGGCTGCAAGCGTGACCTGCGGGAGGGGGTGCCTGTGTGCGGGCATGTCTGTGTGTGTCTTTATGTGTCTGTGTGTGTGTGTGTCTCTATGTGTGTCGGTGTGTGTCTGTGCATCCACGTGCATGTGTGTCTGTATGTGTGTGTGCATATCCGTGTGTCTGTGTCTTTATGTGTCTGTGTGTGTATGTGTTTGCCTGTGTGTGTCTCTGTGTGTCTGTGCATCCATGTGGATGTGTGTCTATATGTGTGTCTCTGTGCACATATGTGTGTGTCTGTGCATGTCCGTGTGTGTCTGTGCATTTCTGTGCGTGTGTGTCTCTGTGCATGTCTGTGTGTCTGTGTGTGTGTGTGTCTGTGCATGTCTGTGCATGACTCTGTGTGTGTGTCTCTGTGCATGTCTGTGTGTGTCTGTGCGTTTCTGTGTGTGCATGTCTGTGTGTCTGTGCGTTTCTGTGTGTGCATGTCTGTGTGTCTGTGCGTATGTGTATGTGTCTGTGCACGTCTCTGCGTGTCTGAGTGTCAGGGGATGGCCTGTGCTTGGTTCGCAGTGCAGGCGGGTTTGCTCACACCTCCCCCGCAGGGCTGAGCCTCCAGACTCCCAGCCCCATACAGGCCCCAGCCCAGGGGGGAGCCGGGCGGCGCTTGGGGCCTGGAGCCCTGACCCGGGGAGTCGGGGCAGGACTAGCGTGGAGGCTCTGGTGACTCAGCCTCCTCGTATGTGTGCACTGCAGTTTGTCCTCCGTGCATCCCTTGGTGGACACTTGTGGGGCTTCCTGGGAGGCGGCCCCAGACTTGGACAGATTCTAGGACCCAGAGGGATGGGGCAGAGGCAGGGATGACAGAGACAGACACAAAGCAGAGAGACGGAGGCAGAGGGAGACATGCAGAGTCACGGAGACATCCGGGCTCAGGCCCCGACTCTCAGGGGCCACCCCCAGGGAGGACACGCAGTGCACCCCCACACCCACACCTCACACACACACTCACACCCACATACCCCCATCCACACACACCCAGAGACACACAGACACCCACAGCCACACACTCACACTCACGAACTTATCCAGTCACCTTTCCAGCGAGGCAGGGATGACAGAGACAGACACAAAGCAGAGAGACGGAGGCAGAGGGAGACATGCAGAGTCACGGAGACATCCGGGCTCAGGCCCCGACTCTCAGGGGCCACCCCCAGGGAGGACACGCAGTGCACCCCCACACCCACACCTCACACACACACTCACACCCACATACCCCCATCCACACACACCCAGAGACACACAGACACCCACAGCCACACACTCACACTCACGAACTTATCCAGTCACGTCCCACACACTCCCACCCAACCCATACACCACACACCTACACAACTCATACACCACACACTCACACTCACAAACTATATACCACACACTCACACACCCATATACCAAACACGCACAACCCATACACCACACACTCACACTCACAAACTATGTACCACACAGTCACACACCAACCATACACCTATATACACTCACACACCCATATACCACACACACACAGCTCATACACCACACACTCACACTCACAAACTATATACCACACACTCACATACCCATATACCACATACACACAACCCATACATCAGACACTCACACACAACCCATACACCTATACACACTCACACAACCCATACACCTATACACACTCACACCCATATACCACATACAACCCATACACCACACACACACAACCCATACACCTATACGCACACACCCACACACCACACACACAGCCCATACAGTACACACTCACACCACAAACTATGTAGCACACACTCACACATAACCCATACACATATACACACACATATATAACACACACACACACAGCGCGCGCACATATACACTCACACACCTATTTCCCACATACAACACATACCACACACACAACCCATACATATATACACACACACACATACACCACACACAGCGCATACACTATATACACACCACACTATATATACCACACTCACATATATAACACATACACATATACACACACACCCATGTCCCACACACACACCCCGTGTACATACATACACACCCATACACAAAACACTCACAACCCCTACCCCTATATATACACACACACACCCCCCATACACACACAGAGCATACACTTACACACACTCATAGAGCACACACACACAACCCATATACCACACTCTCACACAGCCCATATACCTATACACACTCACACGCCCATACACCACACATTCACACAACTACACCACATACACCCACAAACTATATGCTACACACTCACACACAGACCATACACCTATATACACTCTCACAGCCATATACCACACACAACCCATATACCACACTCTCACAAACTTTATGCCACACACTCACACAAACTATATACCACACTCACACACAACCCATACACCTATACACAATCACACAACCCATACACCACACACAACCCATACACCACAGACACATTCACAATCTATATACCACACAAACCCATACATTTATACACACTCACACACCCATATACCACACACTCACACACAGCCCATATACCACACGCTCACACACAAATGATACACCTATACACACACCCATATGCCACACACACAACCCATACACCACACACACAAACTCATACACCACACACACAACCCATAGACCACAAACACACACAAGCCATAACCACACACACACACAGCCCATATGCCTATACACATTCACACACACAACCCATACACTGCACACACAACACATACACCTATACACACTCACACTCACAATTCATACACCACACACTCACACACAACCCATACATCTATACATAAACTCACACACAATCCATATACCACAAACACACACAACCAAACACCTATACACACACACACAACTCATACAGCACACACACAACCCACAGACCATAAACACACACAAGCCATAACCACACACACAACCCATACACCTATACACACACTCATAAACAAGCCGTACACCCCCCCCCACACAACCCATACACCACACACTCACACACAACCCATACACTTATATACACATACAACCCATATACCACAAACTCACACTCAACCCGTACACCTATATACACACACAACTTATACACCACACACTCATACACAACCCACAGACCACATACACAAACCATACCCACACACTCACAACCCATACACCTGTATACACACTCATAAACAAGCCACACACCTACACACACTCATACACAACCCATACACCACACATTCACACACAACCCATACGCCTGTACACACACTCACACACATAACCCATATACCACAAACTCACACACAACCTATACACCTATACACACATACAACCCATACACCACACACTCACACACACATATACCACACCACACACACAACACATACACGAAACACTCATACACACACGCATACACCACCCACACATACAACCCATACACCACACACACAACCCATACACCTATACACACACACAAACTCATGTACCACAAAAACACACAACACATATACCTATACACACATACAACCCATACACCACACATTCATACACAACCCATACACCACACACACAACCCATAGACCTATACACACACAACACATGCAACTATCACACACTCACAACACATACACCTCCTATACACACACACAACACGCACACTTCCTATACACACAACCCACACGCCTATACACACTCACACCCTCACTCACACTCACCCTCACATTCATATACTCACTAACACACTTCCACACTCACACCCTCACCCACACTTACACCCCCACCCACACTCAAACCCCGACGCTAAGTCACTGTCACATTTGTACCCATGCTCACACGCTCCCACCCTCACACGCTCACCCCCCACCAGCTCCAGGGCTCACTGGTGTGTGCCCACGAAACCCTGCCTCGGGGGTCCCCTCGGTAAGCTGACAGCGCTCTGCTCATCGGTGGCCTGGGGAAACAGGGCCCACCCAAAGCCTGGCTCAGGAAAGGCTCCAAACACACATGCACATGGCCCAGAAACAGATGGGCAGAGCTCAGCCTGCAGCTGGGAGCGGCGGAGCGGGTGCTGGGCCAGAGTCGGGGCCTGTCTGTGGGTGGGGGGCACGGCAGCACGGGCCCACCTGCACACCCCAGGCCTGGCCCCCGAGGTCACTGGGCCACCACCCAGCCCTCGCCCTGTTCCCCGTCTGTGCTGGCCGGGGCAGGACTCTGAGCCTCGGGGAAACCCACAGATACACACGGGACCCCGAACATCGGGCTGGGGAGGTTGGGGTGGGTAACAGCATGCCAGAGGCAGGAGCAGGAGGTCCAGGACCCTGCGCACTGCGACCCCAGCCCTGGGGGCTGAAGCCCAGGACAGCCTCAGGTCTCCCAGGAGGGACTGGACAGTGGGGGATGGTCAGAGAACAGGACAGCCAGCAGGGTGCAGCCTGAGGACAGGGATGGACGCTGGGAGGTCAACAGGACAGGGGCAGGGGCTGTGGAGTGTGAGAAGGTCCTGGAGGGCCTGGAGAACCTGTGGGTCAGTGTCTGTGGGAAGGAGGCCAGGAGCAGCCCTGAGTGGCCAGGCTGGCAGGGGTGAGGAGGTGGGGGCAGTGAGGTTAGGGTGACCGAGACAGTGAGGCCTCTGGCCAGGGAGGGGACCTTGGCTGGGCTCTGACTGAACCCAGGGCTCCTGGAGAAGGGGCCCCAGGCGGGGATGAGGATGTGGGCATCTGACTCCATCAACAATGGGGCTTCCGACACGCACAGCCTGGGCCTCGGAGACCTGGGCCCTGACCCGCCTCCCCCTGGCACTGGGCCGGGTGCCGTGTGTGGTCCCCAGTCCCCGCAGCACCTCCCCCACACTGGTCACGTTCCAGGGCCCCTCTGAAGCACCTGCTGTGAGGGGATGTGGGGAGGGGACAGGGACTTGGGCCTGAGCTGCCGGGTCGGGGGGGAGTCGGGGACCCAGGCTCAGCGTGTGGCTGGGGACCAGACAGATGGGGATGGAGGAGGACACGCCCTGTACCCACTGCCTGCCAAGGGGCTGGACCCACGCCCAGTCTAGGCCATGTCCCCCGAGGCCTGTGAACCTTCACCCTGAGCCACTAAAACATTCAGGAGCTTTGAAAGCAGCCCCCGTCCTTGTCACTATGCGATGACTCTGAGCATCACGCTGTCCCTGCTGGATCCACCCTCCAGCCCCAGCGAGGGAGGCTGGGCCCCGGGCAGCAGGTGGTGAGGGCAGCGGGCACAGCCACGCTACAGCACACACAGGGTCTCAGGGACGCGTCCACCACAGCCCGTGCACAGGCTCCTCACGGCACTGAGTTCACCCGGGGCGCGGGCCGTTTGTCCTCAGGAGTCCGGCTGTGCCCTCCGCCCCCAGCCCTGTCCTGCTGAGGCTGCAGCTGGGTCCCGGGGCACAGGGCGGCCCTGAGCACCTTGTCATGTTGGTCCCTGTCGGGTGGGCTGCTGGCTGTCTGTGGAGCTGGCAGAGCCGCGGTTCAGCCTTGGAGGCCGGTCCTGGGGCCCAGCAGCCGTGGGGAGCACTGCCCAGTCCCGTGCCCACAGGGAATCACCTGGGCTGAGGAAGGGCCCACACGCCGACGGGATCGGGGTCAGGCAGCGCACGCCTGGCACCGAGATCCCACGTCCCGAAGTGGGGACACGGCCCAGGGGCACTGTTCCGGGAGGGTCTCAAGATGGGGTCTCCTATTTCAATCTTCACTCCTTCTGCACCTGTTAGCTGGGAACCTTCTAGAAGGAGGGGTGTCCTCAATCATGGGGTGGTTGTGAGCTGAGCACAGATCATGCAGGAAGGTACATGGCTTCTCCTTCACCAGGAAAACAGTGCAGAGAGACAGAGACACAGAGACAGAGACAGAGTAACAGAGAAAGACAGACGAGAGAGAGACACAGAGACACAGACAGAGTAACAGAGAAAGAGAGACAGAGAGACACAGAGACAGAGACAGAGTAACAGATAGAGTCACAGAGAGACAGAGAGAGAGACAGAGTAACGGAGAAAGACAGAGACAGAGAGAGACACAGAGACAGAGACAGAGTAACAGAGAAAGACAGAGAGACAGAGACACAGAGACAGAGACAGAGTAACAGAGAAAGACAGAGAGACAGAGAGAGACAGAGACAGAGTAACAGAGAAAGAGAGACAGAGAGAGACACAGAGACAGAGACAGAGTAACAGAGAAAGACAGAGAGACAGAGACACAGAGACAGAGACAGAGTAACAGAGAAAGACAGAGAGACAGAGAGAGACAGAGACAGAGTAACAGAGAAAGAGAGACAGAGAGAGACACAGAGACAGAGACAGAGTAACAGAGAAAGACAGAGAGACAGAGAGAGACACAGAGACAGAGACAGAGTAACAGAGAAAGACAGACAGAGAGACACAGAGACAGAGACAGAGTAACAGAGAGAGACAGAGAGAGACAGAGACAGAGTAACAGAGAAAGACAGAGAGGCAGAGAGAGACACACAGAGACAGAGACAGAGTAACAGAGAAAGACAGAGAGACAGAGACAGAGAGAGAAAGAGAGACAGAGAAATAGAGACACAGAGATACAGACAGAGACAAAGACACAGAGACAGAGACAGAGAAACAGAGAGACAGAGACAGAGAGAAACAGAGACACAGAAAGAGACATGCAGACACAAATAGAGACAGAGATGAGGAGTTACAGAGAGACAGAGACACAGAGACAGAAACAGAGTAACAGAGAAAGAGAGAGACAGAGACAGAGAGAGACAGAGAAATAGAAACACAGAGATACAGACAGAGACAGAGAGAAAGACACAGAGACAGAGAAACAAAGAGACAGAAACAGAGAGAGAAACAGAGACACAGAAAGAGACATGCAGACACAAATAGAGACAGAGATGAGTTACAGAGAGACAGATAGATAGAGACAGAGATGGAGAGACAGAGACAGAGAGAAAGAAACACAGATCCAGAAAGAGACATTGACAGAGACAGAGAGAGAAAAATAGGCAGAGAGAGAGAGAGAGAAAAACAGAGACACAGAGACAGACACACAGACACAGAGACAGAAAAAGACAGAGATAAAGTTACAGAGAGACAGAGATACACAGAGACAGAGAGACAGATAAAGAGAGACAGAGATATAGGCAGAGACAGACAGAGAAAAACAGAGATAGAAACAGAGAGACAGAGATAAAGTTACAGAGAGACAGAGACCAAGACAGAGATAAAGAAAGACAGAGACAGAGTGAGAGAAACAGAGGCAGTAAGAGATAAAGAGAGTTACAGAGACAGAGATACAGAGAGATACAGAGAGACAGAAAGAGAGATAGAGACAGAGATAGAGATGAGAGAGACAGAGATAGAGACAGAGCAATAGAGATAAGAGAAAGACAGATACAGAGAGTGAGAGACAGAGAGAGATAGAGACAGAGATAAGAAGAGAGACTGAGATAGAGACAGAGAGACAGAGAAAGAGAGTTAGAAAGGCAGAGAAAGACAGAGACAAAGAGAGACAGAGAGGGCTGAAGAGAAACAGAGACAGACAGCAACAGAAAGACAGAGATATATAGAGGGGAAGAGACAGAGACAGAGAGACAGAGAAAGACAAAAAGAGACAGAGAAAGAAACAGAGAGAGAGAAAGAGAGGTATAAGGAGAGACAGAGAGAGGGAGAGCTACAGAGAGGAAGAGACACAGACAGAGAGACATAGAGAAACACACACAAAATGACACAGAGGCAGAGACAGAGATGAAGAGACAGAGAGAGAGAGACAGAGGCAGAGAGACAGAGAGACACACACAGGAAGAGACAGATGAGAGAGACAGATATAGACAGAGATACAGAAAGAGACCGAGAGAGACATACACAGGGACACGAACAGACAGACAGAGATACAGAGGCAGAGAGACAGAGATATAGACAGAGGCATGGAAAGACAGAGAAGAGAGAGACACACACACAGGGACACAAAGAGGCTGAGATATAGACAGAGATACAGAAAGACAGAGATAGAAGCAGAGAGACAGAGAGAGACACACAGGGACACGAAGAGACAGACAGAGAGACAGAGGCAAAGAAAGGGACACAGCAAAGGGACAGGCACAGAGGGAGGGATAGACGGGAAGAGAGACGGAGGGATAGAGACAGACACGGGGGAGAGATGGATGGAGAAAGGAGGCACCGACGGAGACACACAGAAAGAGAGAGAGGCCAAGACAGGCAAGATGGCGGGACAAAGCCCAGCAGACGGGCTTGACAGAGATGAGTCAGAGACACCGACAATGGGACAGAGACAGAGATTCGGGCAGGGAGATACCTTCAGAGAGGCAGAGAGACAGGGAGACAGAAGGGTAGCCAGAGACAGGGACAGCGGGAAAGATGGAGCTGGAGGCTCAGATGGAGACGGGTGTGACAGAGCTGGGAGCAGGGAGGCCACAGCCCACGCAGTCCGGGTGCTGCACCCACCACGGCCCCCAGGCCCGGAGACCCAGCCCCCATCACCATGTAACCTCAGGCCATGTCCCTGGCCCTGCTGAGCCTCAGTGTTCTCTCTGTACAGTGGGGACCACCAGGCCATGAGGGTGGGGGAGGTGCGGGCCTGCACCAGACCGGCCCTGTACCAATCGGGCTGCCTGTGCCCAGGCCACCAGGGCCACCTCCGCTCAGCCTCCTTGGGGCTTCTGGGGTGGGGGTTGGCTGGGGGCCCTGCCAGCGTTGGCTCCCCTGCCCTTCCTGCCAACCTGGGGGCTGCCCCTGGGTCCTGGTCCCAAAGATGGCAACAAGTTCAGAACCACTGAATTCAATAAAGTTGACGTTTGCAGGGTGGTCCCAGTGTCAGTAACCCAAGTGGGCCTGTCCTGGGGGAGGGGGCGGGTGTCCCCGAATCTGGAGGCCTGAGCCAGCCTGGCCACGCTGGGGGAGGGGGCGGGGGGTGTCCCCGAATCTGGAGGCCTGGGCCAGCCTGGCCACACTGGGTGGGTGGCGGCTGCAGCTGCAGGTGGAGAATCGTGCAAGCTATTTCTGGAAACAGCCTCAGAGGGCAAGAAACATGTTTTCGGTGTGGAACAAACAACCATTTGCATGTGCCCTGAGGGCCAAGTCTGCCCAGAATGAGTCACTCAAGGAGAAACAGATCAGAGCCCTCACACCTGCCTGGGGGAGGGGTGGGCGCCGCTCCAGGGACCTGCTGTTGGGCCCAGAGATGCCGAAAACTCAGCCCACCCGGCCGCCATGGCAGGACCCACTTTCCTCACCAGCTTGCCCCTAGGTGGGACCCACAGGACCCCTGGGAAGCCCTCAGCAGCCCTTGGGCAGGTCCCACCCTGCAGAGAACGCGAAGGCTCAAAGGCCCACTCGGGCTGAGACCGCAGGGAGCCCTGGGCCGCTTGGATGCAGAGCCCTGAGGCCCGAGGCTAGGCTGTGGGAGGGAGCAGCAGTGAGACCCCCACTGGCCCTCAGGGCTCACAGGTGCCCCGGTGAGGGTGCAGGGAGCGGGGGTGCCTGCCAAGCAGGAAGGCGGAGGGCCCAGGCTGCCGTGGCACCATCGGGGCACACTATGTGTCACTGGCCCAAGGAGACTCGCCCATGAGGAGCTGCTGCTGGTGGACGCAGGGGTGCCCTCCAGCCTCCTTGGGGGGCTAGGAAGGGAGGGCAGGGCCAGGCAGACCCTAGGGTGAGGTAGGAGGACTGGCAAAAGGCCAGTATGGCCAAGGGAGAGCCACATGGGGGCTGGGAGGGCGCAAGGTTCGGGCCCGGCCAAAGCGTGGGTGCCAGGTATGGTGCCCACCAGGACCGCGCGGCGTGTACTCCAGAAAGACCCTGGGGCGCAGGACGGGCTTGCCATGCTGAGGTCTGGAAAGTAAAGAGAGGCACTTCACGGCAGCACGCCAGCCTGCATGATCTGTGCTCACACTCACCCACTACGAGCAATGCCCTCCTTCTAGAAGTTTCCTCACTAACACGTGCACAAGGAATGAAGGGAATGGGGTCTCCCGTCTCACAGCCCTCCATGTAATGGTGCCCTCAACCGACCGACTGCTCCCGACCGGCCGCAGCCCTCGGCCCCGCGGCCCACCTCTGCCTGACCCCGGCCCTGCTCTCCTCCTGGCAGCTCAGGGATTCGCCACTGCCTGGGCTCAGCCGGAGCAAAGCCCGTGTCCCCCGGCACCCCACACAGCCGAGTCACCCCTCCCTCACGGCCCCCACCTCCTCGCCCCTGCCGGCCCAGCCACGCTGAGCTGCTCCTGGGCCCCCTTCCCAGAGACATCGGAGCCCTGCAGGTTCTCCAGGCCCTCTGCCCACTCCACTACCCCTGCCCGCTCCCAGCTGCAGGCTGAGCTCTGCCCCTTTGCTCCTGGGCCATGTGTGTTTGAGGCCTTCCCTGAGCCAGGCCTTGGGTGGGCCCTGTTTCCCCCAGGCCAGCCATGAACAGAGCGGAGGGCATGTGCCCAGCTCATAGAGGGGACCCCCAAGGCGGGGTGTGGTGGGCACACACCGGTGAGCCAGGGGCTGGTGGCCCAGAGGCTTAGACAGGCCGTAGGCCCCATCGGAAGTGACAGGGCCTGAGGGAAGCTCAGTGTGTGTGTGAGAGTGTGTGTGAGTGTGTGAGTGTGTTTGTGAGTGTGTGTGTGACTGTGTGTGTGTGACTGTGTGTGAGTGTAAGTGACTGTGAGTGTGAGAGTGTGTGTGAGTGTGAGGTGAGTGTGTGAGTGTGTGAGCAGGTGAGCGTGGGTATGAATGTGACAGTGACTATCTATCTCTGTCTCTCTCTGTTTCTGTGTATCTTTCTTATCTCTGTGCCTGCCTCTGTCTCTATCTCTCTCTCTGTCTCTCTATCTCTGTTACTCTGTCTCTGTCTCTTTCTGTCTCTCTGTTACTCTGTCTCTGTCTCTGTCTCTCTGTCTTTCTCTGTTACTCTGTCTCTGTGTCTCTCTCTGTCTCTCTATCTCTGTTACTCTGTCTCTGTCTCTGTGTCTCTCTGTCTATCTCTGTTACTCTGTCTCTGTCTCTGTGTCTCTCTCTGTCTCTCTTTCTCTGTTACTCTGTCTCTGTCTCTGTGTCTCTGTCTCTCTGCACTGTTTTCCTGGTGAAGGAGAAGCCATGTACCTTCCTGCATGATCTGTGCTCAGCTCACAACCACCCCATGATTGAGGACACCCCTCCTTCTAGAAGGTTCCCAGCTAACAGGTGCAGAAGGAGTGAAGATTGAAATAGGAGACCCCATCTTGAGACCCTCCCGGAACAGTGCCCCTGGGCCGTGTCCCCACTTCGGGACGTGGGATCTCGGTGCCAGGCGTGCGCTGCCTGACCCCGATCCCGTCGGCGTGTGGGCCCTTCCTCAGCCCAGGTGATTCCCTGTGGGCACGGGACTGGGCAGTGCTCCCCACGGCTGCTGGGCCCCAGGACCGGCCTCCAAGGCTGAACCGCGGCTCTGCCAGCTCCACAGACAGCCAGCAGCCCACCCGACAGGGACCAAGATGACAAAGTGCTCAGGGCCGCCCTGTGCCCCGGGACCCAGCTGCAGCCTCAGCAGGACAGGGCTGGGGGCGGAGGGTACAGCGGGACTCCTGAGGACAAACGGCCCGCGCCCCGGGTGAACTCAGTGCCGTGAGGAGCCTGTGCACGGGCTGTGGTGGACGCGTCCCTGAGACCCTGTGTGTGCTGTAGGGTGGCTGTGCCCGCTGCCCTCACCACCTGCTGCCCGGGGCCCAGCCTCCCTCGCTGGGGCTGGAGGGTGGATCCAGCAGGGACAGCGTGATGCTCAGAGTCATCGCATAGTGACAAGGACGGGGGCTGCTTTCAAAGCTCCTGAATGTTTTAGTGGCTCAGAGTGAAGGTTCACAGGCCTCGGGGGACATGGCCTAGACTGGGCGTGGGTCCAGCCCCTTGGCAGGCAGTGGGTACAGGGCGTGTCCTCCTCCATCCCCATCTGTCTGGTCCCCAGCCACACGCTGAGCCTGGGTCCCCGACTCCCCCCCGACCCGGCAGCTCAGGCCCAAGTCCCTGTCCCCTCCCCACATCCCCTCACAGCAGGTGCTTCAGAGGGGCCCTGGAACGTGACCAGTGTGGGGGAGGTGCTGCGGGGACTGGGGACCACACACGGCACCCGGCCCAGTGCCAGGGGGAGGCGGGTCAGGGCCCAGGTCTCCGAGGCCCAGGCTGTGCGTGTTGGAAGCCCCATTGTTGATGGAGTCAGATGCCCACATCCTCATCCCCGCCTGGGGCCCCTTCTCCAGGAGCCCTGGGTTCAGTCAGAGCCCAGCCAAGGTCCCCTCCCTGGCCAGAGGCCTCACTGGCTCGGTCACCCTCACCTCACTGCCCCCACCTCCTCACCCCTGCCAGCCTGGCCACTCTGGGCTGCTCCTGGCCTCCTTCCCACAAACACGGACCCACAGGTTCTCTAGGCCCTCCAGGACCTTCGCCCACTCCACGGCCCCTGCCCCTGTCCTGTTGACCTCCCAGCGTCCATCCCTGTCCTCGGGCTGCACCCTGCTGGCTCTCCTGTTCTCTGACCATCCCCCACTGTCCAGTCCCTCCTGGGAGACCTGAGGCTGTCCTGGGCTTCAGCCCCCAGGGCTGGGGTCGCAGTGCGCAGGGTCCTGGGACCTCCTGCTCCCGCCTCTCCCATGTTGTTACCCACCCCAGCCCGATGTTCCGGGTCCTGTGTGGATCTGCAGGTTTCCTGGAGGCTCAGAGTCCTGCCCCGGCCAGCACAGACGGGGAACAGGGCGAGGGCTGGGTGGTGGCCCAGTGACCTCGGGGGCCAGGCCTTGTAGGTGCAGGTGGGCCCGTGCTGCCGTGCCCCCCACCCACAGACAGGCCCCGACTCTGGCCCAGCGCCCGCTCGGCCGCTCCCAGCTGCAGGCTGAGGTCTCCCCATTTGCTCCTGGGCCATGTGTGTTTGGGTGTGAGTGTGGGTATGGATGTGACAGTGACTTAGTGTGTGGCTGTGAGCGTGGGTATGTTTCTGTGTGTTTGTGTGTGAATGTTGTATAATAGTCGTGGTGTGTGTTTGTGAGAGTGACTGTGTGAGAGGGGCTTGCAGCTGAGTTCCTGGGCCCATCTTGCTGCCTCTTTCTCTCCCTGTGTGTTCTCTGCCTCTGTTGTGTTCTCTCTGCATGTCTGTCTCCATGTCTCTTTTTCCCTGTTCCCATCTCCTCTCTTTTTCTCCCATCTCTGTCTCCGTTTCTTCTTATCTCTCTCATCTCATCTCTCTCTCTTTCTGTCTCTTGTAACTCTGTCTCTGTCACTGGCCTCGCCTCTGTCCCTCCCTGTCCCTGTCTCTTATCTCTCTCCATCCCCATCTCTCTCTCTGTGTCTGTCTTTGTCTCTCCTTTCCTGTCTCTCTTGTCTCTCCCCATCCCTGTCTCTCTCTCTCTCTATGTCTCTGTGTCTCTTGTCTCTCCCCTCAGATAGACCATGGTTGACCCTGGCTGACCTCTGCCTAACCCTGGACCTGGAAAGCCCTAGCTGACCCTGGGCTGGTTGGGGCTGGGCCTACCTGTGGCTGCAGCCCCTCGCTCAGGCCCCAGGCACACCTGGCCAGGTCTCGGTTTTGGGGCATGTTTCTCAGAACAGCAGTTCTCTGGCTGGAACACCTGACCTGGGCTGTGTTCACAATGACTCAGCCACCCCACAGGGCTATTTTGGGTATTTCTGCAGGTCTATTCAAGAGGCTTCAGGAGAGAGAGAAAAGCAAGAGAATACAAACGGCATGGCCTCCCCTCACCTTCCTGTCCCCACTCCTGTACTGTACCCCCTCCCCAGTGCTAAGTCGAGACCTGGCGACCCCTTAGGGGCTGGGGCTGGGTGTAGCTCACAGGGCCTGGGCTGGTCTTCTCGCCACCAAGTCCTCCTGGGGCCTACACACCCCTCTGAGCCTGGAAAAATGGAGCAAGTCATTGGGGTCATTTCTTCATCTACCAGTGAGTACATGCACTGAGAGGGTCTCGGCTCCCCTGGAGGCCTCCCTCCACCACTGCAGGTCACTTACTCATGAGGGCCAAGGCTCAGAAATCAGACAGGACTCAGTGTCTAGTCAGACTGATACATGCTCAGAAAAGGAATCAGATTTCAAAATGAATATGCATAATTAAAGAACCAGAGATCAGTGATCAGGAACAGGGATCCGCGGTCTGGTCCAGGGCTCAGTGGTCAGGAACAGGGCCCAGTGATCAGGATCAGGGCTCAGTAATCAGGACCAGGGCCCAGTGATCAAGACCAGGGCCCAGTGATCTGGTCCAGGGCTCAGTGATTTGGTCCAGGGCTCAGTGATCAGGAACAGGGGTCATTGACTGGGTCCAGGGCTCAGTAATCAGGACCAGGGCTCAGTGATCAGGAATAGGGGTTAGTGATCAGGAACAGGGCTCAGTGATCAGGTCCAGGGCTCAGCAATCGGGAACAAGGGTCAGTGATCAGGTCCAGGGGCCAGTGATCAGGACCAGGGGCCAGTGATCTGGTCCAGGGCTCAGTGATTAGGAACAGAGGTCAGTGGTCAGGATCAGAGCTCAGTTACCAGAAATAGGGCCCAACGATCAGGATCAGGGCTCAGTGATAAATACTAGGGTTCAGTGATCAAAAGGAGGTCTGAGTGATTAGAATCAGGGCCCAGTGATCAGGACCAGGACTGGATGATCAGCACCAGGACTCAGAAGTCAAGAGCAGAGCCCATTGATCAGGACCAGGAGTCAGGGACCAGAACCAGGGGCCATTGGTCAGAACCAGAGCCCAGTGATTAGGAACAAGACCCAGTGATGAGGGCCAGGGCTCAGTGATCAGGACCAAGATTCAGGGATAAGAACAGGACCCAGTGATCAGGACCAGGACCCAGTGATCAGGACCAGGGCTCAGTGATTGACTATTGACTAGGACCAGAGCTCAGTTATTGACTGTTGACTGGGACAAGGGCTCAGTGGTCAGGACCAGAGCATAGTTAGCAGGACCAGGGCCCAGTGATCAGGGCCAGGGCTCATTGATCCAGAACATGGCCCAGTGATCAGGATCAAGACTCAGCGATCCAGACCAGGACTGAGTTAGGACCAGAGCCTAGTGATCCAGATCAGGGCTCAGTGATCACGACCAGGGCCCACTGATGAGGACTGGAATTGAGTGATCAAGTCTAGGACTCAGGGATCAGGACCAAGACTCAGTAATCAGGACCAGAGTTCAGGGGTAAGGACCAGAACACAGCATGACCAGGGCCCAGTGATCAGGAGCAAAGCCCTTTGATCAGGGCCAGGGTTCATTGATCAGGAGCAGGGTTCAGTGATTAGGATCAGGGCCCAGTGCCCAGTGCCCAGTGACTAGCATCAGGATCTAATAATCAGGACCAGAGCTGAGTGATCAGGACCAGGGCTGAGTGATCTGGACCAGGACTGAGTGATCAGGACCAGGGCTGGGTGATCAGGACCAGGGCTGAGTGATGAGGACTAGGATGGAGTGATCAGGACCAGGGCTGTGTGATCTGGACCAGGACTGAGTGATCAGGACCAGGGCTGGGTGATCAGGACCAGGGCTGAGTGATGAGGACCAGGGCTGAGTGATGAGGTCCAGGGCTGAGTGATGAGGACCAGGGCTGAGTGACCAGGACCAGGGCTGAGTGACGAGGTCCAGGGCTAAGTGAGGAGGTCCAGGGCTGAGTGATGAGGTCCAGGGCTGAGTGAGGAGGTCCAGGGCTGAGTGATGAGGTCCAGGGCTGAGTGATGAGGACCAGGGCTGAGTGACGAGGTCCAGGGCTGAGTGACGAGGTCCAGGGCTGAGTGACGAGGTCCAGGGCTGAGTGACCAGGACCAGGGCTGAGTGATGAGGTCCAGGGCTGAGTGAGGAGGTCCAGGGCTGAGTGATGAGGACCAGGGCTGAGTGATGAGGTCCAGGGCTGAGTGATGAGGACCAGGGCTGAGTGAGGAGGTCCAGGGCTGAGTGAGGAGGTCCAGGGCTGAGTGAGGAGGTCCAGGGCTCAGTGACGAGGACCAGGGCTGAGTGACCAGGACCGGGGCTGAGTGATGAGGACCAGGGCTGAGTGATGAGGTCCAGGGCCAAAAACAGGAGTAGGACTCAGTGATCAGGACTAAGGCTCAGTGATCAAGGCTAGAATTAAGTGATCAGGAACAGGGACCAAGTAGTAGGACCAGAGCTCAGTGATCGGTAAACGGGCCCACTGGTCAGGACCAGGGCCCTGTGATCAGGATGAGGACCCAGTGAGGAGGACCAGGGCTGTCTAGGTTATGAGGAACAGGGATCCCATGTAGTTCTTAGGAGCAGGCTTCTTTGCCATGGTCTCTGGTGAATCCAGCATTCATCCTTGGGCCTCAGCCTCATTCAAGATCAGGTCATTTCTTGATTTTGGGACCAGGGGTACCCTCTGTCCATGCCCACCATGACCACCATGACACCCAGGGGGACTTTGAAGCAGGCGTTCTCCAGTCTAAAGCCACCACCC
Organism: Homo sapiens; assembly: GCF_000001405.40. Classification (NCBI taxonomy): domain Eukaryota; kingdom Metazoa; phylum Chordata; class Mammalia; order Primates; family Hominidae; genus Homo; species Homo sapiens. Next base: position 171,690 of record NT_187600.1, read on the forward strand.
TTTCCCTGACCCCCGTCTCCTCATTCAGAGTCTGTGAACATTTTCCTTGGGGCCACTTTATTGCACCTGGAAGGCATGTGAGTAAGGGCGGGTCGGTGATGTCTGAAAGGGCTGAGTTCTGGCAAGCATAGCTGGCTTCTCCAAGAGGTTCCTCCACACTTCCTCCCTGCAAAGACAGAGGGGTCACAGCCTGAAGGAGCAGCATCCTTGCCAACGCCCTCTGTCTCAGCCCTGGCCTGGCTCATGGGAGCCTGGACGGAATCCTCGTTACTGCACTGGAGGGAAGCTCAGCCCTGACCCTGGGCCTGCGCGTGTCCTCAGTGTCTGTGAAGGGCCCCCCAGGAGAGCACGTCCCCCCACAGTGGGAGCAGGTGGTGCTCTCCTCTTAGCCAAGCACTGCAGCCCACCTCATCTACTGTGGGCTCATCCCCCTCCTGGGCTCCCACCTGTGCCTTGCCGGCTCCTGCTCAGTACTGGGGGCCCTCCCTGTTGCCAGATGGGCCCCGGACGCTGGTCACGGTCAGTGCTGTGCTATAGAACAGGCTCAGCAGGAAGAGGGTGAGGAAGGTGATGGTGGTGGGCCACAGGTTGGCGCCGGGGGTCTCCTCCTCCAGGGTCTCCTGCGGCAAGTCCAGCACCACATAGGGAGGCGGCATCTGCCAATCTGCAACACAGCAAGAGCCTGCCAGGCCCAGACTCGTGTGAACAGCGGCTATGCTTCCTTGGGGTCTGGGGACAGTGGGGTCTGGGTCCCCATCTAAGGCCTGAGACTCCCCCAGGGAGGATGAGGAGGCAGAGTCCCAGGTGAGGGGCTGGGACCTTCTGTCTTTGACATTCTTAGGGCACTTCAGGGAGAGACTTGGCAGGGCAGAAAGTGGACACCATCTGCTTCTCCAAGGGAAGCTTGAGCCCGAGGTACCCTCCCGCCCCTCCCACCCCACCCCGTCTCAGTCCCAGCCACGTATTCAGTGACTGGGTCCCGGGGCCAGAGAGGACCAGACACACCCACCCTCAAGGAGATCTGGGTCCAAGACAGAGACCTGGGTCTGACACTCAGTGTGCCAAAGGTTGAATGGGCAAGACCAGAGGCCTCTGTTGCCTTCCCAGGGAATGTGGCTGAGGGGTTACAAGCGAGGGCCAGGTGAGGGCCACCAGCACGGGCATCCTCATTTTCCTCAGGGTCTCAGGGCATAGACCTCCCATGTACAGCTGTACCTGCTTGTCATATGCTGATACATCCAGTCATTCACCTGTCTTTCTATCCTTCCATCCATCTATCCATCCATCCATCTATAAAGCTATTATCCGTATATCCACCCCTCCATCAGTAACACTCCTACCCACTCACCCAACCATTCATCCTCCATTCATCTATTAATGTAAGGCTATCACTTAAATATCCACCCATATATCTATAAAGCTATTTTCCATCCATTCATCCTTCTTCCATCTATCCATCCATCCATTCACCCATCCATCTATAAAGCTATTTTCCATCTCTTCATTCATCCATTCATAAAGCAATTCTCCATCCAATTATCTTCCATACACCTATCCTCCATAGATCTACCCACCCACCCACCCCAGTATCCTCAATCCTCCGTCAGTCCACCCATCCTCCATTCACCCCTCCATCTATCTTCCATCCTCCATCCACCCTTCCATCCTCCATCCGCCTACCCATCCATCCATCATCCATCCATCCATCCATCCATCATCCATCAGTCCATCCACCCATCCATCCATCCATCTTCCATCCTTCATTCATCCACTCATCCATCCTCCATCCACCCGTCCTTCATCCATCCATCATATATCCATCTGTCCATCCTCCATCCAGCCATTTACCCACCCATCCATCCTCCGTCTACCAATCCTCCATCCACCCATCCATTCATTATATGTCCTAGGATCTACCCATGTGTCTGCCTGATCTCTGTCTGCTGGTTCAGCCCCTCATCTGTTGATTCTCCCTCTTTCCCCCTCTCTTTAAAAGCCCCTCCCCTGGGCCAGGTCCTGGGTCCCATGGGCTGGAGGGCTTCTCTGTGGCAGGGCTTCCCCGAGTGACCTGTTGCTCTCAATTACCCTCTGGTGACTGGACCCTCAGGGGTGACAGTGGCCTCCACCTCACCTTGGCCCTGAGAGCAGAGGGAGGCAGCCAGAAGGCGGGGGGCCCTGGGGAGGCCCGGAAGATGTCTAAGGCACGAGCAGGGGCCCCACTGCCCCCTTGTGGGAGTCTGGGTGCCAGGTGTCCCCACAGTGGTTGTGGGACTGTTCTTACACTCCTGGGAGCCCCAGGCAGAAGCCAGAGGCATGCAGAGGGCCCTGGGCAGGCCCTGTCTCACTGGCCTGCTTCTGATGCCACCCCACGTGGCCCCTCCCTGTCTATGCTTTGGGTCCTAGTTGGGCTTAGGAAGGGATGGGAGACTTGGCCAGGCAGGGAGCAGGGGCTGCCTGGGAGGGGTCTGTGGAGTTGGTGCCTGATCTGTGCACAGTGGAAACACAGGGAAGCCAGAGGGGCCTAGGGGAGCAGGCTGAGCTTGGGGGCTTGGGAGGGGACTCCCCTGGCTTTTCTGGAACTGGGTCTGGGCTGTGAACGTTCCGCTCCTGCAGGGCTCAGGCGTATATGTGAGTGTGAGTGTGCACCTGTGCCCACGTGCCCCGTACAGAGCAGTGTGGTTAAGGGGAGGTGCCCCTTCCTGCATGCGTCAGTGGGACGTCCTGAGGCCCACCCACTAGGGTGGTGGGGCCCTCCTGGAGCTTGTCCTCCCAGTGGGGCCCTGGAGTCCAGCCCCTCACTCCCTCGCCGCTCCTGCCACTACCTGCGCCTTTCTTGGCTAGCCTGCTCCTTTTACCCTCCCTATTCCCTCCCAGCTACAGCCAGAGGCGGCTCTCTCAGGGACAAACGGCCATGCCACTGCTCACTCAGAACTGTCCGGGGCATGTGCATCTCTCAGAACCCATCCTGGGCTGTGCCTGCCTTGGCAGACCTAAGATCTCACACCAGCGAGGCCTCCTGCACCACACACTCTCACACTCACAACTCACACTCACACCAGGGTGGAAAGGCTCAGGGGGGTGCCAGGGGCCCCCCGAGGCTGAGGGCAGGGGGTATTCTTCCCTGTCCATGCCCTGGCCCTTTCCCAAGTGCTGAGACCCTGAGGATGGACAGACAGGCGCCGGATGGAAGCGTGGGGCTGCTTGGGGGAGCATGGAGTTTATTCAGGGGTGGGGACAGGCGGGCGGCTCAGTAGCAGGTGCCGTCCACCTCCGCCATGACAACAGACACATTGACATGGGTGGGTTTACCCGCCAAGCGGTCGATGGTCTTCTGTGTGAAGGCCAGCGGCAGGGCCTCGTGGCCCACCATGCAGGAGAAGGTGTCCCCCTTCTTCCAGTCCTCGGCTGCCACGCGCAGTATGCTGGTCACAGCGAAGGTGGTGGTGCCCTGGCTGGGCTCCTGCCGGGATGCCCAAGTCAGGTACTTCTCGCGGGGCAGCTCCTGTGACCCCTGCAGCCAGCGAACCAGCACATCCTTGGGGCTGAAGCCGCGTGCCAGGCACGTCAGCGTCACCAGCTCGTTCAGGGCCAGCTCCTCCGACGGCGGCGGCAGCAGGTGGACCTCGGGCCGGAATGTGTTTCCTGGAGGGTAGAGAGCCAGGTCAGGGGGCTGGGCAGGGGATGAGAGAGCCCCTCTGCTCTGGTGGGCACCCTGGGCTGTGTCCTGGCCCCTCAGCCTGCCTCAGTTTCCCTCTGTACTTGGCATGAGCACTGGAGCCCAGGATTGGGAGGGAGGAGGCAGGCCAGGAATATGCTTTGCAAACCAGAGCACTGAGCAGGGCCCCGAGCAGGGTCTGGACCCACCGGATTTTGAGAGGGTGGCGGTTAGCGGGGTCTTGGACTCGGGGTAGGCAGCAGTGCAAGTGAAGGTCTTCCCATGGTTCCATGGCTCGGCACAGCCCGGCAGGACACTGGACACGCTGTAGCAGCCACAGAGGTCACGCTCAGGTGGTCCTTGAACAGCGCTCTTCCCACTTGAGGGCGTCCAGGTGAAGGTGACACCTGAGGCATCTCTCAGGCCGGTCAGTGTGCACGTGAGGTTCGCTTCTGAACCTAAGAGCAGGTCCTCGAGGGCCGGTCGGTGCAGTGACAGTCGGGGGTGGCAGCATGAGGGAGATGGGGTAGGTGGAGTTGAGGGAGATGGGGTAGGTGGAGTTGAGGGAACTGGAGTGGAGAGATGGCCTGAGCTGGTCAGCACATACTTCCCCATGCCCCCGCCTCGCCCCTCCTGGCCTGTCCACCACCACCTCCTGGGGCTCGGCCCGCGGTCCACTCTGGTGTGAGTGAAGGGGCGGCTCCCTGTGGGGAACACGGGTGCAGGCGCAGTGTCAGGGCACGACGGGGTGGCCCCGCCCCACTCCCCAGCCTGCCCTCTGACCTGGGCAGGGCACAGTCACATCCTGGCTGGGATTCGTGTAGTGCTTCACGTGGCATGTCACGGACTTGCCGGCTAGGCACTGTGTGGCCGGCAGGGTCAGCTGGCTGCTCGTGGTGTACAGGTCCCCGGAGGCATCCTGGCTGGGTGGGAAGTTTCTGGCGGTCACGCCCTGTCCGCTTTCGCTCCAGGTCACACTGAGTGGCTCCTGGGGGAAGAAGCCCTGGACCAGGCAGGCGATGACCACGTTCCCATCTGGCTGGGTGCTGCAGAGGCTCAGCGGGAAGACCTTGGGGCTGGTCGGGGATGCTGGAACACAGAATGCACTGTGAGGACGCGGCCCTCTCCTCTATACTGCCTCTCCTCTATACTGGAGGAACCCAGCACAGAGAGGCCTGGTGACAGCCCCATGGTCACACAGCTCCTGCACCACAGGCCTGCAGTTGGACCCTGCTGTCTGATCCCAGCAACATGGTTTCTGAACATGCTCCTTAGATAGGGTCTCTGATTCAGGCCATCCCAGACACAAGTTGTATTAAACAGGGCTCTGCCATGGAGTGGCTGAGTCCCCTGAGCTCCCTGACCGCAGCCCCTGCTCTGGGTGGGGGACATGTCTTGCTCTATCCCCTGCCCCTAGAGAGGATTTTGGTGGGGGCTCTTAGGAGAGGGTCTGGGCTCTGAGTGCTGTGTGCATGGGGTAGGGGTGGAGTGGCTTGGCTGTGACCCCATCCCCCTGTCCCTGGTCAGAGTCTCAGTCCAACACCCACCACTCCATGAGCCCCACCCCAGGCCCAAACAAGCCACAGTGGACCCCTGTGGCCTATGAGGTCTCGGGACTAGAGGCCAACAGGCTAAGCCATGTCCCTGCCAGGCCCTCCAGGACAGGGCCTGCTATACAGGGGAGCTCTGGGCCCAGCCCACTCCAAATTTCCTTCAGGCAGTGGGCAAGAGAGAAGACAGAATCATGGTGCAACAGAGCTGCGTGGCCCTCAGAACCCCTAAGAACACAGCTGGGCTCAGGGCTCTGCAGGTGGAATCACACTCAACCCACGGCCTCTTTCCCACATTAGCAGCCACCTCAGCCCATCCCGCCCAGCCCAGCCCAGGCCAGTCCAGCTCAGTCCAGCCCAGCCCAGCTCAGCCCAGGCCAGTCCAGCTCAGTCCCGCCCAGTCCAGCCCAAGTCATCCTAGCCCATCCCATCCCAGCCCAGGTCAGCCCAGCTTAGTCCAGCTCAGCCCAGGTCAACCCAGCCCAGGCCAGCTCAGTACAGCTCAGCCCAGCCCAGGCCAGCTTAGTACAGCTCAGCCCAGCCCAGCTCAGCCTGGCCCAGGCCAGCTCAGTACAGCTCAGCTCAGCTCAGCCCAGCCCAGCCCAGCCCAGCCCAGTCCAGCCCAGTCCAGCCCAGTTCAGCTCAGCCCAACCCAGCTCAGCTCCGCCCAGCCTAGCTTAGCCTAGCCCAGCTCAACACAGCTCAGTCCATGTCAACCAAACCCAGCTCAGCTCAGCCTAGCTCAGCCCAGCTCAGCCCACCCCAGCTCAGCCTAGCTCAGCCCACCCCAGCTCAGCCCAGCTCAGCCCAGTCTAGCTCAGTTCGGCCCAGCCCAGTCCAGCTCAGCTCAGCCCAGCCCAGCTCAGTCCACCTAAGCTCACCCAGCTCAGCTCAGTCTAGCTCAGCTCAGTCCAGCTCAGCCCAGCCTAGTCCAGCCCAGCCCAGCACAGGTCAGCCCAGCTTAGCTTAGCCCAGGTCAGTCCAGCTCAGCTCAGTCCACTTAAGCTCACCCAGGTCAGCTCCGTCCAGCTCAGCCCAGCCTAGCCCAGCTTAGCCCAGCCCAGCCCAACACAGGTCAGCCCAGCTCAGCCTAGCCCAGCCCAGCTCAGCACAGGTCAGACCAGCTCAGTACAGCTCAGGTCAGCCCAGACCAGTCCAACCCAGCCCAGCGCAGTCCAACCCAGCCCAGCTCAGCTCATCCAAGCCTAGCTCAGCTCAGCCCAGCCCAGGTCAGCCTAGCCCAGCCGAACCCAGCTCAGCCCAGGTCAACCCAATTCAGCTCAGCTCAGCCCAGGTCAACCCAACCAAGCTCAGCTCAGCCTAGCCCAGTCCAGCTCAGCCCAGCTCAGCTCAGCCCAGTCCAGCTCAATCCACCTAAGCTCACCCAGCTCAGCCCAGTCTGGCTCAGCTTAGGTCAGCCCAGCCCAGCCTAGCCCAGATCAGTCCAGCTTAGCCCAGCCCAGGTCAGCCCAGCCCAGGTCAGCCCAGCTCAGCTCAGCCCAGCCCAGCTCAGCCCAGCCCAGCCCAGCCCAGCTCAGCGCAGCCCAGCCTAGCTCACCCCAGCCAGGTCCAGCTTAGCCCAGCTCAGCCCAGCCCAACTCAGCTCAGCCCAGCTCAGCCCAACTCAGCTCAGCCCAGCTCAGCCCAACTCAGCCCAGCCCAGTTCAGCCCAACCCAGCCCAGCCCAGTCCAGCTTAGCCCAGCTCAGCCCAGCCCAGCCCAGCCCAGTCTAGCTCAGCCCAACCCAGCCCAGCCCAGCTCACCCCAGCCCAGCTCAGCTCAGCTCAGCTCAACCCAGGGCAGCCCAGCTCGTCCAAGCCCAGCCCAGCCCAGCCCAGCCTAGCCCAGCCCAGCTCAGGCCAGCCCAGCTCAGCTCAGCTCAGCTCAGCTCAACCCAGGCCAGCCCAGCTCGTCCCAGCCCAGCCCAGCCCAGCCCGTCCCAGCCCAGCCCAGCCCAGCCCAGCCCAGCCCATCCCATCCCGGCCCAGCCCGGCCCAGCCCAACCCGGCCCAGCCCAGCCCAGCCTAGCTCACCCCAGCCTGGTCTAGCTCAACCCAGCTCAGCTCAGCCCACCCTAGCTCAGCTCAGCCCAGCCCAGCTCATCCCAGCCCAGCCCAGCCCAGCTCGTCCCAGCCCAGCCCAGCCCAGCTTGTCCCAGCCCAGCCCAGCACAGCTCAGCCCAGCCCAGCCCAGCCCAGCACAGCTCAGCCCAGCCCAGCCCAGCCCAGCCCAGCCTGGCCTAGCTCACCCGAGCCTGGTCTAGCTCAGCCCAGCTCAGCTCAGCCCAGCTCAGACCCGCTCAGCCCGGCCCGGCCCGGCTCGGCCCGGCCCAGTCCGGCCCGGCCCGGCCCAATCCGGCCCGGCCCAGCTCAGCCCGGCCCAGTCCAGCTCAGCCCAGCTCAGCTCAGCCCAGTCTAGCTCAGCCCAACCCAGCCCAGCCCAGCCCAGCCCAGCCCAGCCCAGCCCAGCTCATCCCAGCCCAGCCCAGCTCAGCTCAGCTCAGCCCAGCCCAGCTCAGCCCAGCTCAGCCCAGCCCAGCCCAGCTCATCCCAGCCCAGTCCAGCTCATCCCAGCCCAGTCCAGCCCAGCTCAGCTCAGCCCAGCCCAGCTCAGCTCAGCCCAGCCCAGCTCAGCACAGCACAGCCCAGTCCAGCTTAGCCCAGCTCAGCCCAGCACAGCTCAGCCCAGTCCAGCTTAGCCCAGCTCAGCCCAGCCCAGCCCAGCCCAGCTCAGCCAAGTCTAGCTCAGCCCAGCCCAGTCCAGCTCAGCCCAGCCCAGTCCAGCTTAGCCCAGCCCAGCTCAGCCCAGCTCAGCCCAGCCCAGCCCAGCCCAGCCCAGCTCAGCCCAGCTCAGCTCAGCTCAGCTCAACCCAGCCCAGCCCAGCTCGTCCAAGCCCAGCCCAGCCCAGCTCAGCCCAGCCCAGTCCAGCTCAGCCCAGACTAGCTCAGCCCAGCCTAGCTCAGCCCAGCTCAGCCCAGCCCAGTCCAGCTCAGCCCAGCCCAGTCCAGCTCAGCCCAGCCCAGTCCAGCTCAGCCCAGACTAGCTCAGCCCAGCCCAGCTCAGCCCAGCCTAGCTCAGCCCAGCTCAGCCCAGACCAGTTCAGCTCAGCCCAGTTCAGCCTAGCCTTGCTCAGCCCAGCCCAGCCCAGGGCAGCTCAGGGCAGCCCACATGGACGTGTATCAGCTGGCTCCACGTCATCTTCTTTGCCCTCTGGCTCGGCTCAGCCTAGGCCTCAGCTCAGCCATGAAACCTGTTCACCTTGTATCCCAGGAAGGGCCGGGTCATCCCTGGTTAGGCCTGGCCAGCCTGGCTCAGCCCCCAGTGCCCAGATCCTTCCTGCCTGGTTAGGAAGCCCTGCCCTGTGGTTCCGGAGTCCCTGTGGTGACCTCTTTTGTCCTTCCCTCTTGTCTTGGTGCCTGTTCTCCACCTTTTGCTTCCAGAAGGGGCCAGGACCAGCCTGGCTGGACTCCTCAATGTGCAGAGGAGGAGACGGAGGCCTGGAGACCTCCAAGACCCACCTGGTCAGGCTGCTGGAGGGCCCGCAGTGCTGAGTGGGCGGCCTCCGGCGTGCAGGCCCTCATGGCAGGTCCACCCTCACGGGCGTCTGGCTGCCTGCCAAGAGGGCTGCTGTGGGGAGGGAGCCCTGGCCCGGCCCAGGCCCTGCCTTGATGGCCGTCTGTCCTTAGCAGAGCCCTGCTCTGCCTCGCTGGCTGTGTCCACAGATGTGGCTGGATGCTGAGGGGCTGGAGGGGAGGGCCTGCATGCCCGTACGTCTGGCCTACAGACAGGGTCACTCGCCCACTTCCTGCCCCAGCAGACACGGCCGCGCGGCTCCACGTCATGTCTGGCCTGTGGTCTGGCTGTGGTGGGGCCAGGTGTGTGTGGCCAGGGCTCTGTGACCCCACCGGCCGTGGAGCCTCATGGCTCCACATGGCTCCACAGGGCGGGGTGGGGGCCACGATGCAGGGAAACAGGAACAGACACAGTTAGAGGCTCAGAGACCCCGAGACAGAGATGGCAAAGGGGAGACACAGGGCCAGAGAGGGTCCCCGACCACCCGCAGGGGAAGGGTGCCTGTGAGTGGACTCCCGTTGAGGGGGCCTTGGGGCCACAGGGCGGGCATCAGGCTGGGGAGAGTGAGTCTTGCGCTGCTGGGTTGGAGCCACTCCGGCCTGGCCTCCCTCGGTCTGCCCCATGGGCCGCTGGGGGCCCCAGACTGCAGCCCAGGGTGGGGGCATGGGGGCACCCCGTCTCCTAGCCTGCAGCCCTGCGGGTCAGGGTGGCCAAGGTGCCTGCTCTACCCTGTCCAGCGCTGCCCAGGTGGCACTCCTACTGTGGGTCACCAGAGAGCTGGCCGTTGCGTTGGAGAGATCCCGCCAGCGATGCTGGCCCTGGAGTCGGGGGAGGCCAGCTATGTCTGGGGGCTCGGGTGGCACCGGCAATGGGAGGCCAGAGGCGCTTCACAGAGGAGCTGCTGCAGCGGAGTCCTGGAAAGCGTGGGCGTGAATGGAAGATGCCCTGGCCATGGGGCCGGGCCACCCCGGCGGAGGCTGTCGGGTGAAATCCAGGGAGTGACAGTGAGGCCGGATCAGGGCAGGTGGGGTCAGAGGAGGAGGGAGGTAGCCTGGGGCTGCCCCAGGGTCCTGGGAAGACACACCTGGCGGTTCAGGGAAGCTCTGGAGCTTTTGTTATGAACCTTGGGATGCCCCCGGCCCTCGCCAGGGGGACGTGGCTGCTGCATCTTAGTCATTTCTGGCTGCAATAACAAAAATACCATAGACTGGTGGGTTCAGCAGCAACATTCATTTCTCACGGTTCTCGAAGCTGGAAGTTCAAGGTCAGGATGGCAGCAGGGTCAAGTTCCAGGAAGGGTCGATTCCTGGTTCACAGACCCCCATCTTTTCACTGCGTCCTCACGTGGTGGAAAGAGGGCAGGGCTGCTCTCTGGGGTCCCTTTTCTTTAGGGTCTCTAGTGAGATTAGGGACCGAATCACATTTTTGAGGGTTCCCCCTCAGGCCCTAACCACCTCCCTGAGGCCCCAGCTCTGCATGCTCTCACTCTGGGATGACGGCTGTCACACAGGAGTTTCGGGCAGACACAGACCCTCAGACCATAGCACCACCCCTGTCTGCCTCTGCCTCTCCCCATCCCTGTGTCTCCTCGTCTGTCTCCAGCTAGGACACTTGTCCTTGGACCTAGCCCCCTCGATAATCCAGGGTGTCCTTCACCTTGAAATCCTTGACAATCCAGGGCGCCCTCACCTTGAAATCCTTGACAATCCAGGGTGCCCTCACCTCGAAATCCTTGACAATCCAGGGTTCCCTCACCTCGAAATCCTTGACAATCCAGGGTGCCCTCACCTCGAAATCCTTGACAATCCAGGGTGCCCTCACCTCGAAATCCTTGACAATCCAGGGTTCCCTCACCTCGAAATCCTTGACAATCCAGGGTTCCCTCACCTCGAAATCCTTGACAATCCAGGGTGCCCTCACCTCGAAATCCTTGACAATCCAGGGTGCCCTCACCTCGAAATCCTTGACAATCCAGGGTTCCCTCATCTCGAAATCCTTGACAATCCAGGTTTCCCTCACCTCGAAATCCTTGACAATCCAGGTTTCCCTCACCTCGAAATCCTTGACAATCCAGGGTGCCCTCACCTCGAAATCCTTGACAATCCAGGGTTCCTTCACCTCGAAATCCTTGACAATCCAGGGTTCCCTCACCTCGAAATCCTTGACAATCCAGGGTGCCCTCACCTCGAAATCCTTGACAATCCAGGGTGCCCTCACCTCGAAATCCTTGACAATCCAGGGTTCCCTCATCTCGAAATCCTTGACAATCCAGGTTTCCCTCACCTCGAAATCCTTGACAATCCAGGTTTCCCTCACCTCGAAATCCTTGACAATCCAGGGTGCCCTCACCTCGAAATCCTTGACAATCCAGGGTTCCTTCACCTCGAAATCCTTGACAATCCAGGGTTCCTTCACCTCGAAATCCTTGACAATCCAGGGTGCCCTCACCTCGAAATCCTTGACAATCCAGGGTTCCTTCACCTCGAAATCCTTGACAATCCAGGGCGCCCTCACCTCGAAATCCTTGACAATCCAGGGTTCCTTCACCTCGAAATCCTTGACAATCCAGGGTGCCCTCACCTCGAAATCCTTGACAATCCAGGGTTCCCTCATCTCGAAATCCTTGACAATCCAGGGTTCCCTCACCTCGAAATCCTTGACAATCCAGGTTTCCCTCACCTCGAAATCCTTGACAATCCAGGGTGCCCTCACCTTGAAATCCTTGACAATCCAGGGTTCCTTCACCTCGAAATCCTTGACAATCCAGGGTTCCTTCACCTCGAAATCCTTGACAATCCAGGGTGCCCTCACCTCGAAATCCTTGACAATCCAGGGTTCCTTCACCTCGAAATCCTTGACAATCCAGGGCGCCCTCACCTCGAAATCCTTGACAATCCAGGGTTCCTTCACCTCGAAATCCTTGACAATCCAGGGTTCCTTCACCTCGAAATCCTTGACAATCCAGGGTGCCCTCACCTCGAAATCCTTATCTTGATGGGATCTGCAAAGGCCCTTTTGACAAATAACGCCGCACTCAATGGCCCCAGGGGCTAGGATGTGGCTCTATCTTTTGGGGGCCATGGTTGTACCCACGGGTGGGTTAATAGGGGAATGAAGAGGGGGATGGAGAGGCCCTGAGACGGCATCCTCTTGCTCCCGGGAGGCCAGGCCATGTGGAAGGCAGGGGCGCTGTTCCGAGCCTGGGTGTGAATCCGGGCCTCTGCCCCTCCCCACGGGCCCCGTCTGTCTCCTCTACGTGGGTGCTCATCTGGTCTTCCTCTCAGGCCTTTGAGGCGATGGAATTTTCTGTGCGTGAGGACGCCTGCCACACAGTGGGGCAGTGAGCTGACTCCTTGCCCTTGCTCTGGGGCCATGGAGGTCTCATGATCTAGGGTGCGGGGCAGAGAAAGTCACTGAGCTCTGTCCCCCGGGGGGGCTCCCGGTCCGGGGCACCTTGGCTGCGGAGGGCCGGTCTGTTGTAGGAGATGTGGGTTTGCGACACCCTGGGCTGGTGATGGGGTGGATGGAGGGCCTGGCTTCCTGAGACTGTGTGTGTGTTGGTATGAGCGTGCCCGAGCGTGTCAGCCTGTGTGAGTGCATGATTGGTGTGTGTGAGTGCAAATGTGTATGAGAGGTTGAGTCTGTGTGTGTGAACCTGTGTGTTTTTGCATGTGCGAGTGTGTGCCCGCGTGTGTGTCTGTGAATGAGGGAGTGTGTGAGGGGAGCTGGGCAGCGGCTGTGGCCTTGGCCCTGTCCTGCGACGCCCCCTCCTCTGATGTTGTTTGGACCCAGTCAGCCTCAGCGCTGCCCGCTTTGGGGTTTTCTACCCCGTAGGGAGCCGTCGCTCCTCACCTTCTCCCCCGTGCCCGGCTGCTCCGAGGTCGCAGCAGAGGACAGGGCGGAGGGCCCAGGTGCCGCTGTCAGACTGAGGCAGGCTTGCTTCATTCCGCTTTGTGCCAGACTCCATGTGACGTGGCTCTCCTGGCACAGAGCGAGGCTCTCCCTGTGGGGCCATCACTGTGAGAGGACTCTCCTGCATTGGGGCATTTTGCCAACTGGCCCTAAAAAGTGGTCTTAATGATTTACGTGCCCTCAGTCAGGGCCAAGAAGCACCTCCACCCCCTTCATCCCCTCCTCCTTCCTTTCACTTTTCTCATTGTTAAAATGGTTTCTTTATATTATCGGCCACTGGGTTTTTCCTTTCCATGAAGAACCTATTGCTCACCTTTCTTCTTAGTGATCTCTGAGTGCTCTTTGTATATGAGGGAACCCTGCCCTTTGTCATGCCTATCATGCGTTCTCTCCCATTTTTAGGATGTTGTGGAGACCCTTGTAAGCAGGCCTCTCCAGCCAGGGAGGCTGCACATTTGCCCTGAGGACTGGTGTGGGTCAAGCCCACCTGTGGCCCCGATGGCTCTGGGGCCCCAGCCTGCTCCTGGGTCACCTCTCAGCTCTTCAGGAGGTCCAGGCTGGTGGGCGGCTGTGGGCTGGGGAGTCAGCTTTGTCTGTGCTCAGTGGGTGCTGGATCAGGGTGTGTGGCCAGTGGTCCTGGGGGCCCCCACCAGCCTCCACCTTGGTGACTGTGCAGCTGCATTCTTGGGGCCTCCTGTGCTGACCACAGCATGGGCCTCTTCTGGTTTTGCCCACAAAGGGGTCGATGTTGATTGTTGCTTTGACTTTACCTGAGAAGGAGGCATGAGTCTGGGCTGGAGACCAGCAGACCAGGTATGACAGCGCTGAGCTGGGGAGTCTCTGGGGTGCTGAGGGGTGATTGATGGGAACCACTGCTTGGGCACTTTGGCTCTCAGGACCCCAGAATGGCCCCTGCCCTTCCTTCCCCTCTGGCTCCTCCTGCACGTCCTCAGGGGTCCTGCCTCCCACCAGCCACTCCAGGGCCACACACACCTCCTACAGAGCCCTCCGGAGACGTGGGGTTTGTGAAAAGGATCTTTACTAAGAAACTCAGAGAGAAAGAAGTATGACTGCTGAAGCCAGACACTGGACGAGGTCATAGGGACGAGGTCGGCAGCTGCTGTCCCTGCAGGAAACCCCTTCTCTGGCTGTGGGAGCCCCTCTACCCACTCCAGGGGCCCGAAGCCCTCAACCGTCCTGTGGCCTGGCCTCAGAGGGCTTCCCTGTGCCTTCAGGCTGCAGAAATGGGGGCTGAGGATAGATGGCAGGAGGGGTGGGTGAAGGGATGGGGGCTGAGGATAGATGGCAGGAGGGGTGGGTGAAGGGATGGGGGCTGAGGATAGATGGCAGGAGGGGTGGGTGAAGGGATGGGGGCTGAGGTGGATGGCAGGAGGGGTGGGTGAAGGGATGGGGGCTGTGGATAGATGGCAGGAGGGGTGGGTGAAGGGATGGGGGCTGAGGATAGATGGCAGGAGGGGTGGGTGAAGGGATGGGGGCTGAGGATAGATGGCAGGAGGGGTGGGTGAAGGGATGGGGGCTGAGGATAGATGGCAGGAGGGGTGGGTGAAGGGATGGGGGCTGAGGTGGATGGCAGGAGGGGTGGGTGAAGGGATGGGGGCTTTGGATGGGTGGCAGGAGGGGTGGGTGAAGGGATGGGGGCTGAGGATAGATGGCAGGAGGGGTGGGTGAAGGGATGGGGGCTGTGGATGGATGGCAGGAGGGGTGGGTGAAGGGATGGGGGCTGAGGATAGATGGCAGGAGGGGTGGGTGAAGGGATGGGGGCTGTGGATGGATGGCAGGAGGGGTGGGTGAAGGGATGGGGGCTGAGGATAGATGGCAGGAGGGGTGGGTGAAGGGATGGGGGCTGTGGATGGATGGCAGGAGGGGTGGGTGAAGGGATGGGGGCTGAGGATAGATGGCAGGAGGGGTGGGTGAAGGGATGGGGGCTGTGGATGGATGGCAGGAGGGGTGGGTGAAGGGATGGGGGCTGAGGATAGATGGCAGGAGGGGTGGGTGAAGGGATGGGGGCTGTGGATGGATGGCAGGAGGGGTGGGTGAAGGGATGGGGGCTGAGGATAGATGGCAGGAGGGGTGGGTGAAGGGATGGGGGCTGTGGATGGATGGCAGGAGGGGTGGGTGAAGGGATGGGGGCTGAGGATAGATGGCAGGAGGGGTGGGTGAAGGGATGGGGGCTGTGGATGGATGGCAGGAGGGGTGGGTGAAGGGATGGGGGCTGAGGATAGATGGCAGGAGGGGTGGGTGAAGGGATGGGGGCTGTGGATGGGTGGCAGGAGGGGTGGGTGAAGGGAAAGAAGGTCTGGGTGAGGCTTGGGGGACGGGGATGCCAGGCACTTGGATCTCAGGGCTAGAAGGGTCAGACCGAGGCTGGGGAGTGAGGCCGTGGGCTGGTGTTGGGCTGGACGCAGACTCAGCTGTGTCCTGGGCTGGGTGCTGGGCCCTCCTTGGCTTTTGGTGATTGTACAGTCAGAATGGGAGTGACCCGGAGACCCAGGGGCCTGGGATGAGCTCAGAACGGCTAGCAGCCACCCCTCCTCGATGACTCTGTTGAAGGGACAGACACGGTTTTCGGGTGGGGGCTGCGACTGGTGGTTCTCTCGGCGCCTTTAACCTTGCGGCTGAGCCGGCCCCCTCTGGGCTCAGGTTCACTGGCCATCAGCCCACAGTAGTGACCTTGTGCCCCCTTTTCTTGTCTGCTTCCCTTTTCCCACCCAGGGCAGGGCGCAGCCCGAGGGAGGCTCAGGCGCTGGCAGAGAAAAAGCTGGGCCTGGTGGAGCGTGAGTGGCCCGCGGCCTAGGCGTGGGGCTGGAGGACGTTGGTGTAGTCGAGGGAGGTCTGGGGCCTCCCCTGCCGCGTGGCTGAGAGGAACCGCTGCACCTGAGGGGAGGGCGTGGGTCAGGGCGCTCTGCTGGCTCTGCCCAACCCCCTGCCCTGGCCGGGCCCCTGGAGGTGGGTGCCCACCATGAGGAGCGTGATGGCGGCGCTGTAGCTCACGCTGAGCAGGAAGAGTGCGGCGAAGATGCAGAGGCCGGTCCACGTCCACGGCGCCTCGCCCTCGGCCTCCTCCACGCACACGTCCAGCTCTGGGGGACCTGGCCAGTCAGCCCTCCCGGCTCCACAGTGGCAGCGGGGGTGGGGGACAGAGCCCCCTGCTGCTCTCGGCAGTCCCTGCTGCTGTCCGGAGTGGCAGAGCACCCTATCCGGGGCCCTCTGGGACTGCGCGGAGCCGCCAGCCAGCCCTGAGGGTGGGCACCCAGGTCCCGAGTCAGTCAACGGCCCAGAGCCAGGCCGACCACTCCTGACCTCTCGTCCCTGGGCCCCCACTCTGGCCCCATTTTCCCTCTGTTCCTTACGGCTTCTCTCCTGACCTCTGGTTACCTCCACTCCGCCTCTCTAGACCCCACGCCCTCCCCAGAGAAGGACCCAACCCCTCGGCACAGGAGTGGCCGCCTCACTCAGGGCCCTCGGAAGGATGCGTGAGCTCTGCGGCCTGGCTCCCAAGACCTGGGACTCACTGCATGGGTGCTCTGAGGGGCTGTCCTGGTGTGGACTATGAGCCCAGGCCTGTGGGTGTCCAGAGCTGCCTCCTGGCCCTACCCCGGCCCGGCCCCGCCCACCAGCCTGGTCCCTCTGGCTCCTGCCCTGAGTCCCCTCCACTCCCTTCCCCAACACCGTGAGCTGCCTGCTGGTCCCGGGTCATCAGCAGGTGCAGGTCCGGCCTCGGGCCCTCACACCTCTTTCTGCTGCTCCAGGCCCAGAGCTGGGTGCAGGTGGGCTGGGACGTGAGAGTGAAGCTGAATGTATGGCTGTGACGGTGTGCAGGGACTGTCTTCAGACATGGAGGGGCTTTGTGCTCATGGGGTGCCCGGTGCCCGTGTTTCCGTGTGGATTTGGTGGGTGCTGTGCCCTTGGTGTGCATGACCGGGGGGAGCGTTTGGATCTGGGGTGTCAGATGCACATGTGGGTTTGAGGTCTGTGAGGGGCACGTAGCCTGCTCTGGGGTTCCGGTGTGGGTGAGTGGGGGATGGAGCCCACGCATCCATCCTGTGTTTGGCTGTGGGGTGCTGCTGACAGGGTGACAGGGAGGGTTGGACTGGAGGACACCACGTGAGGGCCTCTCCATTTCTCTCTGGGATCCAGCGGCCCAGGTATGGCTCAGAGGAAGGGCTTGGCAGTAGCCTCGCTGGAGGCAGGGTGGGAGGCGGAGTGTGGGCCACGTGTGACCACGTGTGGGGTGTCTATGGCGCCCTGGTGGTGGTACAGGGTGCTGTGGAGTTGCTATGGGGCCTAGTGTGTGCACAGCTGTGCCTTGAGTGAGGCGTGAGTGGGCGAGACTGGGTGTGTGAGGCTGGCGATCCCCTGGAGGCCGATTCAGGATGGACCAAGGGGCGGTGGGGGGCAGTAGGAGAGGGGGCCTGGCTGCTGACCTGGGCCTGGTGTGCCCACAGGGCGGGGTGGCGGAGGCTGCGGGGTGTGAGTGGGCTCGGCTCCACTGGCCCCGGTGCTGGGGCCAGGACTCGGCAAGGTGGGACAGGGCAGAGAGGCGAACGCCAGTGGCACAGACTTGGGCGAGGGCTGTCGGGTCGTGTGTGTCTGTGTGGGGGTTTCACTTAGGGCTGTTTTTCTACCTGGAGGGGCCTGTGTGCCCATCTATACCTGGGGGTGCAGGGGCTCCTGTCCAGGGGGGTAGAAGCCAAGCCCCCAAGAGAGAGGGCTGTCGGGGCTCCCTTGCCCCTTCCCTGAGGACCTCCCCTGGGTCTTTGGACTCCTTGGAGGGGGTAGACCGAGAGTGGGGGCAGAGAGGGCCCGGGGTAGCTGTGATGAGTCCCTGCAGATACGCTGTTTGACAAATAACCCTGACACGAAGGCAGATGGATGAGTGGCACCTCAGCCCTGCCCACCTCCTCCCACCACCTCTCCTGGGGGGACTCAGCCCTGCCCACCTCCTCCCACTGCCCCTCCTGGGGGGCCCATTCCTCTGTGCCAAGATGCACCTGCCCACAGCCCTGCCCGCTCCCAAGAACGGGTGTACCCTGGGCTCTGAGCAGGCACTGTTTATTGGGGGTAGCTTCCTGGGGTCGTTGCAACAGTGGACAGAAGGTCTGGCCAGCCCTCCCCACTGCACAGCTGGACGGAGCCCTGGGAGGGAGGGAGGCAGGAGTACGTCATTTACCGGGATTTACAGACACCGCTCGCTGGACGGTCTGTGAGGGGCTCGCTGCCTCATGGACTGCACGGCAGATGAACTCATCTTTCTGCTCCCACTCGGCCCTGGTCACCTCCAGGCGGCTGAAGATGAAGAAGCCGGAGCCCTTGGTCTTGCGGGGCTGCGTCGTGCTGTGCCGGGCGTCCGGGAGCTGCACCTCGTTGTGCAGCCACTGCACCGAGATGTCCTCAGGCATGAAGTTCTGGATCAGGCAGGTGAGGGTGCGCTTGTCCCGGCTCCCCAGCCACTCCGGCGTCGCAAACGCATAGACTTCCGGGGCAGCACGCGGGCCTGTGGCCAGACGTGGGGTCAGCCCAGGCCCCGCTCACTCGCTCCCTCCCTCCCCCCACGACCCCGGCCTGCCCGTGGCTCACCGCTGGTCTTGGTCGTGGACCGCACGAGGGCCCTGGGCAGGTGGGGGTGGGTCACCCTGCACTGGTAGGTCTCCCCTTCGATCCAGTCTCGGGTGCCCACCGGCAGGGTGGACGTGACGGTTAACGTGCCATTGCGCTGCTTCTCCTCCTTTCTGGTGGAGTGGTTCACAGGCTTCCCACTGGCCCGGGACCAGGTCAGGTTCACGGTCCACTTGCTGGGTGCCAGGTCCACCACCAGACAGGTGATCGTGGGCGACTTGCGGATGAACAGGTCGAACGGGCTGGGCCGGCTTAGGTAGGCGCTCACCCCTCTCGGGTTGAACCCAGTGTAGTGTCAGCTGAACCCAGTGTAGTCTAGCCGAGCCCAGCTCAGCTGAACCCAGTTGAGACCAACCCAGCTGAGTCCACTCAGGCGAGCCTAGTTTAGCCCAGTTCACGTGGGCACAGTTCAGCCCAGCCCAGCTCATCCCAGCTAAATTCAGATCACCCCAGCCCAATTTAGTTCAATAATTTAAGGCCTGCTCACTCCAGCTTTTAACCCTGTCCGTCGTCAGGTCTCTCCCCCAGCCTAGCCCTCCTCAGCTCAATCCCATTTAGCTCAGCCCAGCTTACTCAGCCCAACCAGCTAAGCTTGGCTCAGGTCTGTCCAGCTCAGCGCAGCCCTGCTGAACTCAGGCCAGGTCAGGTAAGCTCAGCAGGTAATACCCCAGCTTGGTCTCCTTCAGCCCGGATAGTCCACGAGCACCCATTTTATCCTAAGTAGAGAACTGTAGCTTGTCCCTACTCCTGTGTCGGCCCAGCTTATTTCAACCAAGTCCAGTCAAGTCCAGGTCAGCCTAATTCAGCTTAACTCAATCCTGGACCACCCAGGGCAGGCCACCTCAGCTCAGCCTGACTTTGCCCTGCTCCCCAGATAAGTCCAGCTCAGCCCAGCTCAGTCCACCTTAGGGCTTAGGATAACCCAGCTCAAGCCTAGCTCAGCTGAGCCTAGCTCATTTCCCTCTACCCAGTCCACTCACTCAACTCAGCTAAACCCGCCTGGCCCGGGCCAGCCCCGATCGCCCTGGCTCAGGACAGCCCAGCTTGGCCACCTGTCCTCTAAGGGACAGGGTAGCCCTCTCAGCCCACCCAGCTCGCCTCAGCTCAGTCTGTTAGGCCCGTCTCAGTCTAGTCCACTCAGCCAAGCCCCCCTCAGTCCACCCAGCTCGGACTTGCCAAGATCAGCCAGTTGCGCAGTGGAGCTCAGGACAGCTCCCTGCTGCCGCCTCCCCACCCTCCCTCCCGGCTCTGGGTTGGCTGTCCCTGTCCTGGGGGTGACAGGCAGTCTGCACCCAGCCTAGCCCTGCCCAGCATGGGGCCTCTGACCTTCTTAGTCTTGGGCCCAGCCAAGATTCCCAGCCCCCTGCCTTCTCCAGGTCGGCGTTAGGCTGTTTCTAGCTTTCCTGTGTCCCCATGCAGGGAAGGGACGTCTGGAGTCCATGCAGTAACTAAGAAGCTTGGTTGATGCTGTGAGGGTGGCCCAGGAGTCCCCTCGCTGTCAGGGACCCAGGCAGCCTCTCCCTCACTGCTGCCTGGGCCGGCCCCTTGATTGGGGCTCCCGGTGGGCTGGGATACCTGAAGCGCCGGGTCGTCCATTTGGTGCCTGTGGCTGGTGTGGCCCGTCCGGCTCCCTGTCGGGTTCCTGGACAGCTCCCAGATGATCAGTAACCGTGGTTGTTATTTCTGTGTCGGGCAGTGGAGCCTGGGTGGGGGGAGCTCTGCCTCAGTGCTTTCAGCTAAAAATGGAGTGGGAACCCCTGGAGGCCCGGGCCACCCTGGAAGTTCCCTTTTCTCTCTGTTCTTGGGAATTCGATTGAGCAACAGCGGGGGCTCAGGTGAGGCTCCTTCACTACCGATGCACACCGAGTGCTGGGGGAGGTTCTCTTCTCTCTCAGGCCCCAGTGTTGGAGGTGGGCCTGGTGGGAGGTGATTAGATCATGGGGCTGGACCCCTCATGAATGGCCTAGCACCATCTCCCAGGTGATGAGTGAGTTCTCCCTCAGTTAGTCCCTGTGACAGCTCGTTGTTTACAATTCTGGGACGTGCCACTTCTTTTCTCTTGCTCCCTCTTGCCATGTGACATGCCTGCTCCCCCTTCGCCTTCTGCCATGATTGCAATCTCCCTGAGGCCTCACCAGAAGCAGATGCCAGGGCCGTGTTTCCCTTCTGCTCTTCTGCTCTCCCCCGCCCTTCCCTTCTTCTTGTCTTTTCAAGACAAGTTCTCACTATGTTGCCCAGGCTGGTCTCAAACTTCTGAGCTCAAGTGATCCTCCTGCTTCTGCCTCCCAAAATGCTAGGATGACAGGTATGAGCCACAGTGCCTGGCCTAAACACCTTTTCTTTATAAATTACTAGCCTCATGTATTTTTTTTTCTAGTAACACAAACTAACACAGAACATTGGTATTGAGGAGTGGAACATTGCTATAAAGATACCTGAAAATGTGGAAGCAGCTTTGGAATTAGGTAACAGGCAGAGAGGTTAGAAGAATTTGGAGGACTCAGAAGAAGACAGGAAGATGAGGGAAAGTTTGGAATTTCTTAGAGACTATTAAATGGTTGTCACCAAAATGCTGATAGACATATGCACTGTGAAAGCCAGGCTGATGAAATCTCAGATGGAAATGAGGAACTTATTGGGAACTGGAGTAAAGGTCACGCTTGTTAAATCCTAAGATACAACTTGGCTGCATTGTGTTCATGCCCTAGGGATCTGTGGAAGTTTGACCTTAAGAGTGATGACTTAGGGCATCTGGGGAAGACATTTCTAAGCAGACGTTTCTAAGGTGTGACCTGGTTGCTTCTAACAGTCTAGGGTAAGATATGGGAGCAAAGAAATGACTTAAAGTTGGAACTTATATTTAAAAGTTGCAAATGAAAAAATAAAATGCTAATCCAAGGGGATTCCAAAGAAACCTGGAAAACCAGTTCAGGCCATGACAGGAAGGGGAGGGTGGTTTGGACTCCCTCACTATACCCTCTCCCTGTTGGAGCTTAGGCTCAGCTGACCAGTGTTAACATTAAAACAGGGAGCTTAAGACTGACAAAGCAGACTCTTTGTAGCAATAAGGTATCAAATCCCAACCTGACTCTGGTATAGCATCACATGACAGGTGGCAGGCATGGAAGGAAATTAAAGTATTTTATCCCAGAATATGTTTCTCTGACACATTTTGGAAGGGCCCTGCAAAGCCGTCTCTTGTGGAGGAAATGTATATTCTGTTGAGAATCTTTTTCCCTTTCCAGGTCTCTTCCTGATTCAGGAGAGATTTATCCAAGAGTCTGGCACCTTTTAGGTTCTGATAAGAGACATTGACCATCTCTTCTCTCTGGAACGTGGAGGCTTCGTCTACATAACAAGAACCTTGGCTTCCACAACCCCCTTATCTTAAGCATTGCTTTTCGCTGACTTCAACTTTTTAGATAATTTAACTTTTTCAGCCAATCGCCAATCAGAAAATCTTCAAATCCACCTATGATTTGGAATTCCCCACTTTGAATTGTCCTGCTTTTCCAAACCAAACCAAACCAATGTATACTTTACATGTATTGATTGATGTCTCATGTCTCCCTAAAACATAAAACCAGGCCGCAACCCAAGCACCTTGCACACATGTTCTCAGGACCTTTTGAGGCTGTGCCACAGTTCATGGCTCTCATATTTGGCTCAGAATCAATTTTTCAAGTGTTTTATGGAGTTTGGCTTTTTTCATCAACAAAGGGAAGCAGAGCATTAAAAATGTGGAAAATTCACAGCCTGGCCATATGGTAGAAAAGAAAAGGTATTTTCAGGAGACAAATATAAGTAGGCTATGGAGCAGCCAGTTGCTAGAGAGATTAGCATAACTAAAAGAGAGCTAAGTGCTCATATCCAGAACAAAGGGAAGAAGGCCTTGAAGGCATTTTGGAAATCTCTGAGGTGGTCTTTCCCATCACAGGCCCAGAGGCCAAGAGGGAAAGGATGGTTTTGTGGGCCATGGCCATGGCCACTGCTGCCTGTGCAGCCTTGGGACACTGCTCTCCACATCCTGGTTCCTCTGGCTCCAGCCTTGGCTCAAAGGGCCCCAAGTATAGCTTAGGCTGCTTCTTTGGAGAGTGCAAGCCACTATAAGCCTTGGTGACTTCCATCTGGTGTTAAGCCTGTAGGCCCCCAGAATACAGGAGTGAAGGAAGCTTGGCATCTTCCCTCTAGATTTCAGAAATGTATGAGAAAGCCTAGGTGCCCAGACAGAAGCCTCCTGCCAGCATGGAGCCCTCACAGAGAACCTCTACTAGAGCAGTGCCAAAGAGAATGTGGGGTTGAACCCCCATATAATGTCCCCACCAGGGCACTGCCTAGTGGAGCTGTGGGAAGGGGGCCACTGTCCTCCAGACCCCAGAATGGTGGATCCACTGGCAGTTTGCACCCTGAATCTGGAAAAGCCACAGGCACTCAACTCTATCATGTGAGAGAAGCCACAGGGGCAACATCCTCCAAAGCCACAAGGGTAGAGTTTTCCAAGGCCTTGGGAGCCCACCCCCTGCACCAATGTGCCCTGGATATGGGACATGAAGTCAAAGGAGATTACCTTGGAGCTTTAAGATTTAATGACTGCCCTGCTGGATTTCTGACATATATGGGGCATGTAGATCCTTTCTTTTTGCCAACTTCTCCCTTGTGGAATGGGAATGTTTACCCAATGTCTGCACTCTCATTGTATTTTGGGAGTCAATAATTTGTCTTTGATTTCATAGGCTGATAGGTGGAAGGGAGTCATCTTCAGATGAGACTTGGGACTTGGGAAATTTGGGTTGATTCTGGAATGAGGTAAGACTTTGGGGGACTGTTGAGAAGGCATGATTGTATTTTGCAACATGAGATTTGGGGGACCAGGGGTGGAAGGATATGGTTTATATATTTCTCCCCTCCAAATCTCATGTTGTAATATGATTCCCAGTGTTGGAAGTGGGGCCTGGTAGGAGGTGATTAGATCAAGGGGGAAGATCCCTCATGAATGATTTAGAATCATCCCCTTGGTGATGAGTGAATTCTCCCCCAGTCAGCTCACACACAGTCTAGTTGTTTAAGTCTGGGGCCCCCCCTCAGCCTCTTGCTCCCATTCTTGCCATGTGGCATACCTGCTCTCCCTTCACCTTCTGCTATGACTGTAAGTTTCCTGAGGTCCTCGCCAGAAGCAGATGCTGGTGCCATACTTCCTATACAGCCTGCAGAACTGTGAGCCAATTGAACCTCTTTCCTTCATAAGTTACTCAGCCTCAGGTATTTCTTTACAGTAATGCAAATGGACAAACACAGGTGGCTCCTGACACACCCCTCATCTTCTCCTTTGTCATCATATGGCTTACCTCCATGTGTGTCTGTGTCCTCTCCTCTTATGAGGACACCAGTGTTTGGACTTGGGATCCATCCAAAATTTAGTATGATATCATCTCAAGTCCTTAACCTAATTTGTAAAGACCCCATTTCCAAATAAGGTCACATTCTGAGGTTCCAGGTGGGCATACATTTGGCCAGGGAGATGCCATCAGCCCACCACACCAGCCTACGCAGGTACATTTGCATATAGCTTAGGGTTGACGTTTCTCATGGAAGTATTACATCCCCCTCTGGACTCCAGTTTTGCATGTTTTAGAATGCTTCGCCTTCTCCAGCAGGATGAATCTCTTTTCATTTTTTAGTATTTTTCTCTTTCTTCTTTGGATTGGATTAAAAAGAATTGATATACTCTATTGATGCATCTTTAAGTTTTCTGTTCCTTCTTATGTCTTGTCCAATCTGTTATTAAACTTGGGTAATGTTTTTCTCTTTCTTTTCTTTTTTAATAAAATAGAGATGGGGTTTCACCATGTTGCCCAGGCTGGTCTCCAACTCCTGAGGTCAAGTGATCCTTCCTTGTTGGCCTTCCAAAGTGCTAGGATTACAGGTATGAGCCACTGGGCCTGGTCAAATGATGTTTTTCATTTCCGAATCATACTTTTAGTTCTAGAATTTTCATTCGCTTCTTGTAACTATTTTCAGTTTTTTATAGAGATACCTCATCTAGTCACTCATGATAACCATATTTTCCTTTAAGTCTTTGAACATATTTAACATAACTTCTTTAAAGTCCTTGTCTGATAACTGTATCTGCATCTAGGTCATCTTGGAGTTGATCTCCATTGATCCCTTTTTCTTTTGACTTTGGATCACATTTTCATGTTTCTTTGCATACATAGTAATTTTGGATGTGTGCCTGATGTTGTTGATAACATGTGGTACAGGCTATGGGGTTTGCATTCTTTCTTAGCAGAGCATTAATTGTTTTTTTCAATGTTAGCAAGCAGTTAGCTTGAGTTGACTCAAACTCCCAAGTCTGCCTGCCTGGCAGTTGGCAGTAGCTGGAATCTCAGTTCTCTTGACCTTACAGGTGTTGCTTTCTGCTGGACCCTTTGGAGTTTTCCCTACCCATGCACACCTAAGGAATCGGCCAGAGGTTTCACTGGAGTTTACTTGCAGATTGTGGGGTTTCCCTTCGGTGACCTTCTCCTTTACGGATATCTTCTCTTCATTTCCAGCTGCTCTGAAAATGCAGCCCTGCATCCCACTCCTCACCAGGAGGGCTGCAGTTTCCTGCTTAAACTCTAGCTGCACCCATTACCTGCACTGGGGTGTGACTTCAGACGAATATTTCACGGAATAATCCTTACTAGTGTTTGCCTACTTCTGGTCATGTCCCAGTGCCTGCAATTGGTGTGTGTGGGTGTTGTGTGTGCTTACAGCATTTCCAGTGTTTATAATTGCCTTCTGCCAAAGGGCTGGTCTGATATTAGCTGCTCCAGCATTATTGGAATCAGAACTACTTTCTCTCACGTGGTTTTTCATTTTCATTTCCCTGTTGACTAGTGTGGTTCAACATGTTTTCATATGTTTAGTGGCTATTTGGATATCTTCTGTAAAACATCTGTTCAATTCTCTTGCCTATTCCTCATTAGATTATTTGATTTTTTTTTCTCATTGGTTTACAGGGGTCTTCTTTATATTATGGATCTGTTTGTGTCAGTCAGTTATATATGTTTATAGGAAACATTGAGAAAAACTGAAATGGACCAAATGATTACTTGGTGCCTTCCATGGAAAGCAAGGCATCGTCTTGTAGACTCTTCCAAGTTATTTTATTCTATGGAGCTCTGCATCTTTTATTTCCTTTGAACTATTTTACACCTCTATAAGCCAGGGGTCCCCAACCCCTGGGTCATGCACTGGAACCAGTTCATGGCCTGTTAGGAACTGGGACACAGAGCAGGAGGTGAGGGGTGTGTGAGCATTCCTG
The DNA here is from genome assembly GCF_000001405.40 of Homo sapiens. NCBI lineage: Eukaryota > Metazoa > Chordata > Mammalia > Primates > Hominidae > Homo > Homo sapiens. The sequence continues at coordinate 197,326 of NT_187600.1, forward strand.
CCGGAGCTCCACCTCCCGTCAGGTCAGTGGCAGCATTAGATTCTCATAGGAGCGAACCCTATTGCGAGCTGCACATTCCCGGGATCTAAGTTGCATGCTCCTTATGACACCCTAATGCCTAATGATCTGAGGTGGAACAGCTTTGTCCCCAAACCATCCCCCGATCCTGGTCTGTGGAAACATTGTCTTCCATGGAACTGGTTCCTGGTGCCAAAAATGTTGGGGACCACGGCTCTAAGTTGTACATAATTGATAGCAATGCAAAAACTCTTTGAGTTGGTAGAAATCCAAGTTCTCATCTTTGAAAGGACAATGAATTGCTCCTCCTCTGCCAGGGAAAAGGCCAGTTTTGCATCTATCTATGAACTCCTTTTAGTATTCCTGAATCAATTATGTAAGTGTAGTACTTAGAATTCCACTTTGAACTGGTTGCAACACCTTAATTAATGAGATAAAGAGCATCTCTGAAATGTGTCGTCATATGTTTATGTGAGTCCTGATCATAATACTTTTAAAAAATGATCTCTTAACTCGTGATTTCTTCTCCCTCATGGCCCCACCCAGCCGCAGTATCCAGGGAGCTTAGTTTTCTGTGGCCCGGGAGGGCAGGAGAACCGGTGTTGATGGGGAGATCTGAGGTTGGCCCCAACTTTTCCCCACAGCTCTGCTTCAAGGAGTGCCGTGGGAAGGCCTCCCAACCCCACACCTGTCCTGTTGGCCAAGGCGAGCTCCATGCCATGTGGCATCTCTGCCGCTGGCCACCTGGTGAGTATCTGTTGAATAGAGAAATGTGCAGCATCTCCACAGAGCCTCCAGGGCTTCTGTGCTCTCCAAACATCTCTGGGCTCCTGGCACCCTCTCAGGGTATGATGTGTTGGTGTCTGGGTTGGGCCCCTGTCCCTGAGGGTAGGACTCAGGCAAGGACAAAGCTCTGGACTCAAAGAGGTGGTGTGGGGGTGAGTGAAAAGAACAGGAGCTTTGAGGTCAGAAATGCGGGTTTCAGCCTGCATTGTCCCCATGAGCAGGGGCTGCAGACTCGCCAAGACCTCAGTTTCTACCATGGTGAGAGAGTGTCAGAGACTGCAGCACGTATTTCAAGTGTCCAGGGACAGCAGGGGTCTGGGTTGGACCAGCTCTCCTGAATACTGAGGGTGCGATCTTGACCATTGTGAAAGGAAAATAAAATCTCAGGACTCCAAACTCACTATGCCAAAATGAACCGTTGAGGTGGGAAGCTGAGTCATGAAAAAAAAAAAAAGTCATGCGTTTCCTTTTGTTTCCAAACTGATAGCAGCAGCAGATAGGCCAGGTCTACCCAGGTGGCCTCCCTCACCCTGAGAATATAAATTAACAGCTGGTCTTCATGACATGGGACAAAATGAGACAAGAAATCGTCCCTCCTACCCCTGAGACGAATGCATATTTGACTTCTTCCTCTACTCTGTTTATTTGCTTATAAAGTGTAGATTTAGTGAGCACAAGGCGAATGCGTAATTGCTCCCTCCACCCCTCCTTTTCATGCAACGTGGGGGGCTCAGTGAGATGTAATCAAAGCCTCAGAAGAATGTGACCCTCCCCTCTTGCTTTTTTCTCTTTCATCTTTACCCTCCTCCAGCTTTTCCCCCTTTCAATATTGAAGCAGGACGTAGTGTGACTGCATCTGAGGTCAGGTGTGGGGTGGTCCATGTGGACAGTGAGGAAGGTGGTCCCTGCCCGTGGTGGTCCGGGTTTCCTGGGAGATGGCCAGACGTGGGTGCTGAGGGGAAGAGGCCGGTGCAGTCACTGGATGGTAGAGAGCATGTCCATTGTGCTGAGTGGGCTGGGAGGGATCCACAGAGAAGACAGTGTGGCTCAATAGCTAGCACCGGGGACGGGAACGTGGGTGAAGAGCCTGGCACATGGAGTAGCTCAAGGTGTGAGGTTGTGACCCGCCCAGGGAGCCTGTGCCTGAGTGTGCTGGGTGGGTGCTGGGGTTGCAAACATTCGTGTGCCTGTGAGGCCCGTGTGTGTATGTGTGTGTCACGTGTCCCCATGCATGGCAGGCATCGTCGCGTGTCCCCCACGCGTGGCAGGCATTGTTGTGTGGCCACTATGCATGGCAGGCATTGTCGTGTGTCCCCCGTGCGTGGCAGCATTGTCGCGTGGCCCCCGTTCGTGGCAGGCATGTGCAGCCTGAGTACCATGCCGGATGGGGTGTTCTGTCTTCTCCAGGCCCGGCCCTGCCGTGTGAGCAGGGAGCTTCCCCATGGGACTGATGTTCTGTCTCCTCCAGGCCTGGCCCTGTCCTGCCATGTTAGCAGCGAGCTTGGCCATGGGAGTGGTGGGCACAGGCGTGGCTGTGCCGGGCCTCACTGGCTGGACTCGGTGGGGACACCATACCCCTTGCTGAGTGTGGGTAGCAGAGGGGTCGAGGTGCCTTCTGGGAGGTGGTCGGGCAGAGGCAGGGTTGGGAGTGTGTGGGGAGATGGGTGTTCAGCTAGGCTCCTTCCCTGTGGAGGGGCTCAGCTGAAACCTGGGCTCTCACTCCCCTCACCCCTGCCTCCCCAGCATCCTCCCTCTGCCCGTCTCTTCAGCCTGCCTCGGACGCCGAGGTCACAGCCTCGCTCTGTCTCCTCACAAGGCCACGTGGTGGCAGGTCCTTCCTCCTGTCTAACCAGAGTCCTGCTTGCTGCTCTGCAAGCCCACTTGGGTCACGTGGGGCAGGGGCACCTGGAAGGGTGGGCTTCGTGGACTCAAGGGCCACCAATTCCTCCAGGTCAACATGCTCAGATGGTTCCATTCTCCCCCTTCCCTTGGCCACAGAGACCTCTGTATCCTGGGGTGACCACAAATGTCACAACACAAGAATCACACCAGGAACGTCACACCATGTCACACTGGGGAAAAGAAAGATCAGACTGTTACTGTGCCTATGTAGAAAAGGAACACATAAGAAACTCCATTTTGATCTGTACAAAGAAAAATTGTTCTGCTTTGAGACGCTGTTAACCTGTAACTTTAGCCCCAACACTGTGCTCACAGAAACCTGTGCTGCATGGAATCAAGGTTTAAGGGGTTTAGGGCTGCGCAGGACGTGCCTGGTTCACGATACGTTTGCAGGCAGTGTGCTTGGTAGAAGTCATCGCCATTCTCCATTCTCTGTTAACTAGGCACAGAATACGCTGCGGAAAGCTGAAGGGACCTCTGCCGGAGAAAGCCTAGGTATTGTCCCAGTTTCTCCTCACTGAGACAGCCTGAGATATGGCCTCATGGCAAGGGAAAGACCTGACTGTCCCCCAGCCTGACACCTGTAAAGGGTCTGTGCTGAGGAGGATTGGTAAAAGAGGAAGGCCTCTTTACGGTTGAGATAAGAAGAAGGCCTCTGTTTCCTGCACGTCCCTGGGAATGGAATGTCTGGGCTTTACACCCACCATTCATTCTATTCTGAGGTAGGAGAAAACCGCCCTAAGGCTGGAGACAAGATATGCTAGCGGTGATACGGCTCTGTTACTCTTCACTACACTGAGATGTTTGGGTAAAGAGAAACATAAATCTAGTCTATGTGTACATCCCAGCACGGTACCTTCCCTGGGAGTTATTTATGATGCAGATTCCTTTACTCACATGTTTTCCTGCTGACCTTCTCCCCATCATCACCCTGTTCACGCTGTTCTCCTGCCGCACTCCCCGTATGGAGATAGTGAAAATAGTCATCAATAAATACTGAGGGAACCCAGAGACCGGTGCCGGTGCAGGTCCTCGCGTGCTGAGTGTGCCGGTCCCCTGGGCTCACTGTTCTTTCTCTGCACTTTGTCTCTGTGTCTTATTTCTTTTCTCAGTCTCGTGTTTCCACCTGATGAGAAATACCCACAGCTGTGGAGGGCGAGGCCCTCTTCATCACACCACATCACACTATGTCACACTAGGGATGTCACACATCACACCATTAACTCATCACACTGGGGATGTCGTACCGGGTCACACCCCATCATGCCACATCACACCGTGTCACACCGCATCACATCACAGCAAGGATGTGGCACCCTGACACAGCACGTCACAGGTCACATCATGTCACACCACACCTCATCACACCCCACACCACCACACCCGTCAAACGACATCATACCCCATTACCCCAAGGATGTTACGCCACATCACATCATGTCACACCATACCACATAATCTCATACCGCATCATACCAGGGATGTCATACCCATCACACTCTGTCACACCACATCACATCATGTCCAACACCACCTCACACCAGGGACATTATACCATGTCACAACACCTCACACCATGTCATACCACCTCACACCAGGGACATTACACCATGTCACAACACCTCACACCATGTCACACCACATCTCACCAGGGATGTCACACTCGGTCACACCACATCACACTATGTCCAACCATGTAGTCCAACACCACATCACACAAAGGACATCACGCCACATCACACCACATCACACCAGGGATGTCACCCTGTCATAGGACATCACACCACATCACATGATGTCATGCTACATCACAGCATGGGCTGCTGGGGGCGTGCAGGGGCAGCCTTGCTGGAGAGTTGAGGGAGGGTCCTGGGGCTGGGCATGGTGTTCCCGCAGGAGGGCTGACCCTCTGGAGGATGCTCGGTCCCAGGTAGAAAGTGGGAGGTGGGCCCCGGGTGGCTCAGGGAGGGGCCCAATTTCCCCAGGGGAACCTGGTCCAGGCGCCAGGCCCTGCAGGGGCAGGAGCTGCAGGAAGCATCTGCTTCTTCCCAACTCAGCCTGCTCAGTGCACGGAATGACCCGGAGCCCGGCACCGTCCTGGGTCTCCTTTCCTTATCCTGGCCAGGCCGTCCATCCTCAGACAGTGGACTGGAGCCCACCCCACCAGGGCACCCGGAGGCCCGTAGGGCCCCTTGAAGGGCAGAGGGTGGAGAGCTGTCCAGCAGGGTCCCTGAGGGCTGGCACCTTCTCTGGACAAAGCTCTCCTGCATCTCTGGGACGCCATCCTTGGGCTTGGGATAGAGCCGGTGATGCAGCAGCTGCCCGCCCTGCACCCCAGGTGCTGTCTCCCTCACCCCCCGCGGGGCTGCAGCAGCGTGTCCTGAGAGTTAAAGGGCTGGGCTTCAGCACCCAGTTCAGGCCAGGCCCCCTGGAGCCCACCCTCCAGCAGCGAGCCTTCCCACGGCATGGCAGGGTCCGGGCTCTGGGGATTTCATCCCCAACTCTGTGTTTGGTGAAGCTCCAGCTGCTCGATGCCACACAAACGAATCCAACCACTCCTCCTTCCTGGGTGAGATGGTCTCTCTCCTGCCACAGGCAACTCCGACGGCATTTCGCAGCCACCGCAGCCACCGCAGCCACTGCAGTAACAAGACCCTGTCCTTGACTGAGTTCCAGCCAGGCTCCTCGGAGCCTCTCCACTCGGCCTCAACCTTGGCTTGTAAAGACTTGAGCAGACACTAACAGTTTCTAACAGCTTCTGGCCGTACCCCTAGGCCGACCCCTGCCCCGTCAACACCTGCCTGAGAAAGCTCCGTGCACCAGAACTCACCGTTTGGACCAACCCCGACCTCCCTTTCTCAGGGTATCTGCTGAGAGGGCCGCAACCACACGACCTTCTATCCGTTCCTGATGTCTGTGCATTTCCTGTGACCCAGGAGGGTCTTTCTCGGGACCTGAGAGCCACTCCCTGAAGTGTCCCCTTTGTGAAGGATGGGGCCTGTGTCTCCAGGCTCTGGGAGGACAGAATCCTGACCTCAACAGTGGCCGGCACGGACACAGCGGGTCCCATCCCGGGGACGCTGACCAGCGCTGGGAAACTTTTCCCTTCCCCAACGACTGAGCCCCGAGCACCCACCCTGCTCCCCCTACCACCTCCCTTTACAAGGCTGTGGCCTCTGCACAGATGAAGGTGAGTCCAGGTCATGCCGGACTCTTTCTTCCGTTGCAATAGTTATTTCTGTTGAGAATCCGTCCTTGCTACATGACCTAGTGCCCAGGGGGATGCTGAGACAGGATGAATGTGTTTTGCATGTGAGAAGAACATGAATTTTGGGGGCCAGAGTCTGGACTGTGATGGGTTAAATCGTGGCCCCTACAAATTCATATATTCAAGTCTTAATCCCTGGCCTCACAATGTGACTATTTGGAGATGGGGTCTTTACAGAGGTCATTAAGTTCATAGGGGGTCACTAATCTAATCCGATGTGTGTTCTAAGAAGAGAAGCTTAGGACACGGGCACACAGAGGTATGGCCATGTGAGGACCAGGGAGGAGACGGTGTCTACAAGCCAAGGAGAGAGGGCTTGAGAGAAACCAGCCCTGCCTGCATCCTGATCTCAGATTCCTGGTCTCTAGGCCTGGGAGGATCCATGTCTGCCGTGGGAGCTGCCCCGCTGTGGTCCTGAGCTGACGCACACAGATCTGACACCCACCTCTCGCTTCGGACCATGGTTGGTTCTGGAAGGCCCTCCCTGTGGCTCTGCCTGGCCAGCCTGAGCCAGCTCCCAGCCTCGACCCAGCTTTCCCTGGAGGCCCTGTCCCCCGCAGAGTGACCAGGGCAGGCAGCACCGTGCCCAGCAGGAGGAGAAACTGCATCCATGTAGAAAAGAGGAGAAGCCCCGGGGGTCCATGTAGTGACAGGGGCCAGGGAGGGTCGCTCGGGCAATGCGTGTGGCTGCAGGAGGCGGGGGGCGTATGCAGGGAGCCCCCGAGGTGCAGCTGGACCAGCCTCCTCCTGACCGTGTTTTCCACCGGGGGCAGGAGGCGCGTGGACACAGGAAGGCGGCTCCCATCACGAAGTACAAGACTTAAAAAGGATATTTTATTGTCATCACAAAAGAAACATCAAAGACAATTAATGAGCTTTAGAAAATTTAAAAGAAGAAGAAAAGCTACCAAAGCTGAAATGGTGGCACCTCCTTCGAGTGAGCCCAGGAGTCCTCCCTGACGGCCGAGGCAGGCGCTGGCCGCACTCCCGCTCGAGTCTCCCTTCCTGTCTGCAGATTCTGCGTGACAGTCACGGAACGGCGTGATGGGGGCAGCAGAGCGTGGGGGCCTCTGTCCAGCACTCGTGGCCAGCAGCCCTGCTTTCGCAAGAACACGGGCACCCTCTTTGTCGTCTTGCCTCTCCACCTGGTGCCCCCAGAGTGGCTGCTTGTTCCTGCTGCACGTGACCCGGGGCTGGACGCCAGCCTCTGTGATGAGTTCTGGCTGTGTCCACGCTCCTGGCTCTCCCGGTGTCCCTCCACCTCTCTCCCCGATGCTCCTGGGCCTCCTCTGTCCTCAGGCCCCACCAAGGCTGAGTCTTGCCCGCCTGGGACCTGGTCACCAGCCTTCTCTGGGAGGCCTGTCTGGGCAGATGCCCAGCCCTTCCTTGGGCTATCCTCACCCTTGCACTGTGGGGCTCCTGCAGCGGCCACATGGCCCAGGCTCTTCTCTGAGTGATCTCGGTGGACTGGAGTGGGTGGGAGGTGGCAGTGTCCTGGGCCTGGCCCCTTCTCTCCCCAGTGCGGACTCTGGGGCTGGCTGTCCCTGCGGGTCCAGTTCCACCCGAGAATCCAGCAGTGTGGGCAGGCAGCCAAGGGGTGGTGCTGGCACTGAGACTGTTCCCAGGAGCCAGAGAGCAGCGTTCTTTGCTTGAAATCAGAACAACCTCATTCCTCATGTCAGGAGTTCACGGGAGTGCCCGGAATGGAGGCTGGCTGGCTGCGGGCTGGGAGGAAGGCCGTCTGAGTGAGCCTTCGCAGCTCTCGGAAGCCTCCCCAACAGGGCCTGATGGTGCTGTGGCTTCCCTACCTTGGCGGCTGACGCTCCCACTCACCATCTGGAAACCACGCCTGTGTTCAGGAGGCTGGCGTGGACGGGGTTGGCTCCAGGGCGAGGTCCTGCCTGGGTGGGGGCCTGGGATACCGGTCACTGCCTCCTTTTGTGTGAGCACCTTGTGGTCCGGAGGGCAAGGACGTCCTGCTGAGGGGACACCTGGCCCCCAGTGCCCTGCATGCACCAAGCAGCGGAGGTCTGGGGTAGACCTGCTATGCACAGGGTCTGGAAGGGGGGCGTGTCAGGTGTGTCAGGGTCAGAGGGCAACTGCGAGGCCAGAGAGTCATGGGGTTGAGGGCGGTGAGGTCGGGGGCAGGTGTGGCCTGGGTGGTGGCTGAGCATGGCCCATGGCTGGTGTGTGGGGTCTGGGCGGCCCTGGACACCCCGCAGAGGGTGGCCCTAGGCCCCCTGTCCGATCATGTTCCTGTAGTCGGGGATGATGGTCTGCTTCAGGTCCACCACCGAGGAGAAGATCCACTTCACCTGTAGGCAAGGCACAGCACAGGGGTGAGCGAGGCCACAGCCCTGCCCCCGAGCCCCACCCACCCCTCAGGGCACTGAGGCCACCTCTCTGCCCCCAAGGCCCACCCACCCGTCAGTCCACGCAGGCCACAGCCCTGCCCCTGAGGCCCATCCGGCCCCTCATGCCACCCAGGTGCCATGGCCTCACCACTGCCTGCTCTGAGGCTTGGTGATAGAGAGCAGAGCCAGGGCACCAACAGCATGTGGACAGCACAGAAGACAGCGTCAGGGACAGGTGGGGACAGCGTGGGGGACAGTGTCAGACACAGGTGAGGACAGTGTGGGGGACAGTGTCAGGGACAGGTGGAGACAGAGTGTGGAAGAGTGTTGGGGACAGTTAAGGACAGCATGGAGGAGAGTGTTGGGGAGAGATGGGGACAGTGTCAGGGAGAGGTGGGGACTGTGTGGAGGACAGCATCAGGGACAGGTGGGGACAGCATGGGGGACAGTGGTGCATACAGGAGGGGACGGTGTGGGGGACAGTGTCAGGGATTATAGGGGACAGAGTGGGAGACAGTGTCAGGGACCGGTGGAGACCATGTGGGGGACAGGTGGGGACAGCATGGGGGACAGTGTCAGGGATAGGAGGGGACAGGAAACAGTGGGGACATTGTCAGGGACAGGGGAGATAGCATGGGGGACAGTGTTGGGGACATGGGGGACAGCATGGAGGACAGTGTTGGGGACTGGTGGGGACAGCATGGGGGACAGTGTAGGAGACAGGTTGGGACAGGATGGAGGATAGTGTTGGGGACAGGTGGGGACAGTGTGGGGGACAGTGTCAGGGACAGGAGGGGAGAGCGTGGAGAACAGTGTCCGGGACAGGTGGGGACAGCATGGGGGACAGTATCAGGGACAGGTGGGGAGAGTGTGGGGGACAGTGTTGGACTGGTAGGTACAGCCCGGGGGACAGCATCGGGGACAGGTGGGGACTGCATGGGGGACAATATCAGGGACAGGTGGGGACATGGAGGAGAGTGTTGGGGACAGGTGGGGACAGCATGGGGGACTGTGTTGAGGACAGGTGGGGACAGCTTGGGGGACAGTGGTGCATACGGGAGGGGACGGCGTGGGGGACAGTGTCAGGGATTATAGGGGACAGAGTGGGAGACAGTGTCAGGGACAGGTGGGGACAGCATGGCGGACAGTGTCAGGGATAGGAGGGAACAGGAGGAAACAGTGGGGACATTGTCGGGGACAGGGGGGATAGCGTGGGGGACAGTGTTGGGGACAGGTGGGGACAGTGTGGAGGAAAGTTTTGGGGACTGGTGGGGACAGCATGGGGGACAGTGTAGGGGACAGGTGGGGACAGGAGGGGACAGCATGGAGGATAGTGTTGGGGACAGGTGGGGACAGTGTGGGGGACAGTGTCGGGGACAGGAGGGGACAGCGTGGGGGACAGTGTCAGGGACAGGTGGGGACAGCATGGGGGACAGTGTTGTACTGGTAGGTACAGCCTGGGGGACAGCATTGGGGACAGGTGGAGACTGCATGGGGGACAATATCAGGGACAGGTGGGGACAGCATGGAGGAGAGTGTTGGGGACAGGTGGGGACAGCATGGGGGACAGTGTTGAGGACAGGTGGGGACAACGTGGGGTACAGTGTCGGAGATGGGTGGGGACAGCATGGAGGAAAGTGTCGGGTTTAGGTAAGAACAACGTGGAGGAGAGTGTCGGGGACAGGTGGGGACAGTGTGGGGGATATTGTCACGGACAGGTGGGGACAGCATGTGGGACAGGGTTTCATACAGGAGGGGACAGCATGGGGGACAGTGCCAGGTACTGTAGGGGACAGCGTGGGGGACAGGGCCAGGAACTATAGGGGACAGAGTGGGGGATGGTGTCAGGGACAGGTGGGGAAAGCATGGGGGACAGTGTCAGGGACAGGTGGAAACTGTGGGGGACAGTGTTGGGGACAAAGGGGGACAGGGTGGGGGACAGTGTTGGGGACAGATGGGGACAGCATGGGGGACAGTGTCGGGGACATGTGGGGAGAGCCTGGGGGACACTGTTGGACAGGTGGGGGCAGCATTGGGGACAATGTCAGGGACAGTTTGTGAGAGCATGGGGGACAGCGTCAGGGACAGGTGGGGACAGCCTGTGGGACAGTGTCAGAGACAGTTTGTGACAGCATGGGGGACAATGTCAAGGACAGCTGGGGACAACGTGCGGCCGACCTTGAAGAAGGTGACGGTGGCACTGTAGCACACGCTTAACAGGAAGAGTGTGATGAAGATGGTGATGGTCGTCCACAGCCCGTCCAGCTCCCCGTCCTGCGCCTCCGCACAGCTCTCCTCCAGTTGCAGCTCTGGACAGGAAGGGGGTGGTCAGTGCTGTGTCCCCCTGGGCTTGGGCCTCTGGGGGTGATTCCCTCTGTGGCAGGACCCAGGATGTAGGGCCCGGCCGGGATGGGCCAACAATGTCCTGAGGTCAGCTCCCCACAGCTGCCCGCCCTGGGCACCAGCTTTGGCCCCGGGGCTCAGCCAGACACCCGGCCCTAGATAGCGACCTGGCCCTCAGCAGGACCCGCTCCCCGTCTCCCGTGTCCCTCCCTGAGGCCCAGAGGGCAGGAGGATGGTGAAGCCCACACCTCATGTGACCCCAGCTGCAGGGAAGGGCGGCACTGGGAAGTGGGCCAGGGCCAGGGACGTGACGTGGTGTGTGATCCCCTGTGTGTGTGTGGCGGCTGCAGGGGCACCTTGTGAGAGGAGGGCTGGGTTTGTCTGAGCAGGTCAGCATGTGGAGAAGCTGCCGAGCGGCTCGTGGGCCTTGAGGTGCCGCGTGGGGCTCGTGGGGGCCTGTGTCCGAGGAGTGTTCACGTGTGCGAGGACCTTGCTCTGGTCTGGGTGCTGTGCGGTTCGCCCGGGTGAGGCTCCGTGTGTGAGGCGTGCACGTGTGTGTGTGGTGGCCGTGTGGCCGGCCAACCTCAGTGCGGGGTTTGTTGAACGGGTCTGGGCTGAGTGTGTGTGTGGGCATCTGGACCAGTCTCTCCACAGGGCCCGAGAGTGCATGTCCCCGGAGTCGGTTGTGTCCCCATGCGGGTGCGAGGCTGGGCAGGGCTGCCAGGGGTTAGTGCCGTGGGGGTAGATGGGTGAGGGAGGGCCTGTCCCTACGCACATGGACTAGGCATGCCCCCGAGTGGGCATGCGGGTCGGAGGACAGGGCGCTCACAGAACAGGACAGTCTCCTACAGAGGCAGGGGCTGTGTGTCTGTCCCCAGGGGCTCCTAGGGCTTCTCGTGGCCCAGCCCAGGGCAGCTGCTGCTGGAGGGAGGGCCACGCTGGCAAATCCCCCACCCTGCCGAGGGCAGCCCCTGGCTGAGCCCCACCCTAGGCGGCCCAGGCACACCTGCACAGCCTGGGCCAGTGTGGGGACAGTGGGACCCACTCTGCCTCCCTCATGCCACTCAGGCCTCAGACTCGGCCTGACCCGTGGAAAGAACCATCACAGTCTCGCAGGGGCCCAGGGAAGCGCTGGGTGCTTTATTTCCATGCTGGGTGCCTGGGAAGTATGTACACGGGGTACGTGCCAAGCATCCTCGCGCGACCCCGAGAGCCTGGGGAGCGGGGGCTTGCCGGCCGTGGCACTCATTTACCCGGAGACAGGGAGAGGCTCTTCTGTGTGTAGTGGTTGTGCAGAGCCTCATGCATCACGGAGCATGAGAAGACGTTCCCCTGCTGCCACCTGCTCTTGTCCACGGTGAGCTTGCTGTAGAGGAAGAAGGAGCCGTCGGAGTCCAGCACGGGAGGCGTGGTCTTGTAGTTGTTCTCCGGCTGCCCATTGCTCTCCCACTCCACGGCGATGTCGCTGGGATAGAAGCCTTTGACCAGGCAGGTCAGGCTGACCTGGTTCTTGGTCAGCTCATCCCGGGATGGGGGCAGGGTGTACACCTGTGGTTCTCGGGGCTGCCCTGTAGGGACAGAGGTTGGTACAGCGGTCACTCTCAGGGCAGAGGGTGGGCCGAGCCGGCCTCTGTCCATGTGGCCCTCGCACCCCACGGGTCCCACCTTTGGCTTTGGAGATGGTTTTCTCGATGGGGGCTGGGAGGGCTTTGTTGGAGACCTTGCACTTGTACTCCTTGCCATTCAGCCAGTCCTGGTGCAGGACGGTGAGGACGCTGACCACACGGTACGTGCTGTTGTACTGCTCCTCCCGCGGCTTTGTCTTGGCATTATGCACCTCCACGCCGTCCACGTACCAGTTGAACTTGACCTCAGGGTCTTCGTGGCTCACGTCCACCACCACGCATGTGACCTCAGGGGTCCGGGAGATCATGAGGGTGTCCTTGGGTTTTGGGGGGAAGAGGAAGACTGACGGTCCCCCCAGGAGTTCAGGTGCTGAGGAAGAGATGGAGGTGGACGTGTCAGCACCCGGCTGGGGCCTGTCCCTGGATGCAGGCTACTCTAGGGCACCTGTCCCGCCTTGAGCTGGAGGGCGAGGCCTGGGCTGGCTTACCTGGGCACGGTGGGCATGTGTGAGTTTTGTCACAAGATTTGGGCTCTGCAGAGAGAAGATTGGGAGTTACTGGAATCTGGGAGGAGAGAAGGTGTCCGAGCTGAGGGAGTGGAGAGTTTGGCCTTTGGGGTGGGCTTAGGTCAGGGGCAGGGTCCTCCCGGATATGGCTCTTGGCAGGTCTGAGCCCAGCACCTGCCCCTTTGTGTGCAGGGCCTGGGTTAGGGGCACCTAGCCTGTGCCTGCCCAGAGCCTGGGGAAAAAGCCAGAAGACCCTCTCCCTGAGCATGAGTGGGGCGGGCAGAGGCCTCCGGGTGAAGAGGCAGACGGGGCCTGCCTTGCTGCCCTGGACTGGGGCTGCATAGCCGGGATGCGTCCAGGCAGGAGCGCTGAGCCTGGCTTCCAGCAGACACCCTCCCTCCCTGTGCTGGCCTCTCACCAACTTTCTTGTCCACCTTGGTGTTGCTGGGCTTGTGATTCACGTTGCAGATGTAGGTCTGGGTGCCCAAGCTGCTGGAGGGCACGGTCACCACGCTGCTGAGGGAGTAGAGTCCTGAGGACTGTAGGACAGCCGGGAAGGTGTGCACGCCGCTGGTCAGGGCGCCTGAGTTCCACGACACCGTCACCGGTTCGGGGAAGTAGTCCTTGACCAGGCAGCCCAGGGCTGCTGTGCCCCCAGAGGTGCTCTTGGAGGAGGGTGCCAGGGGGAAGACCGATGGGCCCTTGGTGGAGGCTGCAAGAGAGGTGGTGCCATGTGACCGCGGTGTGGGACAGAGCTGGGCCCAGGGCGCAGAGGCCCCTGGGTTCTTAACTGTCCGCGAGGTTCAGCGTCCAGTGTCTGGGCTCACGGGCATTGGGTGTGCGCCTGGCTGGCGCCACCTGCGTCACCTTAGCCCACCCCCTGCCCCAAAGCCAAGGTCAGGCCCGGCCTGCCCCAGAAAGCTTGCAGGACCGGTGGCCCTGTGGTGCCCTTCTGCAGGCACCCCTGCAGCCTAGGAGGCGGGGCTCGGCAGCCAGGTCAGCGCTCTGTGTCTGCCGGGAGTCAGCACAGTCCAGGGCCTCTAGCTTGGCCTCAGCTCTGGCCATCGGTGCCACCTCAGGGACGGCTCATGCCCATTGGCCCCACTCCAGCCTTTTATGGGTGCCTGGCTTGACCAGTGGACACTGTTCTCAGATGGCTTCTCGTGGGTCCCCCGAGCCCCCTGAAGCCCCTGACCCTGCCGCCCCAGCGTGGCCCTCCCCTAGTGAGTTGGCCTGACTTGCCCAGGGCCCTGGTCATAGCCTGCCCTCTGCCCTCCAAGGCCCTTTTCTTCTGTGCAGCAGAGGGGCCAGACACTGCATAGGGTCGGCGCCCTTCAGCCCCAGGGCCCCGGAACCCCCTGCCTTGGAATAGCCTCCTGGAGCCTCCTCCTCAGCCTCTCCCCTCCTTTCCCCTTAGCCCCAGTGTGCAGCAGCCCAGGTCAGGGCCCTGAGTGCCTGGATGCCCCCTGCCTCCCAGTGTCCTGCATTACTTCTGGAGGCTCAGTCACCACACCGTCACCCTCCCAGCCCTGGCCTGGCCTTCTCGGCCACCAGCCCACCTCCTCCCTCTCTCCAGAGCTTCCCCCGGCAAGGTCCCTGCTGGGCTCAACCCAGGCCCCCCAGCACAGGTAGGAGCCTTGCACCTGCCCTTGGCCCTCCCCACCCTGCATGGTGCCAGGACCCCCAGGCCACAGGGAGGCCCCATTTCTCTCTGCCGCTGGCCCAGTGGCCCTGGAGTCCCACTGCAGGTGGGGTGTGCCCCTGACCTCTGAGGAGGCTAAGCGCCCTGCCCTCAGCCAGGCCATCCCCTCTGCTCAGCCCCAGGGCCCCGCTCACCACCCCTTCCCCTCACCTGCACCACAGGCTCTGGCTGACTCTGCCCAGGCCCTGAATGGGCCCCTCTGGCTGCCCTCTGCTGCTACACTGCCCTGCACCACCTCCACTCAGCTTCATTGTGCTGGTGGCCCTGGCTCCTGGCAGCCCATCTTGCTCCTTCTGGGGCGCCAGCCTCAGAGGCCTTCCTGCCCAGGGTCCGCTGGGACCAGCCGTGGGACCCTCCTGGTCTCAAGCACACGTTCCCCCTGCAGCCACACCTGCCCCTGCCTGAGAGCTCAGCCCTGAGCCCTGGAACGCCTTCCCTTCTCCATCCCAGCTCGCCCTTGCCAACTGCTCAGTGGGATGGACTCACACTCCCTTCCCGGCACCAGGAGGCTGCACTGCACTTTCACCAGCCCTCAGCTGTCTGTTGCCAGCAACTACCCAGCTCCTGCCAAAGTCTAGGAGCTGAGTGATGCCTCCCACCAGCCCTGCTCACCTGTGGCTGCCTTGCCCTGAGCTCTAGTGCCTGTCCCCTGCTCGTCCTGCCTCCCACCGGCCCTGCTGACCTGCGGCTGCTCTGCCCTGGTCCCCTGAGCTCCAGTGCCTGCCCCCTGCTCCTCCTGCCCCCCACCTGCCCCTGCTCACCTGCGGCTGCTCTGCCCTGGTCCCCTGAGCTCCAGTGCCTGCCCCCTGCTCCTCCTGCCCCCCACCTGCCCCTGCTCACCTGCGGCTGCTCTGCCCTGGTCCCCTGAGCTCCAGTGCCTGCCCCCTGCTCCTCCTGCCCCCCACCTGCCCCTGCTCACCTGCGGCTGCTCTGCCCTGGTCCCCTGAGCTCCAGTGCCTGACCCCTGCTCCTCCTGCCCCCCACCTGCACCTGCTCACCTGCGGCTGCTCTGCCCTGGTCCCCTGAGCTCCAGGAGCTGCCCCCTGCTCCTCCTGCCCCCCACCTGCCCCTGTTCACCTGCGACTGCTCTGCCCTGGTCCCCTGAGCTCCAGGAGCTGCCCCTTGCTACTCCTGCCCCCCACCTGCCCCTGTTCACCTGCGACTGCTCTGCCCTGGTCCCCTGAGCTCCAGTGCCTGCCCCCTGCTCCTCCTGCACCCCACCTGCCCCTGCTCACCTGCGGCTGCTCTGCCCTGGTCCCCTGAGCTCCAGGAGCTGCCCCCTGCTCCTCCTGCCCCCCACCTGCACCTGCTCACCTGCGGCTGCTCTGCCCTGGTCCCCTGAGCTCCAGGAGCTGCCCCTTGCTCCTCCTGCCCCTGTTCACCTGCGACTGCTCTGCCCTGGTCCCCTGAGCTCCAGGAGCTGCTCCTTGCTCCTCCTGCCCCCCACCTGCCCCTGTTCACCTGCGACTGCTCTGCCCTGGTCCCCTGAGCTCCAGGAGCTGCCCCTTGCTCCTCCTGCTTCCCACCAGCCCCTGCTCACCTGCGGATGATCTTCCCTGGCTCTCTGAGCTCCAGGGGCTGCCCACCTGCTCCTCCTGCTTCCCACCGGCCCTGCTCACCTGCAGCTGCTCTGCCCTGGCTCCCTGAGGCTGAGCCTCAGTCCTGCTCACCTTCTGATGCTCTCCCCTTGTCCCCTGAGCTCCAGGGGCTGACCCCTGATCTTTCTGCTTCCTACCTGCCCCTGCTCACCTGTGGCTGCTCTGCCCTGATCCCCTGAGCTCCAGGAGCTGCCTCCTGCTCTTCCTGCCTCCCACCTGCCCCTGCTCACCTGCAGATCTGCCCTGGCTCTCTGAGGTCCAGGGGCTGCCCCCTGCTCGCCCACCTCCCACCAGCCATGCTGACGTTGTGATGCTCTGCCCTGGTCTCCTGAGGTCCAGGGGCTGTCCCCTGCTTATTCTGCCTCCCACCTGCCCCTTCTCACCTGAGGCTCTTCTGCCCTGGTGCTCTGAGCTCCAAAAGCTGCCCACTTGCTCCTCCTGCTTCCTACCAGCCCCTGCTCTCCTGTGGATGATCTGCCCTGGCTCTCTGAGCTCCAGGGGCTGCCCACCTGCTCCCCATGCTTCCCACCTGCCCCTGCTGACCTGCGGCTGCTCTGCCTTGGCTCCCTGAGCTCCAGGAGCTTCCCCCTGCTCATCCTGCCCCCCACTGGCCCCTGTTCACCTTCAGATGCCCTCCCTGGTCCCCTGAAGTCCAGGAGCTGCCCCCTGTTCCTCCCGCCTCCCACCAGCCCGTGCTCACCTGCGGCTGCTCTGCCCTGGTCCCCTGAGTTCCAGGGGCTGCCCCCTGCTCGCCCACCTCCCACTAGCCATGCTCACCTCCTGATGCTCTGTCCTGGTCCCCTGAGCTCCAGGGGCTGCCCCCTGCTTGCCCATCTCCCACTAGCCATGCTCACCTTCTGATGCTCTGCCCTGGTCCCCTGAGCTCCAGGGTCTTCCCCCTGCTCATCCTGCCGCCCACCAGCCCCTGCTCACCTGAGGCTGCTCTGCCCTGGTCCCCTGAGCTCCAGGAGGTGCCCCCTGCTCCTTCTGCCCCCACCTGCCCTGCTCACCTGTGGCTGCTTGGTCCTGGTCCCTGAGCTCCAATGCCTGCTCCCTGCTCACTCTGCCCTCCCTCAACCCGGGCAGCAATGTCACTCAGGTCACTGTTGCCCCCCTGCCTGTCCTGGCACCCTCTGTCCAGGTTTGGGCTGTTTTTCTGCCCTCATTTTTGATTTTGCAGCACTTGGCGTGTTCCCTATGCTGTGGAGCAGCCCCAGTGTCCAGTCAGGTCTCCCCAACAGAGCCCCTTGCCCTTGCCCATGTGCCCCTCCTGAATGAGCTCCCGGATCCTCCTGTCCCTGCACTGCTCCTGCTCTGGAAGCCTCTCTGGAACCTCAGCTCCTCAGTGGCCTCTGCTCTGCTGGGTCAGTTCCCTGAACGCACGGAGCCTCAGCCCTTCCCCTCGCCCCAGGCCTGCTGCACTCTGGGCCTTTCTGGGCCTCCCTGGACTCTTCCCTTCTCCCGCCCGTGCACTCAGCACAGCTCTCCCCTCCTCTCCACTGCTGACCACAGCCCTGCTCCCCGCCAGCAGGTGCCCCAACCCCATCAGCTGGCTCTGAGCCCAGCCCCTGTGCCTCCCCTGTCCCTGCCTCTGCCTCTGGGCTCCTTGGCTTCCACCCTCCTGTCCTGCTGCCACACTCACCCTCCCTGCTCTGCTCCCGGCTCACCTGCTGTCCTTGGTCCTGGCTGAGAGGAGGGCCCCACGGCCAGCACTGCTGACCCTGCCCTGGGCTCCGGTGATGCTGCCGGCCTGGACAAGCCCCTCCGTTCACCTGGGGCCTCTCCTCCTCCCTCGCTCTGCTGCCTCCTGAGCTCAGGTCGGTCGTGCCCATCCTGGCATCACCCCACGGCCGGCTCTGCCGCATCCAGTCATGTTCCTCGTGCTCCCAGCCCGGTCGTCCTGGAGGCCTCAGTCAGCCTCTGGTGTGTCCTGCCCTGTTGGCTTGGAAGCCCCTGCCCACGGTCCCCGTCGTCTCGCACTGGGTGGGCATCGGTGCCTGAAGGCTGCCCACCTCCCCCGTGCTGGCTCCGCTTGGGCCTCCATGTGGGGCCGGCCTCGACCCCATGTCTCCCCAGCCTCTTGGAGCCTGTTCAGCATCTCAGGTCCAGGAGCGCCCACGGCTGCCCCCAGGCTCTGTCCTCCTCCCGAGCCTGTGCCCCTGCCCTGTGCTGACCCCACTCACCGAGGTGGGGGTCTCAGCCCTTCCTGTTCTGGCGAGGTACATGTGGGCAGCCCCGCCCCTGCCGTCAGCCGCTATTTGTCTTCCTAGGAAATCACAGCTCGGCCCCCAGGTCCCCAGGTGTGTGAACTCCACGCTGCAAAGACTAAGAACAGGATTGAAACCGGCGGCACCACTTACTTCCTGAAGTTCCCTTTTCTTCTGGTGGTTTCTGGGTCAGAGGGCGAGGGGGAGTCCAGACACAGCCGAGGCTGCCTCATGGGTGTGTGGGGATGGGGGTGGTGGCTGCCCCCATACTCCCCCGTACTCACGGGAGAAGGTGGGGAGCCCAGACCTTGTGTGCTGCTCTTTTCTCTGTCTCTGAGTCCCTGGGGCTGGACTGATACTGGCAGCGATTATGACCATTCTGCCCGTGATCTCAGCCTCTCAATACCTGGGCCTCTCATCTGAAGCTTCTGGCCCCCACTAGGCCCTGGTGGCTGCTTTGGCCTGGGCGTGTCTCCAGCTGGCTCTGACTCATGGTGCAGGGAGGGGAGTGTGAGTTCATCCTGCTGAGCAGCTGGCAAAGGCGAGCTGGGATGGAGATGGGAAGGCATTCCAAGGCTCAGGGCTGAGCTCACAGGCAGGGGCAGGTCTGGCTGCAGGGAGAACGTGTGTGCTTGAGACCAGGAGGGTCCCAGGGCTGGCCAAGTGGACCCTGCACAGGAAGGCCTCTGAGGCTGGTGCTCCAGAAGGAACAAGATGGGCTGCCAGGAGCCAGGGCCACCAGCTGTGCTCCTGGGGGCCGAGGGGACTTGGGACAGGTGGATGAACACACTGAAGCTGAGTGGAGGTGGTGCAGGGCAGTGTAGCAGCAGAGGGGAGCCAGAGGGGCCCATTCAGGGCCTGGGCAGAGTTGGCCAGAGCCTGTGGTGCAGGTGAGGGGAAGGGGTTGGGGGCAGGGCCCTGGGGCTGAGCAGACGGGATAGCCTGGCTAGGGACAGGACACTTAACTTCCTCAGAGGTCAGGGGCACACCCGAGTTGCAGTGGGACTCCAGGGCCACTGGACTACAAGCAGAGAGAGAAATGGGGCCTCCCTGGGGACCGGGGGATGCTGGCACCATGCAGGGTGGGGAGGTCCAAGGGCAGGTGCTAGGCTCCTACCTGTGCTGGGGGAGCCTGGACTGAGATCAGGAGGGACCTTGCCAGGCCGAAGCTCTAGAGAGAGGGAGGAGCTGGGCAAGGACGATTGTGGAGGTGGGAGGTAGCAGGGAACGGGATGAGGATAGAGGGACTGGGCAGACAGAAAACCCAAGGAGGTGTCGCACAGGAAGTGTCCAGAATGGAATAGGAATTGTGCGGAATGGAAAAGGAAGCATCCAGCATGGAACAGGAAGCATCCAGAATGGAACTGGAAGCATCCAGAGTCAAACAAAAAACATCCAGCATGGAACAGGAAGCATCCAGGATGTAACAGAAAGCATCCAGCATGGAACAGGAAATGTCCAGCATGGAACAGGAAGCATCCAGAATGGAATAGGAAGCATCCAGAGTGGAACAAGAAACATCCAACATGGAACAGGAAGCATCCAGAATGGAAAAGGAAGCATCCAGCATGGAACAGGAAGCATGCAGAGTGGAACAGGAAACGTCCACCATGGAACAGGAAGCATCCAGAGTGGAACAGGAAGCATGCAGAGTGGAACAGGAAATGTCCAGCATGGAACAGGAAGCATCCAGCATGGAACAGGAAGCATCCAGCATGGAACAGGGAGCATCCAGAGTGGAACAGGAAATGTCCAGCATGGAACAGGAAGCATCCAGGATGGAACAGGAAGCATCCAGTGTGGAACAGGAAGCATCCAGAGTGTAACAGGAAACATCCAGCGTGGAACAGGAAGCATCCAGTGTGGAACAGGAAGCATCCAGCGTGGAAGAGGAAGCGTCCAGCATGGAACGGGAAGCGTCCAGAATGGGCACTTTGAAGGGAAATCATGTCCCTCCCACTAAATGTGCTCTCCACAAGGACCCGGCCTGCCCTTGTGACCCTGCTGGATCCCTGAGCTGGCACCAGCCCTGCCCTCAGAGAGAATGTCCAGGAGACAGGTGGAGGTGCACGTGTGGGTCCCTGGGGAAATCCATCCTCCAGCCGCAGGCTCCCAGTCGGCTCCCAGCCTCTCGTTCCAGCTTCACCCCATGGAGCTCATAATGGGCTCAACCTCCCAGGCTGGGGGAGGACGGAGTGAGGGGTCCCCGCACTGCCCATGGCACACCCAGGGGGCTGGGGAGTCTGCACTGGGCTGGGGCAGGGAGGCCTCGTGCAGCCTGTGGGGCTGGCAGCTCAGGACAACACTCGTATCCGTTAACTGTGGCCCTGGCAACACAGCACCCCAGACTGCGTGGCTTAAACAACAGACGTTTATTCCGTCCTGGTTCTGGAGGCCGGGCATCTGGGATGGAGGCCTCGGTGGGGCTGGCACCTCTGTGTCATGGGAGACTCTGTCCCAGGCTCTCTCCCTGCTGCTGGGCTTTGCCGGCCGTCTCTGCTGCTCTTGGCTTATGGAAGCAGCACCATCTTCACAGGGCGTTCTCCCCACGTGCTGTCTGTGCCCAGATTCCCCCTTTTCATGAGGACAGCAGTCATATTGGATCAGAGGCTTGCGCTACTCCAGGGTGACCTCATCTGAACTTGATTGCAGCTGCAAAGACTGTTTCCAAACAAGGTCACATTCTGTGGTCCTGGGGGTTAGGACTTCAACACATGAATTTATAGGGGACACATTTTAACCCATGACAGTTTGCCCTCCGCTCCCCCCATAATCATGTCCTTCTCACACGCAAAATCCCTGCACCCCATAGCAACATCTCCAAGATGGCTAACCCCTTCCAGCACCAACTCTTAGTCCACAATGTCAGAGAAACATCACCTGCATCAAGTGTGGCAGAAACCCAGGGTGAGATTAGGAGAGAAACCACAGCGGGGTGGCGAGCCTCCTGCCCCCTCCGGCCCAGGTGAGGCCGTGTGCACTGTGTGGGTGTGCCTGGGGCTCCACTTGCCCCTCCCATGTACCTGCTCATTTTCCCCAGGCTGTGGGCATTTGGGGCAGGGGCCTCAGTGCCTGGTCGGCTCTCTCCCGGTTCTATCCAATGCCCCAAGCTGTGCTGGGCTGGAGGGGCCGGGCAGGGTGGGCCCCCAGGAAGGAGGATGGCATCCCAGGTGGGGCTCCATCTCTGGCCTCTGCCAGCCTTGAGATCCCCGGTCGTCTGTGTCTCCCTCCTGGGGCCCAGCAGGCCTGCTCAGCTCTGAGCCCCATGTCCGTTCTCACCCTGCTCTGCTTTTCCTTGGGGTGCTGGCCCTGCCCTGGCCTCCAGAAATGGCCCCTGCCCCCACCCCTTCCTCAGGGGCTGGGCTGTTCCTCTCCTGCCAGGCGTGTGCCCACCTAGGCCCAATAGGCACAGTGCCTACGGCCCCTCCTGCCCTCTTCTGGCCTTCACGCCCAGCCATGCCGGCAGCCCGCCTCAGTGGCCTGGGCCTTCGCCAGCGCCTGGCTCTGTGTCCAGCTGCCACTCCTGTGGCCCCGTGGTGCTGCCCCTTTCCCTCAGTGACGGGGGCTGGACTGCCTGGGAATGGGCTGTGTCTCAGCTGCACACACCTGTGTGTGTCAGTGTGCGCATGGGAGTGTGTGTGTGTGCTGGGGGTATGTGCAGGAATGCTTGTGTCTGGGGGCAGGGGGAGCATCTGCCTTCCTGCCCCAGGCCTGGAATGGCCATGCCAGGGTGGGTGGGAGCAGCGCGTGCGAGGACAGTGCTGCTTTGACGTCTGCGTGTGGCTGGTGGGGGTGGGAGGACGTGGTGTGGCACGAGTCTCGGGCTCCCCATCTCCATCCAGCTGATCCCGGATGGCTGCGCTCCTGAGGGTTTAGAGCAGCCCAGGGGGTCAGGAGGCTGTTGGGACGCTGGAGGCAAGCGCTGGCAGGGATGCGGGTGGGCTGGCCAGGCAGCGTGGCCAGGGGGCTTCGAGCCGGGGCAGTGAACCATCCCCCAACTTTTTAAAGTTTTAAAAGTCATATTTACGCAAGTGTAGTTTACATTCAGTATAATCCATCCTGTGACATGTGAGTTTCAACAAATGCACACTCATGCAACCACCACCGTAATCCAGATGAACAGTTGCAAGAAGATGTAGAATCTCTCCAAATATTCCACCAGGCCCCTTTGCAATCAACGCCTCCCTGATGGCCAGGAATCCATTGATCTGCATTCTGTCAGAAGATTCAGAGTTTATCATTAAAATGATCTATTATGGAAAATATTATAAGCATACAAAACACAAAACCAAGTTTTAAAAAGTGAGGTATTTCTTAAAAGTTTAGTATACAAACAAAATGAAGGTACCTTCACATTTTACTACAGATGTGCAGATAGTTTTCTTGTTGCACAGAGATAAGGCAGAATTAAGTCAGAATAATGTTCTAAAACTGACCTCCGGAAGAACTTGTCTTAGTCATTTCTTTGCAGAGTATGTGAACCAAGATTCGGGTTTGGTCTTTGGTGTTAGCACTGTGTCAAGGATCAGATAGAAAGTACAAATGGAGGGGCCCCTTTCTGAGGCCAGGCCCCACTGTCGGGGCATGTGGGGTGACCAGGGGCCAATACCAGCTGAGGCTAAGAGGCTGCTCTCAGAAGGGTAGGTTTCCAGGTGTCTCTTGAACCCTTTGTTCAGAACCAGGACATGTGTGGCTGGGCAGCAGCCTTCAGACCCCCCACAGGCTGGTGCCCGGTGCCCACAGCCCTCTGTTGGGTTGTCAGGCCCCTGCACCCGTGGTGGGGTGTTGGGCTCCAGAGTTCCCTGGGACCAGCTGATCTCTTGTCCTTGGTTTTGGCCCAAATGCAAGCCCCTGGTCTCCTCCAAGTAACTTCCTTTCCCCAGGGCTGTCCAGGCCCCACCGCTGCCTGTTCCTTCCCAGGGCCTCCCGCAAGTCCCGATGCTGACGCCTCTCTGCCCACCTAGTTTGTGGCCGCCGCCTCCAGCTCTGTGTCTGCCTCCCAGCGAGGGAGCCGTGGTTGATTATCTCGTGAGTGTCTGCCCTTCTGAAGGGTACAGTGTGAAGTCTCATCAGTCTCACTTCAATGCCTAAGCACCTCTTCAGAAACCAGGGAGTCATCCGGGTTTCTCCATCTTTAACCATGTTTTCTAAAGGTTTTCTTGGCAATTTCCTGGCCATTTGCAAGACAGGATTTTTTGGTTGCCAACTTCCAATTAGCTTTAAACTTGCCACGATCTCCCAGGTCATCCCGTCCATCGATGATGCTTATTACATTCTTCCTGATTTCCATGTGGCCAAATTCAATAGTTATTTACCCCAGGCTTGTATTTTGGAGGCTAAAGAACTCTGTTACCAGCTATATCCGTGCTGTGGCTGCCGTAACAAAATATCACAAATGTGGCTTAAAACAACAAAAATTTTTTCAGAGTTCTGGGA
Source organism: Homo sapiens (assembly GCF_000001405.40). NCBI lineage: Eukaryota > Metazoa > Chordata > Mammalia > Primates > Hominidae > Homo > Homo sapiens. Next base: position 221,071 of record NT_187600.1, read on the forward strand.
GTCAGAAATCTGAGATCAAGGTGTTGGTGGCTGTCTCTGAGTGCTCCAGGGGAGGACCGTCCACCTCTTCCAGCTTCCTGTGGTGCAATAGTTTGGATGTGCGTCTCTCCAAATTTCATGTTGAGATGTGATTCCCAGTGTTGGAGGTGGGCCTGGTGGGAGGTGATTAGATCATGGGGCTGGACCCCTCATGAATGGCCTAGCACCATCTCCCAGGTGATGAGCGAGTTCTCCCTCAGTTAGTCCCTGTGACAGCTGGTTGTTTAAAAGTCTGGGACGTGCCACTTTCTTCTCTTGCTCCCTCTTGCCATGTGACATGCCTGCTCCCCCTTCGCCTTCTGCTGTGATTGCAATCTCCCTGAGGCCTCGCCAGAAGCAGATGCCAGGGCCGTGTTTCCAGAACGGCCTGCAGAAATATGAACTAATTAAACCTCCCTTCCTTCCTTCTCTTCTGCCTTCCCTGCCCTTCCCTTCTGCCCTGCCCTTCTGCCCTTCTGCTCTTCCCCACCCTTCCCTTCTTCTTGTCTTTTCAAGACAAGTTCTCACTATGTTGCCCAGGTTGGTCTCAAACTTCTGAGCTCAAGTGATCCTCCTGCCTCTGCCTCCCAAAATGCTAGGATGACAGGTATGAGCCACAGTGCCTGGCCTAAACCTCTTTTCTTTATAAATTACTAGCCTCATGTATTTTTTTTTCTAGTAACACAAACTAACACAGAAATTTGGTATTGAGGAGTGGAACATTGCTATAAAGATACCTGAAAATTTGGAAGCAGCTTTGGAATCAGGTAACAGGCAGAGAAGTTAGAAGAATTTGGAGGACTCAGAAGAAGACAGGAAGATGAGGGAAAGTTTGGAATTTCTTAGAGACTGATTAAATGGTTGTCACCAAAATGCTGATAGACATATGGACTGTGAAAGCCAGGCTGATGAAATCTCAGATGGAAATGAGGAACTTATTGGGAACTGGAGTAAAGGTCACGCTTGTTAAATCCTAAGAAACAACTTGGCTGCATTGTATTCATGCCCTAGGGATCTGTGGAAGTTTGACCTTAAGAGTGATGACTTAGGACATCTGGTGGAAGATACTTCTAAGCAGACATTTCTAAGGTGTGACCTGGTTGCTTCTAACAGTCTATGGTAAGATATGGGAGCAAAGGAATGACTTAAAGTTGGAACTGATATTTAAAAGGTGCAAATGAAAAAATAAAATGCTAATGCAAGGGGATTCCAAAGAAACCTGGAAAACCAGTTCAGGCCATGACAGGAAGGGGAGGGTGGTTTGGACTCCCTCACTATACCCTCTCCCTGTTGGAGTTTAGGCTCAGCTGACCGGTGTTAACATTAAAACAGGGAGCTTAAGACTGACAAAGCAGACTCTTTGTAGCAATAAGATATCAAATTCCAACCTGACTCTGGTATAGCATCACATGACAGTTGGCAGGCATGGAAGGAAATTAAAGTATTTTATGCCAGAATATATTTCTCTGACACATTTTGGAATGGCCCTGCAAAGCCGTCTCTTGTGGAGGAAATGTATATTCTGTCGAGAATCTTTTTCCCTTTCCAGGTCTCTTCCTGATTCAGGAGAGATTTATCCAAGAGTCTGGCACCTTTTAGGTTCTGATAAGAGACATTGACCATCTCTTCTCTCTGGAACGTGGAGGCTTCATCTACATAACAAGAACCTTGGCTTCCACAACCTGCTTTATCTTAAGCATTGCTTTTTGCTGACTTCAACTTTTTAGATAATTTAAATTTTTCAGCCAATTGCCAATCAGAAAATCTTCAAATCCACCTATGATTTGGAATTCCCCACTTTGAATTGTCCTGCCATTCCAAACCAAACGAATGTATACTTTACATGTATTGATTGATGTCTCATGTCTCCCTAAAACATAAAACCAGGCCGCAACCCAAGCACCTTGCACACATGTTCTCAGGACCTTTTGAGGCTGTGCCACAGTTCATGGCTCTCACATGTGGCTCAGAATCAATCTCGTCAAGTGTTTTATAGAGTTTGGCTTTTTTCATCAACAAAGGGAAGCAGAGCATAAAAAATTTGGAAAATTCATGGCCTGGCCATATGGTAGAAAAGAAAAGGTATTTTCAGGAGACAAATATAAGTAGGCTATGGAGCAGCCAGTTGCTAGAGAGATTAGCATAACTAAAAGGGAGCTAAGTGCTCATATCCAGAACAAAGGGAAGAAGGCCTTGAAGGCATTTTGGAAATCTCTGAGGTGGTCTTTCCCATCACAGGCCCAGAGGCCAAGAGGGAAAGGATGGTTTTGTGGGCCATGGCCATGGCCACTGCTGCCTGTGCAGCCTTGGGACACTGCTCTCCACATCCTGGTTCCTCTGGCTCCAGCCTTGGCTCAAAGGGCCCCAAGTATAGCTTAGGCTGCTTCTTTGGAGAGTGCAAGCCACTATAAGCCTTGGTGACTTCCATCTGGTGTTAAGCCTGTAGGCCCCCAGAATACACGAGTGAAGGAAGCTTGGCATCTTCCCTCTAGATTTCAGAAATGTATGAGAAAGCCTAGGTGCCCAGACAGAAGCCTCCTGCCAGCATGGAGCCCTCACAGAGAACCTCTACTAGAGCAGTGCCAAAGAGAATGTGGGGTTGAACCCCCATATAATGTCCCCACCAGGGCACTGCCTAGTGGAGCTGTGGGAAGGGGGCCACTGTCCTCCAGACCCCAGAATGGTGGATCCACTGGCAGTTTGCACCCTGAATCTGGAAAAGCCACAGGCACTCAACTCTATCATGTGAGAGAAGCCACAGGGGCAACATCCTCCAAAGCCACAAGGGTAGAGTTTTCCAAGGCCTTGGGAGCCCACCCCCTGCACCAATGTGCCCTGGATATGGGACATGAAGTCAAAGGAGATTACCTTGGAGCTTTAAGATTTAATGACTGCCCTGCTGGATTTCTGACATATATGGGGCATGTAGATCCTTTCTTTTTGCCAACTTCTCCCTTGTGGAATGGGAATGTTTACGCAATGTCTGCACTCTCATTGTATTTTGGGAGTCAATAATTTGTGTTTGATTTCATAGGCTGATAGGTGGAAGGGACTCATCTTCAGATGAGACTTGGGACTTGGGAAATTTGGGTTGATGCTGGAATGAGGTAAGACTTTGGGGGACTGTTGAGAAGGCATGATTGTATTTTGCAACATGAGATTTGGGGGACCAGGGGTGGAAGGATATGGTTTATATATTTGTCCCCTCCAAATCTCATGTTGTAATATGATTCCCAGTGTTGGAAGTGGGGCCTGGTAGGAGGTGATTAGATCAAGGGGGAAGATCCCTCATGAATGATTTAGAATCATCCCCTTGGTGATGAGTGAATTCTGCCCCAGTCAGCTCACACACAGTCTAGTTGTTTAAGTCTGGGGCCCCCCCTCAGCCTCTTGCTCCCATTCTTGCCATGTGGCATACCTGCTCTCCCTTCACCTTCTGCTATGACTGTAAGTTTCCTGAGGTCCTCGCCAGAAGCAGATGCTGGTGCCATACTTCCTATACAGCCTGCAGAACTGTGAGCCAATTGAACCTCTTTCCTTCATAAGTTACTCAGCCTCAGGTATTTCTTTACAGTAATGCAAATGGACAAACACAGGTGGCTCCTGACACACCGCTCATCTTCTCCTTTGTCATCATATGGCTTACCTCCATGTATGTCTTTGTCCTCTCCTCTTATGAGGACACCAGTGTTTGGACTTGGGATCCATCCAAAATTTAGTATGATATCATCTCAAGTCCTTAACCTAATTTGTAAAGACCCCATTTCCAAATAAGGTCACATTCTGAGGTTCCAGGTGGGCATACATTTGGCCAGGGAGATGCCATCAGCCCACCACACCAGCCTACGCAGGTACATTTGCATATAGCTTAGGGTTGACCTTTCCCATGGAAGTATTACATCCCCCTCTGGACTCCAGTTTCACATGTTTTAGAATGCTTCACCTTGTCCAGCAGGATGAGTCTCTTTTCATTTTTTAGTATTTTTCTCTCTCTTCTTTGGATTGGATTAAAAAGAATTGACATATTCTATTGATGCATCTTTAAGTTTTCAGTTCCTTCTTATGTCTTGTCCAATCTGTTATTAAACTTGGGTAATGTTTTTCTCTTTCTTTTCTTCTTTAATAAAATAGAGATGGGGTTTCACCATGTTGCCCAGGGTGGTCTCAAACTCCTGAGATCAAGTGATCCTTCCATGTTTGGCCTCCCAGAGTGCTAGGATTACAGGTATGAGCCACTGGGCCTGGTCAAATGATGTTTTTCATTTCCGAATCATACTCTTAGTTCTAGAATTTTCATTTGCTTCTTGTAACTATTTTCAGTTTTTTATAGAGATACCTCATCTAGTCACTCATGATAACCATATTTTCCTTTAAGTCTTTGAACATATTTAACATAACTTCTTTAAAGTCCTTGTCTGATAACTGTATCTGCATCTAGGTCATCTTGGAGTTGATCTCCATTGATCCCTTTTTCTTTTAACTATGGATCACATTTTCATATTTCTTTGCATACCTGGTAATTTTGGATGTGCACCTGATGTTGTTAACATGTGTACAGGCTATGGGGTTTGCATTCTTCCTTAGCAGAACATTAATTGTTTTTTTCAATGTTAGCAAGCAGTTAGCTTGAGTTGACTCAAACTCCCCAGTCTGTCTGCCTGGCAGTTGGCAGTAGCTGGAATCTCAGTTCTCTTGACCTTACACGTGTTGCTTTCTGCTGGGCCCTTTGGAGTTTTCCCTACCCATGCACACCTAAGGGATCAGCCAGAGGTTTCAGTGGAGTTTACTTGCAGATTGTGGGGTTTCCCTTCGGTGACCTTCTCCTTTATGGACATCTTCTCTTCATTTCCAGCTGCTCTGAAAATGTAGCCCGGCATCCCACTCCTCACCAGGAGGGCTGCAGTTTCCTGCTTGAACTCTAGCTGTACCCATTACATGCCCTGGAGTGTGACTTCAGACGAATATTTAACGGAATAATCCTTACTAGTGTTTGCCTACTTCTGGTCATGTTCCAGTGCCTGCAATTGGTGTGTGTGGGTGTTGTGTGTGCTTACAGCGTTTCTAGTGTTTATAATTGCCATCTGCCAAAGGGCTAGTCTGATATTAGCTGCTCCAGAATTATTGGAATCAGAACTACTTTCTCTCATGTGGTTTTTCATTTTCATTTCCCTGTTGACTAGTGTGGTTCAACATCTTTTCATATGTTTAGTGGCTATTTGGATATCTTCTGTAAAACATCTGTTCAATTCTCTTGCCTATTCCTTGTTGGATTATTTGATTTTTTTTCTCATTGGTTTACAGTGGTCTTCTTTATATTATGGATCTGTTTGTGTCAGTCAGTTATATATGTTTATAGGAAGCATTAAGAAGAACTGAAATGGACCAAAAGATTAGTAGGTGCCTTCCATGGAAAGCAAGGCATCGTCTTGTACACTCTTCCAAGTTATTTCATTCTATGGAGCTCTGCATCTTTTATTTCCTTTGAACTATTTTACACCTCTATAAGCCAGGGGTCCCCAACCCCTGGGTCATGCACTGGAATCTGCTCATGGCCTGTTAGGAACTGGGCCACAGAGCAGGAGGTGAGGGGTGTGTGAGCATTCCTGCCTGAGCTCCACCTCCCGTCAGATCAGTGGCAGCATTAGATTCTCATAGGAGCGAACCCTATTGCGAGCTGCACATTCCCAGATCTAAGTTGCACACTCCTCGTGAAATCCTAATGCCTAATGATCTGAGGTAGAACAGCTTTGTCCCCAAGCCATCCCCCGATCCTGGTCTGTGGAAAAATTGTCTTCCATGGAACTGGTTCCTGGTGCCAAAAATGTTGGGGACTACTGCTCTAAGTTGTACATAATTGATAGCAATGCAAAAGCTCTTTGAGTTGGTAGAAATTCAAGTTCTCACCTTTGGAAGGACAATGAATTGCTCCTCATCTTCCAGGGAAAAGGCCAGTTTTGCATCTATCTATGAACTCCTTTTAGCATTCCTGAATCAATTATGTAAGTGTAGTACTTAGAATTCCACTTTGAACTGGTTACGACACCTTAATTAATGAGATAAAGAGCATCTCTGAAATGTGTCGTCATATGTTTATGTGAGTCCTGATCATAACAGTTTTAGAAAATGATCTTTTAACTCGTTGTGATTTCTTCTCCCTCATGGCCCCACCCAGCCGCAGTATCCAGGGAGCTTAGTTTTCTGTGGCCCAGGAGGGCAGGAGAACCGGTGTTGATGAGGAGATCTGAGGTTGGCCCCAACTTTTCCCCACAGCTCTGCTTCAAGGAGTGCCCTGGGAAGGCCTCCCAACCCCACACCTGTCCTGTTGGCCAAGGCGAGCTCCATGCCATGTGGCATCTCTGCCGCTGGCCACCTGGTGAGTATCTGTTGAATAGAGAAATGTGCAGCATCTCCACAGAGCCTCCAGGGCTTCTGTGCTCTCCAAACATCTCTGGGCTCCTGGCACCCTCTCAGGGTATGATGTGTTGGTGTCTGGGTTGGGCCCCTGTCCCTGAGGGTAGGACTCAGGCAAGGACAAAGCTCTGGACTCAAAGAGCTGGTGTGGGGGTGAGTGAAAGGAACAGGAGCTTTGGGGTCAGAAATGCGGGTTTCAGCCTGCATTGTCCCCATGAGCAGGGGCTTGCAGGCTCACCAAGACCTCAGTTTCTACCATGGTGAGAGAGTGTCAGAGACTGCAGCACGTATTTGAAAAGCGTCCAGGGACGGCAGGGGTCTGGGTTGGACCAGCTCTCCTGAATACTGAGGGTGCGACCTTGACCATTGTGAAAGGAAAATAAAATCTCAGGACTCCAAACTCACTATGCCAAAATGAACAGTTGAGGTGGGAAGCTGAGTCATGAAAAAAAAAAAAAGTCATGCCTTTCCTTTTGTTTCCAAAGTGATAGCAGCAGCAGATAGGCCAGGTCTACCCAGGTGGCCTCCCTCACCCTGAGAATATAAATTAACAGGCCGGTCTTCATGACATGGGACAAAATGAGACAAGAAATCGTTCCTCCTACCCCTGAGACGAATGCATATTTGACTTCTTCCTCTACTCTGTTTATTTGCTTATAAAGTGCAGATTTACTGAGCACAAGGCGAATGCGTAATTGCTCCCTCCACCCCTCCTTTTCATGCAACGTGGGGGCTCAGTGAACTCTAATCAAAGCCTCACAAGAATGTGACCCTCCCCTCTTGCTTTTTTCTCTTTCATCTTTCCCCTCCTCCAGCTTTTCCCCTTTTCAATATTGAAGCAGGTCGTAGTGTGACTCTGCCTGGGGTCAGGTGTGGGGTGGTCCACATGGACAGTGAGAAGGTGGTCCCTGCCCGTGGTGGTCCGGGTTTCCTGGGAGATGGCCAGACGTGGATTCTGAGGGGAAGAGGCCAGTGCAGTTGCTGGACTGGAGAGAGCATGTCCATTGTGCTGAGCGGGCTGGGAGGGATCCACAGAGAAGACGGTGTGGCTCAACAGCTGGCACCGGGGACGGGAATGTGGGTGAAGGGCCTGGCACATGGAGTAGCTCAAGGCGTGAGACTGTGACCCACCTGGGGAGCCCGTGCATGAGTGCACTGGGTGGGTGCTGGGGTTGCAAGTGCGTGTGTCCCTGTGTGAGGACCGTGTGAGTACCCGTGTGTGCCACATGGCCCCCGTGCGTGGCAGGCATGTGCAGCCTGAGTACCATACCAGACGGGGCGTTCTGTCTCCTCCAGGCCCGGCCCTGCCATGTGAGCAGGGAGCTTCCCCATGGGACTGATGTTCTGTCTCCTCCAGGCCTGGCTCTGTCCTACCATGTTAGCAGGGAGCTTGGCCATGGGAGTGGTCGGCACAGGCATGGCTGTGCCGGGCCTCACTGGCTGGACTCGGTGGGGACACCATACCCCTTGCTGAGTGTGGGTAGCAGAGTTTGAGGTGCCTTCTGGGAGGTGTTCGGGCAGAGGCAGGGTTGGGAGTGTGTGGGGAGATGGGTGTTCAGCTAGCCTCCTTCCCTGTGCAGGGGCTCAGCTGAAACCTGGGCTCTCACTCCCCTCACCCCTGCCTCCCCAGCATCCTCCCTCTGCCCCTCTCTTCAGCCTGCCTTGGGCCTTGCTCTGAGACCGCTGCTGAGAGGACAGGAGGAGCTTCAGCAGCACCCTGTGCTGGGTGGACGCTGAGGTCACTGCCTTGCTCTGTGTCTCCTCACAAGGCCACGTGGTGGCAGGTCCTTCTTGCAGTCTAACCAGAGTCCTGCTTGCTGCTCTGCAAGCCCACTTGGGTCACGTGGGGCAGGGGCACCTGGCAGGGTGGGCTTCGTGGACTCAAGGGCCACCAATTCCTCCAGGTCAACATGCTCAGATGGTTCTATTCTCCCCCTTCCCTTGGCTACAGGGACCTCTGTATCCTGGGGTGGCCACAAATGTCAGAACACAGGAGTCACACCAGGAATGCCACACCATGTCACACCACATCTCATTATGTCACGCCAGGGATGTCACGCCACATCATACCATGAAACTTATCATCACACTAGGGATGTCGTACCCTGCCACACCCCATCATACCACATCACACCACCTCACACCAGGGACATTATACCATGTCACACCACATCCCACCATGTCACGCCACCTCACACCACATCACATTATATCACACCACGTCACACTATGTCACAGCCTGTTACGCTTCATCACACCACATCACACCAGGGATGTCACACTGTGTCACACCACATCCCAGCATGTCCAACGCCACCTCACACCAGGGACATTACACCATGTCACACCACATCACATCACCCCTCGGATATCACACCGTCATACCACATCATACAACATCACACCATGTCCTGTCGCATCATGCCACATGACATCCACGTCACACCAGAGACATCACACCACGTCACACCATGTCATGTTACATCACAGCATGGACTGCTGGGGTATGTGCAGGGGCCGCCCACAGTGCAGCCTTGCTGGAGAGTTGAGGGAGGGTCCTGGGGCTGGGCATGGTGTTCCCTCAGGAGGGCTGACCCTCTGGAGGATGCTCGGTCCCAGGTGGAAAGGGGGCGGTGGGCCCCGGGTGGCTCAGGGAGGGGCCCAATTTCCCCAGGGGAACCTGGTCCAGGCGCCAGGCCCTGCAGGGGCAGGAGCTGCAGGAAGCATCTGCTTCTTCCCAACTCAGCCTGCTCAGTGCACGGAATGACCCGGAGCCCGGCACCGTCCTGGGTTTCCTTTCCTTATCCTGGCCAGGCCGTCCATCCTCAGACAGTGGACTGGAGCCCACCCCACCAGGGCACCCGGAAGCCCGTAGGGCCCCTTGAAGGGCAGAGGGTGGAGATCTCTCCAGCAGGGTCCCTGAGGGCTGGCACCTTCTCTGGACAAAGCTCTCCTGCATCTCTGGGACGCCATCCTTGGGCTTGGGATAGAGCCGGTGATGCAGCAGCTGCCCGCCCTGCACCCCAGGTGCTGTCTCCCTCACCCCCCGCGGGGCTGCAGCAGCGTGTCCTGAGAGTTAAAGGGCTGGGCTTCAGCACCCAGTTCAGGCCAGGCCCCCTGGAGCCCACCCTCCAGTGGCGAGCCTTCCCACGGCATGGCAGGGCCTGGAGTCTGGGGATTTAGTCCCCAACTCTGTGTTTGGTGAAGCTCCAGCTGCTCGATGCCACACAAACGAATCCAACCACTCCTCCTTCCTGGGTGAGATGGTCTCTCTCCTGCCACAGGCAACTCCGACGGCATTTTCCAGCCACCGCAGCCACCGCAGCCACTGCAGTAACAAGACCCTGTCCTTGACTGAGTTCCAGCCAGGCTCCTCGGAGCCTCTCCACTCGGCCTCAACCTTGGCTTGTAAAGACTTGAGCAGACACTAACAGTTTCTAACAGCTTCTGGCCGTACCCCTAGGCCGACCCCTGCCCCGTCAACACCTGCCTGAGAAAGCTCCGTGCACCAGAACTCACCGTTTGGACCAACCCCGACCTCCCTTTCTCAGGGTATCTGCTGAGAGGGCCGCAACCACACGTCCTTCTGTCTGTTCCCGATGTCTGTGCATTTCCTGTGACCCAGGAGGGTCTTTCTCGGGACCTGAGAGCCGCTCCCTGAAGTGTCCCCATTGGGAAGGATGGGGCCTGTGTCTCCAGGCTCTGGGAGGACAGAATCCTGACCTCAACAGTGGCCGGCACGGACACAGCGGGTCCCATCCCGGGGACGCTGACCAGCGCTGGGCAACTTTTCCCTTCCCCGACGACTGAGCCCCGAGCACCCACCCTGCTCCCCCTACCACCTCCCTTTACAAGGCTGTGGCCTCTGCACAGATGAAGGTGAGTCCAGGTCATGCCGGACTCTTTCTTCTGTTGCAATAGTTATTTCTGTTGAAAATCCGTCCTTGCTACATGACCTAGTGCCCAGGGGGATGCTGAGACAGGATGAATGTATTCTGCATGTGAGAAGAACATGAATTTTGGGGGCCAGAGTCTGGACTGTGATGGGTTAAATCGTGGCCCCTACAAATTCATATATTCAAGTCTTAATCCCTGGCCTCACAATGTGACTATTTGGAGATGGGGTCTTTACAGAGGTCATTAAGTTCATAGGGGGTCACTAATCTAATCTGATGTGTGTTCTTATAAGAAGAGAAGCTTAGGACACGGGCACACAGAGGGATGGCCACGTGAGGACCAGGGAGGAGACGGTGTCTACAAGCCAAGGAGAGAGGGCTTGAGAGAAACCAGCCCTGCCTGCATCCTGATCTCAGATTCCTGGTCTCTAGGCCTGGGAGGATCCATGTCTGCTGTGGGAGCCGCCCCGCTGTGGTCCTGAGCTGACGCACACAGATCTGACACCCACCTCTCGCTTCGGACCATGGTTGGTTCTGGAAGGCCCTCCCTGTGGCTCTGCCTGGCCAGCCTGAGCCAGCTCCCAGCCTCGACCCAGCTTTCCCTGGAGGCCCTGTCCCCCGCAGAGTGACCAGGGCAGGCAGCACCGTGCCCAGCAGGAGGAGAAACTGCATCCATGTAGAAAAGAGGAGAAGCCCCGGGGGTCCATGTAGCGACAGGGGCCAGGGAGGGTCGCTCGGGCAATGCGTGTGGCTGCAGGAGGCGGGGGGCGTATGCAGGGAGCCCCCGAGGTGCAGCTGGACCAGCCTCCTCCTGAATGTGCTTCCCACCGGGGGCAGGAGGCGCGTGGACACAGGAAGGCGGCTCCCATCACGAAGTACAAGACTTAAAAAGGATATTTTATTGTCATCACAAAAGAAACATCAAAGACAATTAATGAGCTTTAGAAAATTTAAAAGAAGAAGAAAAGCTACCAAAGCTGAAATGGTGGCACCTCCTTCGAGTGAGCCCGGGAGTCCTCCCTGACGGCCGAGGCAGGCGCTGGCCGCAGTCCCGCTCGAGCCTCCCTTCCTGTCTGCGGATTCTGCGTGACAGTCACGGAACGGCGTGATGGGGGCAGCAGAGCGTGGGGGCCTCTGTCCAGCACTCGTGGCCAGCAGCCCCGCTTTCGCAAGAACACGGGCACCCTCTTTGGCATCTTGCCTCTCCACCTGGTGCCCCCAGAGTGGCTGCTTGTTCCTGCTGCACGTGACCCGGGGCTGGACGCCAGCCTCTGTGATGAGTTCTGGCTGTGTCCACGCTCCTGGCTCTCCCGGTGTCCCTCCACCTCTCTCCCCGATGCTCCTGGGCCTCCTCTGTCCTCAGGCCCCACCAAGGCTGAGTCTTGCCCGCCTGGGACCTGGTCACCAGCCTTCTCTGGGAGGCCTGTCTGGGCAGATGCCCAGCCCTTCCTTGGGCTATCCTCACTCTTGCACTGTGGGGCTCCTGCAGTGGCCACATGGCCCAGGCTCTTCTCTGAGTGATCTCGGTGGACTGGAGTGGGTGGGAGGTGGCAGTGTCCTGGGCCTGGCCCCTTCTCTCCCCAGTGCGGACTCTGGGGCTGGCTGTCCCTGCGGGTCCAGTTCCACCCGAGAATCCAGCAGTGTAGGCAGGCAGCCAAGGGGTGGTGCTGGCACCGAGACTGTTCCCAGGAGCCAGAGAGCAGCGTTCTTTGCTTGAAATCAGAACAACCTCATTCCTCATGTCAGGAGTTCACGGGAGTGCCCGGAATGGAGGCTGGCTGGCTGCGGGCTGGGAGGAAGGCCGTCTGAGTGAGCCTTCGCAGCTCTCGGAAGCCTCCCCAACAGGGCCTGATGGTGCTGTGGCTTCCCTACCTTGGCGGCTGATGCTCCCACTCACCATCTGGAAACCACGCCTGTGTTCAGGAGGCTGGCGTGGACGGGGTTGGCTCCAGGGCCAGCTCCTGCCTGGGTGGGGGCCTCGGATGCTGGTCACTGCCTCCTTTTGTGTGAGCATCTGGCGGTCTGGAGGGCAGGGACATCCTGCTGAGGGGACACCTGGTCCCCAGCTCCCTGCATGCACCAAGCAGCGGAGGTCTGGGGTAGACCTGCTATGCACAGGGTCTGGAAGGGGGGCGTGTCAGGGCTCAGAGGGCGACTGCAAAGACAGAGAGCCATGGGGTTGAGGGCGGTGAGGTCGGGGGCAGTTGTGGCCTGGGTGGTGGCTGAGCATGGCCCACGGCTCGTGTGTGGGATCTGGGTGGCCCTGGACACCCCGCAGAGGGTGGCCCTAGGCCCCCTGCCCAATCATGTTCCTATAGTCGGGGATGATGGTCTGCTTCAGGTCCACCACCGAGGAGAAGATCCACTTCACCTGTAGGCAAGGCACAGCACAGGGGTGAGCGAGGCCACAGCCCTGCCCCCGAGGCCTGCTCACCCCTCAGGCCACCCAGGCCACAGCCCTGCCCCTGAGGCCTATCCGGCCCCTCATGCCACCCATGTGCCAGGGCCTCACCACTGCCTGCTCTGAGGCCTGGACATGGAGAGCAGAGCCAGGGCAGCAACAGCATGTGGACAGCACAGAAGATAGTGTCAGGTGGGGACAGCACGGGGGACAGTGTCAGAGACAGGTGAGGACAGCATGGGGGACAGTGTCAGGGACAGGTGAGGACAGCATGGGGGACAGTGTCAGGGACAGGTTGAGACAGTGTGGGGGGAGAGTGTTGGGGACAGGTGAGGACAGTGTGGAGGAGAGTGTTGGGGACAGGTGAGGACAGCATGGGGGACAGTGTCAGGGATAGGTGGGGACAGCGTGGAGGACAGTGTCAGGGACAGGTGGAGACAGTGTGGGGGAGAGTGTTGGGGACAGGTGAGAACAGCGTGGAGGAGAGTGTCAGGGGCAGGTGGGGACAGCATGGGTGACAGTGTCAGGGAGAGGTGGGGACATCATGGAGGACAGCATCAGGGACAGGTGGGGACAGTATGTGTACAGTGTCAGAGATGGGTGAGGACAGCATGGGGGACAGTGTCAGGGACAGGTGGAGACTGTGTGGGGGACAGTGTTGGAGACACGTGGGAACAGCATGGGAGAAAGTGTCGGGGACAGGTAGGGACAGTGTGGGGGACAGTGTTAGGAACCGGTGGGGACAGCATAGGGGACAGTGTCAGGGAGGAGTGGGGACAGTGTGGGGGACAGCATCAGGGACAGGTGGAGACAGCGTAGGGGATAGTGTTGGCTACAGGTGGGGACAGAGTGGGGGACAGTGTCAGGGAAAGGAGGAAACAGAGTGGCGGACAGTGTTGGGGACAGGAGGAAACAGCATGGGGGACATTGTTGGGGACAGGAGGGGACAGCATGGGGGACAGTGTTGGGGACAGGTGGGAAAAGCATGGTGTACAGTGTTGGGGACTGGTGGGGACAGCATGGGGGAAAGTGTTGGGGACAGGAGGGGACAGTGTGTGGGACAGTGTTAGGGAGAGGTGGGGACAGTGTGGGGGACAGTGTCAGGGGGAGGTGGGGACAGTGTGGGGGACAGCGTCAGGGACAGGTGGGGACAGTGTGGGGGACAGCATCAGGGACAGCTGGGGACACCATAGGGACATTGTCGGGACAGATGGGGATGGCATGGGGGACAGTGTCAGGGACAGGTGGGGACAGTGTGGGGGACAGCATCAGGGACAAGTGGGGACCACGTGGGGGACAGCGTCAGGGAGAGGTGGGGACAGTGTGGGGGACAGCATCAGGGACAGCTGGGGACACCCTGGGGACATTGTCGGGACAGATGGGGATGGCATGGGGGACAGTGTCAGGGACAGGTGGGGACAGCGTGGGGGAGAGTGGTGGGGACAGATTGGGACAGTGTGGGGGACAGCATCAGGGACAGGTGGGGACAGCATGGGGGACATTGTTGAGGACAAGTGGGGACAGCGTGGGGTACAGTGTCGCAGATGAGTGGGGACAGCATGAGAGACAGTGTCAGGGACAGTGTCAGGGACAGGTGGGGATAGCATGGGGGACAGTGTCAGTGACAGTTTGTGACAGCATGGGGGACAGTGTGAGGGACAGTTTGTGAGAGCGTGGGGGACAGTGTCAGGGACAGGTGGGGACAGCCTGGGGACAGTGTCAGGGACAGTGTGTGACAGCATGGAGGACAATGTCAAGGACAGCTGGGGACAACGTGCGGCCGACCTTGAAGAAGGTGACGGTGGCACTGTAGCACACGCTTAACAGGAAGAGTGTGATGAAGATGGTGATGGTCGTCCACAGCCCGTCCAGCTCCCCGTCCTGCGCCTCCGCACAGCTCTCCTCCAGTTGCAGCTCTGGACAGGAAGAGGGTGGTCAGTGCTGTGTCCTGCTGGGCTCGGGCCTCTGGGGGTGATTCCCTCTGTGGCAGGACCCAGGATGTAGGGCCCGGCCGGGATGGGCCAACAGTGTCCTGAGGTCAGCTCCCCACAGCTGCCCGCCCTGGGCACCAGCTTTGGCCCCGGGACTCAGCCACACACCCGGCCCTAGATAGCGACCTGGCCCTCAGCAGGACCCACTCCCCGTCTCCCGTGTCCCTCCCTGAGGCCCAGAGGGCAGGAGGATGGTGAAGCCCACACCTCATGTGACCCCAGCTGCAGGGAAGGGCTGTATTGGGAAGTGGGCCAGTGCCAGGGACGCGACGTGGCGTGTGTTCCCCTGTGTGTGGGGGCCTGTGTGTGTGTGGCGGCTGCAGGGGCACCTTGTGAGAGGAGGGCTGGGTTTGTCTGAGCTGGTCAGCATGTGGAGAAGCTGCCGAGCGGCTCGTGGGCCTTGAGGTGCCGCGTGGGGCTCGTGGGGGCCTGTGTCCGAGGAGTGTTCACGTGTGCGAGGACCTTGCTCTGGTCTGGGTGCTGTGCGGTTCGCCCGGGTGAGGCTCCGTGTGTGAGGCGTGCACGTGTGTGTGTGGTGGCCGTGTGGCCGGCCAACCTCAGTGCGGGGTTTGTTGAACGGGTCTGGGCTGAGTGTGTGTGTGGGCATCTGGACCAGTCTCTCCACAGGGCCCGAGAGTGCATGTCCCCGGAGTCGGTTGTGTCCCCATGCGGGTGCGAGGCTGGGCAGGGCTGCCAGGGGTTAGTGCCGTGGGGGTAGATGGGTGAGGGAGGGCCTGTCCCTACGCACATGGACTAGGCATGCCCCCGAGTGGGCATGCGGGTCGGAGGACAGGGCGCTCACAGGACAGGACAGTCTCCTACAGAGGCAGGGGCTGTGTGTCTGTCCCCAGGGGCTCCTAGGGCTTCCCGTGGCCCAGCCCAGGGCAGCTGCTGCTGGAGGGAGGGCCACGCTGGCAAATCCCCCACCCTGCCGAGGGCAGCCCCTGGCTGAGCCCCACCCTAGGCGGCCCAGGCACACCTGCACAGCCTGGGCCAGTGTGGGGACAGTGGGACCCGCTCTGCCTCCCTCATGCCACTCAGGCCTCAGACTCGGCCTGACCCGTGGAAAGAACCATCACAGTCTCGCAGGGGCCCAGGGCAGCGCTGGGTGCTTTATTTCCATGCTGGGTGCCCGGGAAGTATGTACACGGGGTACGTGCCAAGCATCCTCGCGCGACCCCGAGAGCCCGGGGAGCGGGGGCTTGCCGGCCGTCGCACTCATTTACCCGGAGACAGGGAGAGGCTCTTCTGCGTGAAGCGGTTGTGCAGAGCCTCATGCATCACGGAGCATGAGAAGATGTTCCCCTGCTGCCACCTGCTCTTGTCCACGGTGAGCTTGCTGTAGAGGAAGAAGGAGCCGTCGGAGTCCAGCATGGGAGGCGTGGTGTTGTAGTTGTTCTCCGGCTGCCCGCTGCTCTCCCACTCCACGGCGATGTCGCTGGGGTAGAAGCCTTTGACCAGGCAGGTCAGGCTGACCTGGTTCTTGGTCATCTCCTCCCGGGATGGGGGCAGGGTGTACACCTGTGGTTCTCGGGGCTGTCCTGTAGGGACAGAGGTTGGCACAGCGGTCACTCCCAGGGCAGAGGGTGGGTCAAGCTGGCCTCTGTCCATGTGGCCCTCATACCCCGCGGGTCCCACCTTTGGTTTTGGAGATGGTTTTCTCGATGGGGGCTGGGAGGGCTTTGTTGGAGACCTTGCACTTGTACTCCTTGCCGTTCAGCCAGTCCTGGTGCAGGACGGTGAGGACGCTGACCACACGGAACGTGCTGTTGTACTGCTCCTCCCGCGGCTTTGTCTTGGCATTATGCACCTCCACGCCGTCCACGTACCACTTGAACTGGACCTCGGGGTCTTCGTGGCTCACGTCCACCACCACGCACGTGACCTCAGGGGTCCGGGAAATCATAAGGGTATCCTTGGGTTTTGGGGGGAAGAGGAAGACTGACGGTCCTCCCAGGAGTTCAGGTGCTGAGGAAGAGATGGAGGCAGATGTGTCAGCACCCGACTGGGACCTGTCCCTGGATGCAGGCCACTCTAGGGCACCTGTCCTGCCTTGAGCTGGAGGGCGAGGCCTGGGCTGGCTTACCTGGGCACCTTGGGCACGGGGGAGGTGTGTCACAAGATTTGGGCTCTGCAGAGAGAAGATTGGGAGTTACGGGGATCTGGGATGGAGGTGGATGCGTCAGCACCCTGCTGGGGCCTGTCCCTGGACTCAGGCCACTCTAGGGCTCTTGTCCCGCCTTGAGCTGGAGGGCGAGGCCTGGGCTGGCTTACCTGGGCACCGTGGGCATGGGGGAGGTGTGTCACAAGATTTGGGCTCTGCAGAGAGAAGATTGGGAGTTACGGGGATCTGGGATGGAGGTGGACGCGTCAGCACCCTGCTGGGGCCTGTCCCTGGACTCAGGCCACTCTAGGGCTCTTGTCCTGCCTTGAGCTGGAGGGCGAGGCCTGGGCTGGCTTACCTGGGCACCGTGGGCACGGGGGAGGTGTGTCACAAGATTTGGGCTCTGCAGAGAGAAGATTGGGAGTTACGGGGATCTGGGATGGAGGTGGATGCGTCAGCACCCTGCTGGGGCCTGTCCCTGGACTCAGGCCACTCTAGGGCTCTTGTCCCGCCTTGAGCTGGAGGGCGAGGCCTGGGCTGGCTTACCTGGGCACCGTGGGCATGTGTGAGTTGTGTCACCAAGTGGGGTTTTGAGCTCTGCAGAGAGAAGATTGGGAGTTACTCAGATCTGGGAAGAGAGAAGGTATCTGAGCTGAGTGAGTAGAGAGTTTGGCCTTTGGGGTGGGCTTAGGTCAGGGGCAGGGTCCTCCTGGATATGGCTCTTGGCAGCTCTGAGCGCAGCACCTGCCCCTGTGTGTGAAGGGCCTGGGGTAGGGGCATCCAGCCTGTGCCTGCCCGGAGCCTGGTGGAAAAAGCCAGAAGACCCTCTCCCTGAGCATGAGTGGGGCGGGCAGAGGCCTCCGGGTGAGGAGTCAGACGGGGCCTGCCTTGGTGCCCTGGGCTGGGACTGCACAGCCGGGATGCGTCCAGGCAGGAGGGCTGAGCCTGGCTTCCAGCAGACACCCTCCCTCCCTGCGCTGGCCTCTCACCAACTCTCTTGTCCACCTTGGTGTTGCTGGGCTTGTGATTCACGTTGCAGGTGTAGGTCTGGGTGCCCAAGCTGCTGGAGGGCACGGTCACCACGCTGCTGAGGGAGTAGAGTCCTGAGGACTGTAGGACAGCCGGGAAGGTGTGCACGCCGCTGGTCAGGGCGCCTGAGTTCCACGACACCGTCACCGGTTCTGGGAAGTAGTCCTTGACCAGGCAGCCCAGGGCCGCTGTGCCCCCAGAGGTGCTCCTGGAGCAGGGCGCCAGGGGGAAGACCGATGGGCCCTTGGTGGAAGCTGCAAGAGAGATGGCGCCATGTGACTGCGGTGTGGGACAGAGCTGGGCCCAGGGCGCAGAGGCCCCTCGGTTCTTGTCTATCCACGAGGGTCCAGGCAGGGTCCAGTGTCTGGGCTCACGGGCATTGGGTGTGCGCCTGGCTGGCGCCACCTGCCTCACCTTAGCCCCCTCCCTGCCCCAAAGCCAAGGTCAGGCCCGGCCCGCCCCAGAAAGCTTGCAGGACCGGTGGCCCTGTGGTGCCCTTCTGCAGGCACCCCTGCAGCCTAGGAGGCGGGGCTCGGCAGCCAGGTCAGCGCTCTGTGTCTGCCGGGAGTCAGCACAGTCCAGGGCCTCTAGCTTGGCCTCAGCTCTGGCCATCGGTGCCACCTCAGGGACGGCTCATGCCCATTGGCCCCACTCCAGCCTTTTATGGGTGCCTGGCTTGACCAGTGGACACTGTTCTCAGATGGCTTCTCGTGGGTCCCCTGAGTCCCCTGAAGCTCCTGACCCTGCCGCCCCAGCGTGGCCCTCCGCTAGTGAGTGGGCCTGACTTGCCCAGGGCCCTGGTCATAGCCTGCCCTCTGCCCTCCAAGGCCCTTTTCTTCTGTGCAGCAGAGGGGCCAGACACTGCATAGGGTCGGCGCCCTTCAGCCCCAGGGCCCCGGAACCCCCTGCCTTGGAATATCGCCCCGGGAGCCTCCTCCTCAGCCTCTCCCCTCCTTTCCCCTTAGCCCCAGTGTGCAGCAGCCCAGGTCAGGGCCCTGAGTGCCTGGATGCCCCCTGCCTCCCAGTGTCCTGCATTACTTCTGGAGGCTCAGTCACCACACCGTCACCCTCCCAGCCCTGGCCTGGCCTTCTCAGCCACCAGCCCACCTCCTCCCTCTCTCCAGAGCTTCCCCCGGCAAGGTCCCTGCTGGGCTCAACCCAGGCCCCCCAGCACAGGTAGGAGCCTTGCACCTGCCCTTGGCCCTCCCCACCCTGCGTGGTGCCAGGACCCCCAGGCCACAGGGAGGCCCCATTTCTCTCTGCTGCTGGCCCAGTGGCCCTGGAGTCCCACTGCAGGTGGGGTGTGCCCCTGACCTCTGAGGAAGCTAAGCGCCCTGCCCTCAGCCAGGCCATCCCCTCTGCTCAGCCCCAGGGCCCCGCTCACCACCCCTTCCCCTCACCTGCACCACAGGCTCTGGCTGACTCTGCCCAGGCCCTGAATGGGCCCCTCTGGCTGCCCTCTGCTGCTACACTGCCCTGCACCACCTCCACTCAGCTTCATTGTGCTGATGGTCCTGGCTCCTGGCAGCCCATCTTGCTCCTTCTGGGGCACCAGCCTCAGAGGCCTTCCTGCCCAGGGTCCGCTGGGGCCAGCCCTGGGACCCTCCTGGTCTCAAGCACACGTTCCCCCTGCAGCCACACCTGCCCCTGCCTGAGAGCTCAGCCCCGAGCCCTGGAACGCCTTCCCTTCTCCATCCCAGCTCGCCCTTGCCAACTGCTCAGTGGGATGGACTCACACTCCCTTCCCGGCACCAGGAGGCTGCACTGCACTTTCACCAGCCCTCAGCTGTCTGCTGCCGGCAACTACCCAGCTCCTGCCAAAGTCTAGGAGCTGCGTGCTGCCTCCCACCGTCCCTGCTCACCTGTGGCTGCTCTGCCCTGGTGCTCTGAGCTCCAGGAGATGCCCCCTGCTCCTCCTGCCCCCCACCTGCCCCTGCTCACCTGCAGCGGCTCTGCCCTGGTCCCCTGAGCTCCAAGAGCTGCCCCCTGCTCCTCCTGTCCCCTGACCCTGCTCCTGTTTGCCTATGGCTGCTCTGCCCTTGTCCCCTGAGCTCCAGGAGCTGCCCCTGCTCATTCTGCCGCCCACCTGCCCCTGTTCACCTGTGGCTGCTCTTCCCTGGTCCTCTGAGCTCCATGAGCTGCCCCTTGCTCCTCCTGCTTTCCACCAGCCCCTGCTCACCTACCGATGATCTTCCCCGGCTCTCTGAGCTCCAGGGGCTGCCCACCTGCTACCCCTGCTTCCCACCAGCCCTGCTTACCTGCAGCTGCTCTGCCCTGGCTGGCAGAGCTGCAGAAGCTGCCCCCTGCTCTGCAACCTCCCACCGGCCCTTCTCATCTTCTGATGTTCTCCCCTGTTCCCTGAGCTCCAGGAGCTGCCCCCTACTCGTTCTACCTCCCACCAACCCGTGCTCACCTGCGACTGCTCTGCCCTGGTCCCCTGAGCTCCAGGGGCTGCCCCCTGCTCGCCCACCTCCCACCAGCCATGCTCACCTTCTGATGCTCTGCCCTGATCCCCTGAGCTCCAGGACTGCCCCCTGCTCGTCCTGCCCCTCACCTGCCCCTGCTCACCTGAGGCTGCTCTGCCCTGGTCCCCTGAGCTAAAGGGGCTGCCCCTTACTCATCCTGCCTCCCACCAGCCCCTGCTCACCTTCTGATGCCCTCCCCTGGTCCCCTGAGCTCCAGGGGCTGCCCCCTGCTCGTCCTGCCTCCCACCAGCCCCTGCTCACCTGCAGCTACACTGCCCTGGTTCCCTGAGCTCCAGGAGCTGCCACCTGCTTGTCCTGCCTTCCACCAGCCCCTGCTCACCTGCAGCTACACTGCCCTGGTTCCCTGAGCTCCGGGAGCTGCCGCCTGCTTGTCCTGCCTCCCACCAGCCCCTGCTCACCTGTGGCTACACTGCCCTGGTGCCCTGAGCTCCAGGAGCTGCCCCCTGCTTGCCCATCTTCCACTGAGCCCTGCTCACCTGCAACTGCTCTGCCCTGGCTCTATGAGCTCCAGGGGCTGCCCCCTGCTGGTCCTGCCTCCCACCTGCCCTGCGCACCTGTGGCTGCCTCCTCACCTGTGGCTGCTCTGCCCTGGTCCCCTGAGCTCCAGGGTCTTCCTCCTGCTCATCCTGCCCCTCCACCGGCTCCTGTTCACCTTCAGATGCTCTCCCGTGGTCCCCTGAGCTCCAGGAGCTGCCCCCTGTTCTTCCTGCCTCCCACCTGCCCTGTGCACCTGTGGCTGCTTGGTCCTGGTCCCCTGAACTCCAATGCCTGCCCCCTGCTCACTCTGCCCTCCCTCAACCTGGGGCAGCAACGTCACTCGGTCCACTGTTGCCCCCCTGCCTGTCCTGGCACCCTCTGTCCAGGTTTAGGCTGTTTTTCTTGCCTCATTTTTGTTTTTGCAGCACTTGGCGTGTTCCCTATGCTGTGGAGCAGCCCCAGTGTCCAGTCAGGTCTCCCCAACAGAGCCCCTTGCCCTTGCCCATGTGCCCCTCCTGGATGAGCTCCCGGATCCTCCCGTCCCTGCACTGCTCCTGCTCTGGAAGCCTCTCCAGAACCTCAGCTCCTCAGTGGCCTCTGCTCTGCTGGGTCAGTTCCCTGAACGCACGGAGCCTCAGCCCCTCCCCTCGCCCCAGGCCTGCTGCACTCTGGGCCTTTCTGGGCCTCCCTGGACTCTTCCCTCCTCCCGCCCGTGCACTCAGCACAGCTCTCCCCTCCTCTCCGCTGCTGACCACAGCCCTGCTCCCGGCCAGCAGGTGCCCCAACCCCATCAGCTGGCTCTGAGCCCAGCCCCTGTGCCTCCCCTGTCCCTGCCTCTGCCTCTGGGCTCCTTGGCTTCCACCCTCCTGTCCTGCTGCCACACTCACCCTCCCTGCTCTGCTCCCAGCTCACCTGCTGTCCTTGGTCCTGGCTGAGAGGAGGGCCCTACGGCCAGCTCTGCTGACCCTGCCCTGGGCTCCGGTGATGCTGCCGGCCTGGACAAGCCCCTCGGTTCACCTGGGGCCTCTCCTCCTCCCTCTCTCTGCTGCCTCCTGAGCTCAGGTCGGTCATGCCCATCCTGGCATCACCCCATGGCTGGCTCTGCCCCATCCCGTCATGTTCCTCACACTCCCAGCCCGGTCGTCCTGGAGGCCTCAGTCAGCCTCTGGTGTGTCCTGCCCTGTTGGCTTGGAAGCCCCTGCCCACGGTCCCTGTCGTCTCGCACTGGGTGGGCATCGGTGCCTGAAGGCTGCCCACCTCCCCTGTGCTGGCTCCGCTTAGGCTTCCATGTGGGGCTGGCCTCGCCCCAGCCTCTCCCCAGCCTCTTGCAGCCTGTTCAGCAGCTCAGGTCCAGAAGCGCCGATGGCTGCGCCCAGGCTCTGTCCTTCTCCTGAGCCTGTGCTCCTGCCCTGTGCTGACCCCACTCACCGAGGTGGGGGTCTCAGCCCTTCCTGTTGTGGCGAGGTACATGTGGGCAGCCTTGCCCACGCTGTCAGCTGCCACTTGTCTTCCTAGGAAATCACAGCTCGGCCCCCAGGTCCCCAGGGGTGTGAACTCCACGCTGCAAACACTAAGAACAGGATTGAAACCGGCGGCACCACTTACTTCCTGAAGTTCCCTTTTCTTCTGGTGGTTTCTGTGTCAGAGGGCGAGGGGGAGTCCAGACACAGCTGAGGCTGCCTCATGGGTGTGTGGGGATGGGGGTGGTGGCTGCCCCCATACTCCCCCGTACTCACGGGAGAAGGTGGGGAGCCCGGACCTTGTGTGCTGCTCTTTTCTCTGTCTCTGAGTCCCTGGGGCTGGACTGAGACTGGCAACGATTATGACCATTCTGCCCGTGGTCTCAGCCTCTCAATACCTGGGCCTCTCATCTGAAGCTTCTGGCCCCCACTGGGCCCTGGTGGCTGCTTTTGCCTGGGCATCTCTCCAGCTGACTCTCACTCATGGTGCAGGGAGGGGAGTGTGAGTTCATCCTGCTGAGCAGCTGGCAAAGGCGAGCTGGGATGGAGAAGGGAAGGCGTTCCAAGGCTCAGGTCTGAGCTCACAGGCAGGGGCAGGTCTGGCTGCAGGGAGAATGTGTGTGCTTGAGACCAGGAGGGTCCCAGGGCTGGCCGAGTGGACCCTGCACAGGAAGGCCTCTGAGGCTGGTGCTCCAGAAGGAACAAGATGGGCTGCGAGGAGCCAGGGCCACCAGCTGTGCTCCTGGGGGCCGAGGGGACGTGGGACAGGCGGATGAACACACTGAGGCTGAGTGGAGGTGGTGCAGGGCAGTGTAGCAGCAGAGGGGAGCCAGAGGGGCCCATTCAGGGCCTGGGCAGAGTTGGCCAGAGCCTGTGGTGCAGGTGAGGGGAAGGGGTAGGGGGCAGGGCCCTGGGGCTGAGCAGGGGGGATAGCCTGTCTGAGGGCAGGGTACTTAGCTTCCTCAGAGTTCAGGGGCACACCCCACCTGCAGTGGGACTCCAGGGCCACTGGACTACCAGCAGAGAGAGAAATGGGGCCTCCCTGGGGCCTGGGGATGCTGGCATCATGCAGGGTGGGGAGGTCCAAGGGCATGTGCAAGGCTCCTACCTGTGCTGGGGGAGCCTGGACTGATCTCAGCAGGGACCTTGCCAGGCAGAAGCTCTGGATAGAGGGAAGAGCTGGGCAAGGACGTACGTGGAAGTGGGAGGTAGCAGGGAACGGAATGAGGCCAGAGGGCCTCGGGAAAGCCCGAGGAGGTGTCGCACAGGAAGTGTCCAGAATGGAAGAGGAAGCGTCCAGCAAGGAACAGGAAGAATGGACACTTGTGAGGGGAAATCATGTCCCTCCCACTAAATGTGCTCTCCACAAGGACCCGGCCCGCCCTTCTGTCCCTGCTGGATCCCTGAGCTGGCACCAGCCCTGCCCTCAGAGAGAACGTCCAGGAGACAGGTGGAGGTGCACGTGTGGGTCCCTGGGGAAATCCATCCTCCAGCCGCGGGCTCCCAGTCGGCTCCCAGCCTCTCGCTCCAGCTTCACCCCATGGAGCTCATAATGGGCTCAACCTCCCAGCCTGGGGGAGGACGGAGTGATGGGCCCCACACTGCCCATGGCACACCCAGGGGGCTGGGGAGACTGCACTTGGCTGGGGCAGGGAGGCCTTGTGCAGTCTGTGGGGCTGGCAGCTCAGGACAACACTCGTATCCGTTAAGTGCGGCCCTGGCAACACTGCACCCCAGACTGCGTGGCTTAAACAACAGACGTTTATTCCGTCCTGGTTCTGGAGGCCGGTCATCTGGGATGGAGGTCTCGGTGGGGCTGGCTCCTCTGTGTCATGGAGACTCTGTTCCAGGCTCTCTCCTTGCTGCTGGGCTTTGCCGGCCGTCTCTGCTGCTCTTGGCTTGTGGAAGCAGCACCATCTTCACAGGGCGTTCTCCACACGTGCGTCTGTGCCCAGATTCCCCCTTTTCATGAGGACAGCAGTCATATTGGATCAGAGGCTTGCCCTACTCCAGGGTGACCTCATCCGAACTTGATTGCAGCTGCAAAGACTGTTTCCAAACAAGGTCACATTCTGTGGTCCTGGGGGTTAGGACTTCAACACATGAATTTATAGGGGACACATTTTAACCCATGACAGTTTGCCCTCCGCTCCCCCCATAATCATGTCCTTCTCACAGGCAAAATCCCTGCATCCCATAGCAACATCTCCACGATGGCTAACCCCTTCCAGCACCAACTCTTAGTCCACAATCTCAGCGACATATCACCTGCATCAAGTGTGGGAGAAATGCAGGGTGATTCATTCTGGGGTGAAATTCCTCTCCATCTGTGGACCTTTGTAACTTGACAAGAAGTTATCTGCTTCCAAAGTACAATGATGGGGCAGGCATAGGATGGACATTCCTATTCCAAAAGGGATACATTGGAAGGGAGAGAGGAGCCATGGGTCCTAAGCAAGCCCAAAACCTAGTAGGGAAAACTGCATTAGATTTTTTTTGAAGAAAACAATATACTTTTATTTTAGCTGTTTAAAAGTTTTATGATTGTTTTTAATTGACACATAATAATTGTATATATTTTGGGGTACATTGTGATATTTGGATACATATATACAATGGGTGATGATCAAATCAGGATAATTAGTATTGGGGGAACCTGCCCCCAATATTTCAATGTAGGTTCTTTCTGTTTTCCATAATTGTTGGCCAGCTGAGAAATAAAGAGAGACAGTATAAAGAGAGGATTTTACAGCTGGGCAGCCGGGGGTGACATCACATATCAGTAGGACTGTGATGACCGCCTGAGCCTCAAACCAGCAGGTTTTTTGTTAAGGGTTTCAAAAAGGGAGGGGGTGTAAGCACAGGGAGTGGGTACAAAGATCACATGCTTCAAAGGCAAAAAGCAGAACTACTAATAAGGGTCTAACAAAGATCACATGCTTCTGAGGGAACAGGACAAAGGGCAAAAGCAGAACCACTGATAAGGGTCCAACAAAGATCACAAGGCAAAGGGCAAAAACAGAACTACTGATAAGGGTCTATGTTCAGCAGTGCATATATTATCTTGATAAACATCTTAAACAACAGAAAACAGAGTTTGAGAGCAGAGAACCAGTGTGACCACAAATTTACCAGGGTGGAGTTTTTCACCCCCCTAATAAGCTGAGGGTACTGCAGGAGACCAGGGCGTATCTCAGTCCTTATCTCAGTCCTTATCTCAACCACATAAGACAGACATTCCCAGAGCGGCCGTTTATAGACCTCCCCCAGGGATGCATTCCTTTCCCAGGGTATTAGTATTAATATTCCTTGCTAGGAAAATAATTTAGCGATATCTTCCCTACTTGCACGTTCATTTATAGGCTTTCTGCAAGAAGAAAAATATGGCTCTTTTTGCCCAACCCCTCAGGCAGTCAGACCTTATGGTTGTCTTCCCTTATTCCCTAAAAATCGCTGTTATTCTGTCTTTTTCAAGGTGCACTGATTTCATATTGTTCAAACACATATGTTTTACAATCAATTTGTACAGTTAACACAATTATCCCAGTGGTCCTGAGGTGACGTACATCCTCAGCTTATGAAGATAACAGGATTATGAGATTAAAGTAAAGACAGGCATAAGAAATTATAAAAGTATTATTTGGGAACTGATAAATGTCCATGAAATCTTCACAATTTATGTTCCTCTGCCATGGCTCCAGCTGGTCCCTCCATTCGGGGTCCCTGACTTCCTGCAACAATTAGCATATCCATCACCTCAAACATTTATCACTTCTTTGTGCTGGGAACAATCAAAATTTGCTCTTCTAGCCGTATGAAAATATACAATAAATTGTTGTTAGTTATAGTCACCCTATGGTGTTAGAGAACACCGGGGCCTATTCCTCCTACCTGACTGTAATTTTTTATTTATTAATCGACTTCTAGCTATCCTATCCCCTCCCATTCCCAGCCTCTGGTTACCACTATTCTACTCCCTATTTCTATGAGATCAACTTATTTGGCTTCCATATATGAGTGAGAACATGTGATATTTGGCTGTCTGTGTCTAGCTTTATTTCACTTAACATGTCCTCCAAGCTCATCCATGTTACCTCAGATGACAAGATTTCATTCTTTTTCATGGCAGAATAGAATTCCTCTCTCTCTCTCTCTCTGTGTGTGTTTGTGTATAAACACTACATTTTCTTTATGCATTCATCTGTTGATGGACACGTAGGTTGATTCCAACACTGGCATTGTGAATAGTGCTGCAATGAACATGTAGTGTAGATGTCTCTTTGACATAGATTTCCTTTGGATAAATACCCGGTAGAGGATGGTGGGATCATGGGGCAGTACTCATTTCCATTTTTTGAGGAAGCTCTTTATTGTTTTTCAATGGCTGTGCTAATTCCAAAGACAAGATTTCAACCAATAATGCATTAAAGCTCCCCTTTCTCTGAATCTTTGACAGCAATTGTTTTTTGCCTTTTTTAATAATAGCCATTTTAACTGGGGTGAGATTATATCTTATTGTGGTTTCAATTTGCATTTTCCTTATGATTAGTAATGTTGAGCATTTTCTCATATGTCTGTTGGCCATTCGTATATCTTCCTTTTAGAGACGTCTATTCAGTTCCTTTTTTGGTTTTAAAAACTTTTAAATATTTTTTCATTTGCCTATTTTTAATAAAAAAATTTGTTTTCTTTTCTGTTTAGTTGTTTGAGTTTCCAATGTATTCTAAATATTAGTCCCTTGTTGGATGGAGAGTTTGCAAATATTTTCTAACATTCTGTAGATTGTCTTTTCACTCTGTTGATTGTTTCCTTTGTTGGGCTCAAGTGATCCTCCTGCCTTGGCCTCCCAAAGTGCTAGAATTAGAGGCATGAGCCACTACATCTGGCCTGATATCATTGGCTTGTTCCAGATTTTAGAGAAAAGCTTTCAACTCTTGCATGTTCAGTATGATGTTGGCTGTGGGTTTGTCACATATAGCTCTTATTGTGTTGAGGTATATTCCTTTCATACCTAACTTGCTGAGAATTTTTATGAAGGGATGTTGGATTTTATCAAATACTTTTTCTGTGTCTGTTATGATGATAATACGGTTTTTGTCCTTCATTCTGTTGATGTGATTTGCATATGTTGAACCATCCTTGCATTCCTGGGATAAATCTCACTTGATCATGATAAATAATGTTTTTAATATGCTGCTGGATTCAATTTGCTAGTATTTGGTTGAAGGTTTTCATCTATTATCTTCATCAGAGTATTTAGCCTATAGTTTGCTTTTTTTGTTGTGTCCTTGTCTGGTTTTGGAATCATAATAATAATCACATAATCATAATCATAATCATAATTACCATAATAGTGGCCTCATACAAGGAATTTAGAAGAATTCCCTCCTCTTCAATTTTCGGGAAGATTTTCAGAAGAATAGGTATTAGTTTTTTTAGTGTTTGGTAGAATTCCCCACTGAAGCCATTGGATTACTGTAGAATTGGCATTTTGATAGGAATGTCATTGGTATTTCAACAGGAATTTCTTTGGGCTTTCCTTTGATGGGAGACTTTTTGTTACAGATTCAATCTCAATGCTCATGACTGGTTTGTGCAGGCTTTCTATTTCTTCTGGGTTCAGTCTTGGTAGGTTGTATTGTCCAGAAATATACCTGTTTCTGCTAGGTTTTCTAATCTGTTGGTGTATGGTCTCTAATTATCCTTTGTGTTTCTGTGATATGAGTTGTAATGTTTCTGTTTTCATTTCTGATTTCATTCTTTTGGGTCTTTTTTGTTTAGTCTAGCTAATTATTTGTCATTTTTGTTTATCTTTTGAAAAATTCAATTTTTCATTTTGTTGATCTTTTTTTTTTTTAGTCTGAATTTCATTTATTTCTGCTCTGATCTTTATTATTTCTTTCTTTCTACTAATTTTGGGTTTGGTTTATTCTTGATTTCCTAGTTCCTTGACATGCATTTTCAAGGATGAGATTTATTTGAAATCTCTCTGCTTTTTTGATGTAGGTATTTATTGCCATAAACTTCCATCTTAATGCTGCTTTTTGCTATATCTTATAAATTCTAGTACGTTGCATTTCTATTTTCATTTTCTTTGTTGACATTCTAAAATTCCCTTCTTAATTCCTATTGGTCACTCAGGAGTACATTATTTAATTTCCCATGTCTTTGTACAGTCTTAAAAGTTCCTCTTATTGATTTCGAGTTTTATTGTGGTCATAAATGATATTTGATATAATTTTAATTCTTTCAAATTTGTTGAGACTTGTTTTGTGACTTACTGTATGGTTTATCCTGGAGAATATTCCATGTGCTGATGAAAAGAATGTGTATTTCACAGCTGTTGGATGAAATGTTGTGTAAATATCTGTTAGATGCATTTGGTCTAAAGTGCTTTTTAAATTGAATGCTTCTTTGTTGACTTTCTGTCTGGATTATCTGTCCAGTGCTGAGAGTGGTGTTGAAGTTATCAACTATTATTGTATTGGGATCTATCTCTTCCTTTCTTCTGCTTCATCATATCTGCTGTTGAAGCTCATTACTGTATTTTTTAATTTTATTCATTGAATTCTTCACCTGCAGAATTTTAGTTTGCTTCTTTTTTATTTCTATCTCTGTTGAAATTTTCATTCATACTGTAAATTACTTTCCTGAATTCATTGAATTGTTTATCTGTTTTCTTGTATCTTATTGAGTTATCTTAAGATCATTATTTTGAATTCCTTTTCCAGCAATACATTGATTTCTTTTTCCATTGAGGTCTATTAATGAGAGTTATGTTCCTTTGGTGGTGTCATATTTCCTTGCTTTCTCATGTTTATTGTGTTCCTGCATTGATGTCTGTGCATCTGGCGAAATAGTCACCTCTTCCAAACTTTCAAGAGTGGGTTTTTTAGAGAAACAATTTCACCTGCAGTTGGGTTTAGTGTTTTGGTTGGGAAAGTGTGATGACTCTGTTTCTGAATAGGTGCAGTGGCATAGCTTCCATGCGTCTTCTTCAACTGCATTCAACCTCAGCAATAACTGTGGGCACCTCAGTGGACTAGGCTGTAGAAGTTTGTGGATGTAGTGGTGGCACAGGTTAATGTACTCAGTGTCAAGGGCTTTTGTAGTCCTCCTCTTCTTGTTTCCCCACAATGAGGAGATTTAGTCAAGGGGCTCTCTCTTGGTAGCAGGTCTAATGTGGCCAACGTGCAGCTGCAATGGTGCTGGATTCCAGGTGCAGAAAATTAGAGTAGCTGTGCAACTGGAGTCCTAGTCTCCTGGTTTCAAGAATCTACTGTGGCATCTGGGTCTTGGGGTGTAGGTTCAGTTTCTGTGGCAGGTTTGGATTAGGTGGCTCACAGTGCTAGGATCTGTGACTCTGAGGTACCCTTTAACAGGTTTTGCTCAAGGGGCCAGGTTGTAGCTGTGAGTCTATTCCTGGGGGGTGCAGCATTTGTCCAACTCTGGGGAAGAAGGGGTGTTCTGGAGGTGTGGACCTGGGGAGTATGGTATGGCTGCAATTTGGGAAGCTGAGCCAATAGGGCACAATGGAAACTTTGGTCCCAGGGGATGAGGCACTGTATGGTATTGACTCTAGACCCTAGGATGGTAGGGCTCAGCAGGATCCCAGACTATGTGAGACCAGGTACAGTGTCAGCAAGTATCCCAAGATGGCAGAGCATAGCTGTAATTTGGGCCTTGGTGGGGAGTAGGCAGGGAACAGCACAGTGCTGATTCTACTTCCCAGGGAGAGGGTGCCTCAGCAGCTCAGACCCTAGGGGCCTAGGCAAGCTCCAGGGAAGCAGGGCACTACAGTTGTTTGGCCTGTAGGCTGAGATGTCTCAGCTTAGCCACTGCTCTGTTTTCCTGGGGCATAGGGTACTATATCAGCTCAGCCTTGGGATGTGCTGCTGCTCAGCTTAAGCCAGGGCACTGATTCCCTAGAAGGTGATGTGTTGCTTCAGCTCAGGCCTTCTCTGCTGTAAGGAAAGTCCTGCATTTATGTATCAGAGGGTGTGATTGTTCTGAGTGGCCCAGGCACCATTTCTGTAGGATACAGGTTGCTGCTTCAGCCTAAGCACTGCAGTGTGTGACCTTCTGGGTGGCCAAGGCATTAGTTCCTGGAATGCAGGGTGCTGCTTCAACGTAGACACTAGAAAGGCATGGCCAAAGTCCTGTTTTGCTAGGAGGCAAGAAACTGCTTTAGCTTGGACTCAAAGGGTCAGGGGGAGGAGTGGGTAGAGCTGATCCACTTGGCTCTGTGGGGAAGGGTTTAATAGATGCCCATAGCTTGACTTGGGGACGTGGGACCACTAGTCTGGGTTGTTCAGTGGCAGCTTAGCCTCAGAGATGAAGGGGAGCTGTGACTACTCACTCCTTGGGTAAGACACACTCCAGCCATAGTTCCTATTCCAGTGTGGTGAAGCACTAGCCATGTGGGAGTGGGGTACGGTGTCAGCACCTTTTTTGGAGAGCACAGCTATGTGGCCTCCAGGCAACTCCCTCCAGTGCAAACTGCAGGGGACCCCAGTGGCGAGGTCTGCAGGTGTCCGAGGTGTTAGTGGGTGCCACTGGGATCCTCTTGCTTACCTCCTCATGTCAGAAATTCCTCCTGATTCCCAGATAATCCTGGTTGGGGGATGGAGTGGTGGAGGCCGTGTGTTTCCTTCTGTTTTCTATGTGGCCAGCCCACATTTCTGTGCTTATCAGGGTTTCTGTTACTCCTCTGATGCACTCAGTGCTCTCCCTCAGTTATTTTCGTTAAAATATAGTTGTCTATTGACTTTTCTGGCTTTCTTTATGAGGATGATGAGCACTAGGGGCTTCTAGTTGGCCCTTTATTAGATTTAAGTCTCAAGATTCATCCTCCTCGGTTAATGCTCCATCTTCCAGGCCCACTGGGGTGGCCCCACACTCTGGGCCCAAGGTGGCAACAGCAGCCCCAACAGCCTCCTCACCTGTGGCTCTGATCTCAAAGTCATTCTTCCTTCATTTTATCTGGTCTCATGTATTTATTTATTTATTTATTTATTTATTTGCATGATAGGCTTTACTTTTAAATGATTAGTAGTACACCGAGTAATAACATGTAACAAGTTCTTGAATTCTATCATCTAGTTATTTTGATTAAGAAGCTGAAACAATTATACTAGTAATATTCACTGTTCTAATTATTAGCAGCAATGGACTACTTTAAGGCTGGCTGATGCTTCACACAGGTTACAGAAACTACTACTTTTTCATAGATAAAGCCCCTGACCTTCAAAAAAGCATTAAGGAAAAAATGATTTAATTCCTTCCTTTTTTCAAAGGATTGTTTTGCTTTTTCTTTTAAACTTGATACAAGAAAGAAAACATCAACAGTGATATATATATATGTATATATATTGCTTGAGCCAAAAGGCATAATAAAATAGACAATATTTACCCATTATATTCCTAAGAAACATGAGGTAAAAAGATGAAATCTTTAAGTTTTTTTTTTTTGAGACAGGGTCTCACTCTAGCACCCAGGCTGGAGTGCAGTGGCACAATCTTGGCTCACTATAACCTCTGCCTTCCGGGCCCAAGTGATCCTCCTGCCTCACTCTTCCAAGTAGGTAGGACTATAAGCATGTACCACCATATCTGGCTAATTTTTATATTTCCTTGTAGAGACACAGTCTCACTGTGTTGTTCAGGCAGGTCTCAAACTCCTGAGCTCAAGCCATCTGCCCGCCTTGGCCCCCGAAAATGCTGGGATTACAGGCGTGAACCACCATGCCCAGCCTAGATAAATTCTAAGTCTGTACAAAGAAACTGGATTTGCTTCTCTCCGAAAAGTGAATGGGCCTACTCTATAATATACAGAGATAAGTTAATGTCTTCTTATAAGAATATAACTAGAGCTTCTTATTCCATGAGGGCATCTAAAGTGCCAGTCCATTTAACAGGTGCTTCTCTCTTTTAATATCTACTTATGCGATAGTTTTCAGGGATTTCTGGCTGGATGCTGCAGACAAAGGCCAAAAGGTTATCTAAGACTTCTTCCCTGTTCTGCTGGAAGTAGGTCTGGAGGATGGTTATCCTGGGTCTGCGAGATCCTAGTGCTGCAGCTTCCTTGGCCTTGAACTCTTTCTCCTTCTGCAGGCAGTGCTGTTCAATTTCAGCCTAAGCTGCTCCTTTGGGCTGCTTCAGCCTCTGGTTCTTTTGCTTGTGGGCCCCAGACACCTTCTTGGCATCCTGCTTCTCGGCCTGCAGCAGCTGCTGGATCACCTGTGACTGACCGGCCATGGCCGTGGTGATTCTGAGACCAAGGTGAGCAGCCTAAATCAGCTTGAAGGGCCCTTGGGTCAGCTGACCCAGCCACCTCAGCACTTCCCTCTTCAGCTGATCTCTCTCTTCTCATATTTTACTGTAAGCAGCAAGGAGAAATCAAGAATGCCTTCAACAATTTTCTTAGGAACTTCGTCAGCTAAACATCCAAGTTCATCATGTATAATTTCTACTTTCCACAAAACGGAACACAGTTCAGCCAAGTGCTTTGCCACTGTATGACAAGGGTCACCTTCGTTTTCAATAACACCTTCCTTATTTCTGTCTGGAGCCTCAGCAGAGGCATCTTTAACATTCACGTTTCTAGCAACATTCTGTTCGTGACAATTTATGTATTCTCCAAGATGACAGGAGTTTTCTCTATAGCTCTCCTCTTTCTTTCTGAGCCCCCACCAGGATCACCTTTAATGTCCAAATTTCTAACATAGTCTTCAAGGAAACCTAGGCTTTTTCTAACACACACCTCAAAACTCTTCCAGCCTCTACCCCTTACTGAATTCCACATTTTGCTACTTATGACCCCTGGGCTCACTGAAAACTTACTGCCCACTTCTGATCCTTCAGTTTCTCCTTTGGCAACATGCACAAAGTGGCCTGATCTTGTTCAACCCAGTTCTAGGTCTGCTACCTTCTAATACCGGGCAGACTCAGCCAAGTCCTGGGCTGAGCTGGTGTGATTGGGCCTCCCAGCCCTGTACCCTGAGGGTGCTTGGGCTTCACTGGGAGAACCTGACCAAGTATCGTTCAGTACCATGCATGTCACTCAATATCACCCCTAGAGATTTGGGGGTTAGCAGTACCATGGAGTTCCTGATATGATTTAGATGTTTGTCCCCTCCAAATTTCACATTGAAATATGATCCCCAGTGTTGGAGGTGAGACCTGGTGGGAGGTATTGGGGTCATAAGGCCAGATCTCTCATGAATGGTTTGGTGCCATCCCCTTGGTGATGGGTGATTTCTCACTCTATTAGTTCACACAAGAGCTGGTTGTTTAAAAAAACCTGACACTTCCTTCTTATCTCTCTTTCTCCCTCTCACCATTCTCACCATGTGACATGCTGGCTCCTTTTTTTTTTTTTTTTTGAGATGGAGTTTCACTCTTGTTGCCCAGGCTGGAGTGCAATGGTGTGATCTCGGCTCACTCACTGCAACCTCTGTCTCCTGGGTTCAAGCAATTCTCCTGCCTCAGCCTCCCTAGTAGCTGGGACTACAGGTGTGCACCACCATACCCGGATAATTTTGTATTTTTAGTAGAGATGGGGTTTCACCATGTTGGTCAGGCTGGTCTCGAACTCCTGACCTCAAGTGATCCACCTGCCTTGGCCTCCCAAAGTGCTGGGATTACAGGCATGAGCCACCATGCCTGTCCTATGCTGGCTCCTTTTTTGCCTTCTGCCTTGATTGTAAACTTCCAGAGGCCTCACCAGAAGCAGATACTGGCATTATGCTTCTTGTACAGCTTGTAGTGAGCCAAATAAACTTCCTTTTCTTTACAAATTATCCAGCCTCAGGTATTCTTTTATAGCAATGCAAAATGGATGAAAACAGAAAATTGGTAGCAAGGAGTGCGGTGTTGCTATAAAGATACCTGAAAATGTGGAAGTGGCTTTGGAACTGGGTAATGGGCAGAGGTTGGAAGAGTTTGGAGGGCCCAGGAAGAAGACAGGAAGATGAGGGGAAATTTGGAACTTTTTAGAGACTGGTTACATAGTTGTGATCAAAGTGCTGATAGAAATATGGACAGTAAAGGCCAGGCCGATGAGGTCTCAGGTAGAAATGAGGAATTTATTAGGAACTGGAGTAAAGGTGATGCTTGTTATGCCCCCAGCAAGGAGCTTGGCTGTATTGTGTCCATGTTCCAGGGCTTTCTGAAAGGCTGAGATTGACAGTGATGACCTAAGGTATCTGGTGGAAGAAATTTCAAAGCAGCAGAGCATCCAAGAAGTAACCTGGCTGCTTTGAATGGCCTAAATCAAATATGGGAGCAAAAAAAATGACTTAAAATTAGAATTTATAATTAAAAGGTAAGCAGAACATAAACATTTGGAAAATTTGCAGGCTGGCCATGAGGTTGAGAAGAAAAGAGCCTTTTCAGGCAAGGAACCCAAATGCCTTATGGAGCAACCACTTGCTAGAGAGATTAGCATAACTAAAAGGCAACTAAATGCTAATAGCAAAGACAATGAGAAAAAGGTCTTAAAGGCATTTCAGAAGTCTTTGGGACAGTCTCTCCCATCACAGGCCCAGAGGCCTAGGAGGATGAAATTGTTATGGGGGTCAGGGCTGGGGCCTTGCTTCCCTGTGGTATCTTGGGAGGTTGCTGCTCCAGGTTCAGCCAAGGCTCAAAGAGTCCCAGGTGCAGCTCAGGCTGCCACTCCAGAAGGTGCAAGCTGGAAGCCTTGGTAGCTTCCACATGGTGCTAAGCCCACAGGTGGGCAGAATACAAGAGTGAAGGAGGCATGGCAGCTCCTACCTACATTTCAGAGGGTGTATAGGAAAGTCTGGGTGCCCATCCAAATCAGTAAAAAGGAAGTCAGACTGTTGCTGTTCACTGATGATATGATCACATACCTAGAAAACCCTAAAGCTCATCCAAAAAGCTTCTAGATCTGTTAAATTAATTCAGTAAAATTTCAGGATACAAAATCAATGTACATAAATTATCAGCACTGCTATACACCAACAATGACCAAGCTGAGAAACAAATCAAGAACTCAATCCCTTTTACAACACCTGCAAAAAATAAAATACTTAGGAACATACCTAACCAAGGAGGTAAAAGATCTGTACAAGAAAAACTACAAAACACTGCTGAAAGCAATCATCAATGACGCAAACAAATGGAGACACATCCCATGCTCTTGGATGGGTAGAATCAATATTGTGAAAATGACCATACTGCCAAAAACAATCTACAGATTTAATGCAATTCCCATCAAAGTGCCACCATCATTCTTCACAGAAATATAAAAAACAATTCTAAAATTCATTTGGAACCAAAAAAGACCCCACATAGCCAAAGCAAGACTAAGCAAGGTGAACAAATCTGGAGGCATTACATTACCCAAATTCATACTATACTACAAGGCTATAGTTACCAAAATAGCACGGTACTTGTATAAAAATAGGCATTAGACCAATGGAACAGAACAGAGAATCCAGAAATGAAGTCAAATACTTATATCCAACTGATCTTTGACAAAGCAAACAAAAATGTAAAGTGGGGAAAAGATGTCCTATTCAACAAATGGTGCTGGGATAATTGGCAAGCCACATGTAGAAGAATGAAGCTGGATCCTCATCTCTCACTTTATACAAAAATCAACTCAAGATGGATGAAAGGCTTAAATCTAAGACCTGAAACCATGAAAATTCTAGAAGATAACATTGGTAAAACTCTTCTAGACATTGGCTTAGGCAAAGAGTTCATGATCAAGAACCCAAAAGCAAGTGCAACAAAACCAAAAATAAATAAATAAATAAATAAATGTGACCTAATTAGACAAAAAAAACTTCTGCACAGCAAAAGAAATAATCAGAGAGTAAACAGACAGCCCACAGAATAAGAGAAAATATTTGCAAACTATGCATCTGATAAAGGACTAATATCCAGAATCTACAAGGAATTCAAACAAATCATCAATAAAAAAAATACCATCAAAAAGTGGGCGAACGACATGAATAGACAATTCTCAAAAGAAGATATACAAATGGCCAACAAACATATAAAGAAATGCTCAATATCACTAATTTTTGGGGAAATGCAAATTAAAACTGCAATGAGATACCACCTCACTTCTGTAAGAATGACCATAATTAAAAATTAAAAACTAACAGATGTTGTCATGGATATGGTGAAAAGGGAACAGTTTTACACTCCTGGTTGGGAATGTAAACTAGTACAACCACTTTGGAAAACAGTATGGAGATTCCTTAAATAACTAAAAGTAGAATCACCATTTGATCCAGCAGTCCCACTATTCGATATCCAGAAAAAAATAAGTCATTATATGAAAAAGACACTTGCACACACATATTTAGAGCAGTGCAATTGCAACTCCTTGTAATTGCAAAAATATGGAGCCAGCCTAAATGCCCATTGACCAATGAGTGGATAAAAAATGTGGTATATATACACCATGGGATACTACTCAGCCATAAAAAGGAATAAAATAGTGGCATTTGCAGCAAACTGGATGGAGTTGGAGGCCATTATTCTAAGTGAAATAACTCAGGAATGGAAAAACAAACATCATATGTTCTCACTTATAAGTGGGAGCTAAACTATAAGGATGCAAAGGCATAAGAATGATATAATGGACTCTGGATACTTGAGGGCAAGTGGGGGATGGAGGTGAGGGATAAAAGATTACATATTGGGTACAGCGTACACTGCTTGGGTGACAAGTGTGCCAAGATCTCAGAAATTACCATGAAAGAACTTATCTATGTAACCAAAAACCTAAAACTATTGAAATAAAAATAAAAAAAGAGAGAGACAAAAAAGAAAGCCTGGGAGCCCAGACAGAAACCTGCCGCAGGGGTGGAGTTCTCCCACAGAGCCTCCAGTAGGGCAGTGTGGAGGGAAAATGTAGGGTTGGAGCCCCTTCACAGAGTCCCCAGTGGGGTACTGCCTAGTGGAGCTCTGGGAATGGGGCTGCTGCCCTCCATACCCAAGAATGGTAGAGCCACCAGCAGCTTGCGCCCAGAGCCTGGAAAAGATTCAGGCACTCAACTACAACCCATGAGAGCAGCCATGTGGGCTGCACTCTGCAAAGCCATGGGGGCAGACCAGCCCAAGGCCTTGGGAACCCGCTCCTCACACCAGTGTGCCCTGGATGCAGGACATGGAGTCAAGGATTATTTTGGAGCTTTAAAGTTTAATGTCTTTCTCTCAGAATTGTGTGGGGCCTGTTGCTTCTTCCCCCTCCTTCTTTTGGCCAATTTATTCCTTTTGGAAGGAAGGGAAATGTTTACCCAATGCCTGTACCATCACTGTATCTTGGAAGTAGCAACTTGTTTTGGATCTTACAGCCTCATAGGTGGAAGGGGCATGCCTTGAGTCTCAGATGAAACTTCGGAGTTTTGATTGAGTAGATCCTAGAACAAGTTGAGATTTTTTGGGCACTATTGGGAAGGGATGATTATATTTTGCAATGTGAGAGGGACATGAGATTTGGGGGGACAGTGTGGAGTGACATGGTTTGGATATTTGTCCCCTCCAAATCTCCTGTTGAAATGTGATCCCCAATGTTGGAGGTGGGGCCTAGTGGAAATGTTTGGGTCATGCCATGGATCCCTATGAATGGCCTTGCTGCCATCCTCTTGGTGATGAGTGAGTTTTGCTCTACTGGTTCACACAAGAGCTGGTTGTTTAAAAGAGCTTGGCACCTCCTCTTTCCCTCTCTTGCTCTCTCTCTCACCATGTTACATGCTCTCTCCCCCTTCAACTTCTGCCATGGTTGTAAGCTCCTTGATGCCCTCACCAGAAGCAGATGCTGGCACCAGGGTTCTTTTATGGCCTGCAAAACCCTGAGCCAAATAAACCTCTTTTCTTTATAAGTTACTGAGCCTCAGGTATTCCTCTACAGCAATGCAAAATGAACTAACAAAGCCAGTTGTACTTTACCATCCAACCATCATGGAAGCTACAAGAGGAATTGTTTCTATCTGATTCTACACTCCTCTTCAGCATCAGAATGTTCTGGGAGCACCAAAAGAGTTCAGGTGGAGATGAGAATGGTCTCTCCTCTGGGTGCCCACCCCTGATAGCTGGGGTGAGCTGTTTTGCGGATGGGAAGACTTGGTAGTCTGCTCAGGTTGACAGCCTGACAGCCTACAGTGTCTGACAATGAGCCCTGTCATCACAACTCATCTGTTATCAGCCTGGCCCTCAGGGTCTCTCTCAAGCTGGATCCCCGAGGCTGTGGGTGCCATGACCCACCTGGCTCTGCTAACATCCTCCAGGCTGGCTCCCCACCTGCCCCACAGCCTCTGCCCTTGGAGTGGACTCTGGCCTGCCTCACTCCTTGGGTGCTGGATGGGTCAGCTCTTTGGGTGGGCTGGCTGCCTGCAGGAGATCAGAGGAAGGGGATGCTGATGCTAAGTGGTGACCCTGGCTCTCTCCTTGCAGGGTTGCCTGGACCTTATTGCCTTCCTCAACAGACAGCCCAAGGAGCCTCTGTTCCTGCAGATCTCGGAGCGGCTCTCTCTCCTCCTCCAGTGTGTGGGGAGGTGCTTGCTCTTGTAGGGGAAGAAACATTTTTCCCCCTTCTACCCATCTTAGGTTCATTAGCTGGGGTCTTGTCAATTAGATTAACAAGATACTAACATGAGAAAAACAAACAAAAGTTTACTAACATGTGCATTATGCCTCTATGTGGGAGCCGTCAGAGATGAGGAATTCAAAGGGGCGGTTGGAACGTGAGCTTACGGAGCATCTTAGCAAATGGGCAATCATTTTTACAGAATTGGCAAGACAAAGGAAAGGGGCTTTCAACCTGTAGGGCAGCAAATTCTGGGAAGTAAATATATAGGGGAAGCTAACAGAAGATAGCTTGCTAGTTTGTTGTGTAGATTCCTCTAGTGCCTTCTCTGGGCTGATAAGCATCTAGAGTTGTCTCCAAGGACTAAGAATCCTCTGCTTTTCCTGGTAGAAAGGGAGTGGGCAGGGATTTTTTTCTTGGGTATGCTTCTTTTTAATTGTCTTCGGCTCAAAATTATTCTTGTTTGAAAGTGGCATATTCTGCTACTCTTCACTCTGCCGGAGCCAGCTCTGGAGTCCTCAGTGTCCCAGGGGCTCTTGCACTGAGCCCAGATCTGTGTCAGCAAGGTGTCCTTCCATTAAATCCTGCCTAAATGACTTAGTTGGAGGTGCAAACCCACAGAGCATTGCTGGAGGCATGTGGGAGAGTGGCTGTCAGGTGTTGTCTTTGTCCATTAAGTTGCTATAAGGGAATTCCTGAAGCTGGGTAATTTATAAAGAAAAGAGGTTTATTTGGCTCATGGTTCTGCAGGCTGTACAAGAACCATGGTATGTGCAGAGATCACATGGGGAGAGAGGAAGCAAGAAAGAGGGGAGATGCCAGGCTCCTTTCACCAGCCAGCTCTAGCAGGAATAAGAGTGAGAACTCACCCTCAAAGGAGAGCATTTTGGGATCTGCACCCAAAATCCAAACACCTTCTACCAGGCTCCACCTCCAACACTGGGGGTCGAATTTCAACATGAAGTCTTGGGGGACAAACATCCAACTATAGCAAGGGTCCTGCAGGGACTCTCTCCCTCCCACTTAACTTCAAGCTTGAGTGGGTGATAGAATTTGGTGTTTGGTCCTGACAGGATTTGCACTGCCCAAGTCTGCAGCTACAGCTTTAGAATTGGAAGGCCCCCTTCACCTCCAGGGTGTCTTGTGACCAGAGCACCACCGGTGCCCACTAAGGCCTGCCCCTGCAGCCTGGTCACATGGGGTGGAGGTAGAGTCAGGATCTTGATTGGCAGGCAGCTCCACCCAGAGGAGCAACCTCCTGACTCCCACTGCCCCCCACCTCCCACAATGGCATACCAGCACCCATGGCAGAGGCCACGAAGACACCTAGGGACACTTCTGGGTCAGAAGGGGTGCCACTGACGGGGTGAGCTCCGTGTCTGTAGCAGGTAGAGGCACTGAGATTTATAACAGAATGAACTGAGTTTTTGGCAAGTGCGGGAAGACTGTCCACATAAGTCCTTGAGAACTTGGGAAGCAGAATGAGCAGATAAAAAGAGGAAGCTCAGGTGTTTATGCTCTTGGTCCGCTGAATTAAATAAGCTATGATGAAGCTGCTGCTGCTTCCAGGGCTGAAGTACATGCCACGGGCAGTGACCCCATAGCAGGGCCACTGTGCACTTCACATGCCCTGAGGACAGGCTCTCCCGTCACACTGCTACTGTTACTGGGTGGGGCAAAGGATCATCCCATCCTGCCCACCACAGCCAGCACCTATGTGAGCCACTGGA
The DNA here is from genome assembly GCF_000001405.40 of Homo sapiens. Classification (NCBI taxonomy): domain Eukaryota; kingdom Metazoa; phylum Chordata; class Mammalia; order Primates; family Hominidae; genus Homo; species Homo sapiens. The sequence goes on from NT_187600.1 coordinate 261,641, forward strand.
GCCTGGGGAAATTCATCACCACTATATTGGCCTTACAAGAAATGCTTAAGGGAGTTCTATACTTGGAAGCAAAAGGATGATCTCTACCATCGTGAAAACACATAAATGTATAAAACTTACAGCCGCACGGCAAATACAAAAAAAGAGGAAGAGAAAAGACACAAATGTTACCACTACAGGAACCACCAAGCCACAATGATAAACAATAAGAGAGAAAGAAAGGAACACAGGATAGACAAAACAACAAGAAAACAACCAACAAAATGGCAGAAATAAGTCCCCACGTATCAATAATAACCTTGAATGTAAACAGATAGAATTTTCCACTTAAAAGATATATACTGGCTGAAAGGAAAAAACCCAAAGACTCCACCAAAAACTCTTAGGTCTGATAAATAAATTTAGTAAAGTTGCAAGATACAAATCAATATATGAAAGTCAGTAGTATTTCTATACCCTGATAATGAACTAGCTGAAAAAGAAACCAAGAAGGCAATCCCATGTACAATAGCTACAAAAATCCATATAAATAAATTTCACCAAGGAGGTGAAAGACTTCTGCAAGGAAAACTACAAGGCACTGATGAAAGAAATTGAAGAGGACACAAACAAATGGAAAGACCTTCCATGCTCATGAATTGGGAGAATTAATATTGTTAAAATGACCATACTATCCAAAGCAATCTACAGATTCAATGTAATCGCTATTAAAATATCAATGTCATTTTTTCAAAGAAATGGAAAAACAATCCCAAAATTATTATGAAACCAAAAAAGAGCTTGTATAGCCAAAGCAACCCTTAGGAAAAAGAATAAAGCTGGAAGCATCATACTACCTGACTTCAAAATATATCATGAGGATATAGGAAACAAAACAGCATGACATTGGTATAAAAATAGACACAGACCAATGGAACAGAATTGAGAACCTAGAAACAAAACAACCACATATTTATAGCCTACTGATTTTCAATGAAAGTGCTGGGAAAGGACAGCCTCTTCAATAAATGATGCTAGGAAAACTGGATATTCATATGCAGAAGAATAAAACTAGGTCCCAATCTCTCACTGAATTAAAAAAACAACTAAAATGTATTAAAGACTTAAACATAAGACTAAAAATTATAAAACTACTAGAAGAAAACATAGGGAAAACACTACAGGACATTGTCATAAGCAAATATTTTATGGCTAACACCTCAAAATGACTGGCAACAGAAACAGAAATAGACAAATGGGACTATATTAAACTAAAAAGCTTCTGCACAGCAAGGAAACAGTCAACAGAGTGAAGAGTCAACTTTTTGATGGGATAAAATTCATCCAACAAGGGACTAATATTCAGAATATACAAGGAATTCAACTCCACAACAAGAAAAATCCCATTAAAATGGACAAAAGACATGAATATGCATATCTCAAAAGAAGACATGCAAGTGTGACCAACATGTACATGAAAAAATGCTCAACATTACTAATGATCTAGGAAATGCAAATCGAAATCACAATGAGATATTATCTTACCCCATTTAGAATAGTTATTACCAAAGACAAAAAGGAACAGATGCTGATGAGGATGTGGAGAAAGGAGAATGCTCATTCACTGCTAGTTGGAATGTAAATTAGTACAGCCATTATTGAAAACAGTGTAGAAGTTCTTCAAAAAATTAAAAATAGAACTACCATATAATTCAGCAATTTCACTGATGCATATATATCCAAAAGAAAGGAAATCAATATTTTGGAGATATATCTACACTCCCATATTTATTGCAGCACTGTTCACAATAGCTAAGATAGGGTATCAACCTAAGTGTCCATCAATGGATAAATGGATAAAGAAAATGTGGTATATATACATAATGGAATACTATTCAGCCATAAAAAAGAATGAAATCCTATAATTTCCAGCAACATGGATGGAAAGGGAGGTCATTATGTTAAAGAGAAATAAGCCAGGCACAGAAAGTCAAATATCATGTGTCCTCTTTCATATGTGGGAGCTAAAAATGTGGATCTCATAGAGGTAGAGAGGAGAATGGTGGTTACCAGAGGCTGGGAAGGATCACTGCTGTGGGGAGGAGATAAGAGAGGTTGGTATAATGGATACAAAAATACAATTGGGTAGGTTGGGTGTTGTGGCTCACGCCTGTAATCCCAGCACTTTGAGGCTGAAGTGGGTGGATCACCTGAGGTCAGGAGTTCGAGACCAATCTGGACAACATGGTGAAACCCTGTTTCTAGTAAAAGTACAAAAAATAGCAGGGCATATGGCATGTGCCTGTAATCCCACCTACTTGGGAGGCTGAGGCAGGAGAATCGCTTGAACCCGGGAGACGGAGGCTGCAGTGAGTCGAGATTGCACCATTGCACTTCAGCCTGGATGATAGAGCAAGACTCTGTCTCAAAAAAAAAAAAAACACACACACACACACACAAAACAGTTGGTTAGAAGGAATAAGTTCTAGTGTTTAACAGCACAGTGTGGTGACTATAGTTAACAATAATTTATTGTATATTTCAAAATAGCTAGAAGAGAAGATTTGAAATGTTTCCAACACAAAGAAATGATAAATTTTGAGGTGATAGATATTTTAACTACCCCGATTTGATCATTACACATTCTAGGCATGTATCAAAATATCATGTGTACCCCATAAATACATTAATATATAATTATTATGTATCCACAAAAATAATAAATTAAAAATTAGATTATCTGTGAAAGAGGCCATGGATGGGAAGGCCACACTGCAAATCACACCTTGGCCATCCTCATCATCTAAAACCTTTCTTGGTGTCCTGTCTTGTTTGGGTTCTAGAAGAAGCCAGCTTTTCCACTCCCTCCTTGTAAGTTTTGGATTTTCTCTATTCTTTTAAAATTTTTGCTTACAAAGCCACCAATTCTCTGACCTAACCTCTTTTCTCTAGTTAATTAATGAAGGGAGCTAATAGTAGCCAACAAACTCTTAATACTTGATTTTGCAATCTCTTACCCTAGAGCTGCAGGCTGAATAGGCAGGGACTCTGCCTTCCAAATGTTAACAACTGATTTATTAAGGCATGACAAGGATCTGCAGTCCTCCAGCCTGACACCAGCTTCCTTGCTAACTGCTTCTCATATTCTAAGGCAAGTTTTTTATTTTATTTTTTTGAGATAGAGTCTCACTTTGTCACCTATGCTGGGGTGCAGTGGTATGATCTCAGCTCACTGCACCCTCTGCTTCTGCAGGCTCAGGTGATCCTTCCACCTCAGCCTCCCTGGTGGCTGGGACTACAGGCATGTGCCTCCATGCTTGGCTAATTTTTAATTTTTTTTCTAGAGATGGAGTATTGCTATGTTGCCCAGGCTGATCTTGAATTACTCAGTTCAAATCATCCTCTTGCCTCAGCTTCCCGAAGTGCTGGGATTACAGGCATGAGCCACATAATATTATTTTTTGTTACAGCATCACAACTCTTCAAAGTACTGTCTGACTTATTCACATTACTCATTGAACAGAACTGGTAACAGGTCTCCATCCACATGTGATGGCACTGGGAAACACAGTCTAGCAGGAGTCAAAGGAAGGAGAAAAACAGCTATGGGTGAGTTCTAGTAGTCTTTTTCAAAGATTGCTTACCTTCAATATCGACAGTGTAAAATCTAATGTTAATGAAATACTAGCAAATGAAATCCAACCATGTATAAAAAATAATATACCCATTGAGATTTATCCCAGGTATGCAAATATGATGGCTGATTTTACTTGTCAACTTGGCTAGGTCTTGGAACCCAATATTTGGTCAAACATCAGTCTGGATGTTGTGAAGGTATTTTTTTAGACAGGATTAACATTTAAGTTGTTAGACTTTAAGTAAAGCAGATCATCCTCCAAAATGTGGGTGGGCCTCATCCAATCAGTTGAAGACTATTAAAAAAGACAGATTGAGGTCCCCTGAGGAAGATGGAATTTTGCCTCCAGAAGATCTTTGGACTCAAGCTGGAACATCATCTCTTCCCTAGGTCAGGTTCCACACTACCGATTTGATGATTTTGGACCTGCAGGCCTCCACACCCATGTGAGCCAATTCCTTAAAATTCTCTCTCTCTCTCTGTCTCTGTCTCTCTCTCTCTCTCTCTCTCACACACACACACACACACACACACACCCTATTCTATTGGTTCTGTTAATCTGGAGAACTCTCAGTAATAGAAACAAGGCTGATTGGACATTCAAAATCAATTAATATAAGCTTTCCACCTAAAAGTCAATTAATATAATCCATCTCTTCAAAAGATTAAGAAAACTCATGTGGTCATATCAATAGATAACAAAAAAGTGTCTGACAAAATACAACTCAATTTATCATAAAAACTCTCAGCAAACTTTGAATAAAGGGGAATACTCTCAAATTTATAAAGGACATCTACAAAAAACCTACTGCTAACATTGTACTTCGTGGTGAGAAGCAACAGGTGAGTAGGTCCCCTTACCAGTCCCAATTAACACCATGCTGGAAGTCTTAGCTAATGCATTAAAACATGAAAAGCAAGTATAAGATATACAGATTGGAGGAGAAGAAATGAAGCTGCGTTTGTCATCAGATGACATGATATCTCTGCAGAAAATCCCAAATAATCGACAAAAAACCTCCTGGAACTAATAAGTGATTATAGCAATGATATAGTTTGGGTATTTGTTCCTACCCAAATCTCATGTTGAAATGTAATCCCCAATGCTGGAGGTGGGGCCTGCTGGGAGGTGTTTAAATCATGGGGGCAGATCCTCATGAATGGTTTGTGCCAGCCCTTTGGTGATGAGTGAGCTCTCGCTCAGAGTTCAGACGAGATCTAGTCGTTAGAAGTGTGTGCCACCTCCCCCTCCACAGAGTCTCTTTCTTGCTTCTGCTTCGGCCATGTGATATGGCTTCTCTCCCTTTGCTGTTTGCCATGATTGGAAGCTTCCTGAGGCCTCCCCAGAAGCAGAGGCTGCCATGCTTTCTGTACAGCCTGTAGAACCGTGAGCCAATTAAACCTCTTTTAAAAAAAAAAAAAATTACCCAACCTCAAGTATTTCTTTATAGCAACGCAAGAATGGCCTAAAAGCAAATTTGAAGGACGTTAAGTTTAATGGGCAAAAGCCATTTTTTCCCTATATACCAGCAATGAACAATTGGGATTTAAAGTGGAAAACCGAATACCATTTAAATTAGCACCAGAAACTGAAATACTTGGGTATAAATCTAATAAAACATATACAAGATATATACTAGGAAAACTATAAAACTGTGATAAAAGAAATGAAAGAAGATCTAAATCAGTCGAGAGATATTCCACGTTCATGAAAAGAAAAACAATATTCTTAAGATGTCAGTTCTTCCCAACTTTATATATAGATTTAACACAATCCTAATCAAATTCCCACCACATTATTTTATGGATGTTGGCAAACTGATTCTACAGTTTATATGGGAAGGGAAAGTACTCAGAAGAGACAACACAATATTGAAGAAGAACAAAGTTAGAGGACTGACTCTTCCCAACTTTTATGCAAGACTTACTGTGAAGCCACAATAATCAGGAGTGTGGAATTGGTGAAAGGATAGACAAATAAATCCATAGAACAAAACTTTCTGATAATAGACGCCCATAAACATAGTCAACTGATCTTCAACAAAGGAGCAAAGGCAGTTCAATGGAGAAAGCGTCATCTTTTCACTACATGGCACCAAAGCAAAAAAAAAAAAAAAAAAAAAAAAAAAAAGAATCTAGACACAGGCCTTATGCTTTTCACAAAAATCAACTCAAAGTGGATCATAGGCCCAAATGTAAAGCCTAAAACTATGAAATTTTAGAAGATAACAGGAGAAAATCCAGATGATCTTGGGCTTGGCAATGAGTTTTTAGATATAACACAAAAATCACAATTTGTATAAAAAGAAAAATTAGTTAACTGAGCTTTATTAAAATGAAAAAATGTCTACATGTGAAAGACATTGTCAAGAGAATGAAAAAGGCAGGCCACAGACTGGGAGGAGAAAATATATATCTGATAAAAGACTTGTATCTAAAACACTTAAAGAACCATTATTAAATTTAAACAATAAGAAAACAAGCAACCCAATTAAAACATGGGCAAAAGATCTGAACAGACACCTCACCAAAGAAGGCTTGCGGATGGCAAATAAGCACATGAAAATATGCTCCACGTGGTGTGCCATTGGGATGGCAAATGAAAACAACAATGAGCTACCACGACCAGCTACTAGAATGGAGAAAATCCCAAAGAAAACAAATGAAACAAAAAGCTCTCAACGCCAAATGCTGTGGAGGATGTGAGGCATAAAGAACTCTCTTTCATTGCTGGTGGGAATACAAATGGTGCAGCCACTTTGGAAGACAGTTTGACAGTTTTAAAAGCTAAATCTTATCTTACCATACAATCACACTCCTAGGTATTTATTCAAATGAGTTGAAAACTTATGTCCACACAAAAATCTGCACGTGAGCTTTTATAGCAGCTTTCCTCGCAATTGCCAAACTTGGAAGTAACTAAGATACCATTCACAGGTGAATGGTTCAGTTAACCGTGGTACATCCGGACAGTGGAATATTATTCAGCAATAAAAAGTGAGCTATCAAGGGCAGGCATGGTGGCTCACACTGTGATCCCAGCACTTTGGGAGGTTGAGACAGGAGGATCACTTGAGCCCAAGAGTTCTAGATCAGCCTGGGCAATATAGCCAGATACCATCTCTATGAAAAATTAAAAAATGAGCATGATGGTGGTGCCTGTAATCCCAGCTGTGTTGGAGGCTAAGGCAAGAGGATCGCTTGAGCCTGGGAGGCTGAAGCTATAGTGAAATATGATTGCACCACTGCACTCCAGCCTGGGTGACAGAGGAAGACCCTATCAAAAACAAAAAACAAAAACAAAAAACTATTAAACCACAGAACGCATGGAGGAATCTTAAATACATATTGCTAAGTGAAAGCAGCCAGTTGGAGAAGGCTAAATAATGTACGTTTCCAAACTATATATTTGGAAAGGCAAAACTACAGAGAGAGTAGAAAGATCAGCAGTTGCCAGGGTTTGGGGTGAGGGGTGAGGAATGAATAGTGAAATATAGGGGATACTATTCTGCATAACACTGCCATGGTGGATACGTGACATTGCACATTTGTCAAAACTCATGAACTATACAACACAAGTAGTGAACCCTAAGGTAAACTACGGATTTCAGTTAATGATAATGTATCAATATCGACTCATCATTTGTAACAAATGTGCCATACAGATGCACAATGACAGTAGGTGACACTGTATATGTATAGAGAGGCGCTGGGTATGTAAAAAGTCTATGGACTTTTTGTTCAATTTGTTTGCAAACCTAGCGCTGTTCTAAAAAGAGAAAATCAATTAATTAAACAAAGAAATAAACAAAAAAATCATTATGCTACACAGAAAAATGAAAGCAGAACCACGGACAGCAGCTTGGACACCACGTGTCTGACCAAGGCAGCACCATGGACAGCAGCCGACAGTCCTGGGGCGTTCCTAAAAGACAAATGTGGAACAGTGGTTGACTTATGTTGTCAAGGTGGCATCAGGGACAGGAAAATAGCCCTACTTAGGGGAGTTTGGTTTTTGTTTTTGTTTTGAGACGGAGTCTCGCTCTGTCGCCCAGGCTGGAGTGCAGTGGTGTGATCTCGGCTCACTGCAACCTCTGCTTCCTGGGTTCAAGCAGTTCTCCTGCCTCAGTCTCCTGAGTAGCTGGGAATACAGGCACGCGCCACCATGCCCAGCTAATTTTTGTATTTTTAGTAGAGACGGGGTTTCGCCATGTTTGCCAGGATGGTCTCCATCTCTTGACCTCGTGATCCACCCGCCTTGGCCTCCCAAAGTGCTGGGATTACAGGCGTGAGCCACTGCGCCTGGCTACTTAGGGGAGTTTTTAGATTAAGAAAGCATTCTGGGCCCGGTGGGGTGGCTTACGCCTGTAATCCCAGCACTTTGGGAGGCCAAGATGGGCGGATTGCTTGAGCACAGGAGTTCGAGACTAGCCTGGGCAACATGGCAAAACCCAGTCTCTACAAATAAATGAAAAAAACAAAAAAGAAAAAAAATTAGCTGGGCATGTTGGCATGCACCTGTAGTCCCAGTTACTTGGGGGGCTGAGGTCGGAGGATCATTCGTACTTGGAGGCTGTGAATCTATGTCTTAATGATTATGGTTCAACTTCTTAATTTTTGCCAACATCATTTTGCTAACATGATTTCTTGAATATTCTTCTCTTGATTTGACTTTTTTTCTGATTGCTAGTGAAGCTGACACCTTCTAAACTGTTTATTGGCCTTATGTATTTTTTTTATTCTCTGAAATACCTGTTCGTGTCTTTTGGTCTTTATTTTACTTGATTGATTGGTTGATTGATTGAGACAGGGTCTGACTCTGTCTCCCAGGCTGGAGTGCAGTGGCACAATCATGGCTGACTGCAGCCTCGACCTCCTGGGGTCAAGCGATCCTCCCACCTCAGCTTCCCAAGTAGCTAGGACTATAGGTGTGTGCCACCATGCCCAGCTAATTTTTGTATTTTTTGTAGAGATGGGGTTTTGCCATGTTGCCTAAGCTGTTGGCCTTTATTTTCTATTGGGATATTTATCCTTTTCTTCTTTATTTGTAGGAGTTTACACATTTTTGATAATATTCCTTTGTTAAGTTTAGGTGTTGCATATGTATTTTCCCGGGTTGTGACTTGTCTTTCACTTTCTTTATCTTTTGATGGACATGACTTTTTAATTTTTGTATAGTTAAATTTACCAATAAGTCTTTTACAGTTTGTGTCTTGTCTAAAACACCTTGAGATTTGGTTTTGTGGGCAGCAACAGCCCTCCTGTTACCTAACCTGGCTTACTGCACTATCCCTAGTGGTTCTCTTACATCTCACTTGCACTTTTGTAAATAACCCTTTGTAAATAACTTCTCCTGGCATTATGATAATGGGACATAGATAGAAAGTGTTACAGTGTTGGGGGATGTGCTCCTTATGTAATTTCTCTGGCCTTTGAGAAAGACAGGATCATAAGAATGGTGGAATAGTTTGGTTGTTGTTTAGTGAAATTGAATCACTGAAGAAATATAACAACAGGCTCAGTTGAACCCCTTTCAACTCAGGAAATGGTGCAAATTTCAGAAAACCTTCATCACAGCATTAGAAAAAACTCCATCTCCTGCAGCTGGAGAAGAAACTACTGAAAATTGGGCCCAGAACCTGATTGTAAGAGTAGTGGGATTACAAAGAAGGCTGAATCCAGGAGCTCAAAGTTCTCTTCCACTAAGGAAAGCACCCCAATAATGAAGGAGTGGGACCTCAAGACCTGGAATAAGGACATTTTTGTTGGGGTCTGTAATTCTGCAGAAAATGGAGGTTTGGATCATCCCACCAGGCATAGAGCATAGCCCAGCAGAAGTTCTTGCCATGGTCAAGGGAAACCCTTAGAAACCTATCTCCAAAAGGGAGATGACAAAGGCCAATGAAGGCCTCGGGATCAGTTGCAACAGCAGAATCTGTAGTTGTTCCATGAACCCAGATAATGAATTGAGGGACCAGAATACCATAGAAGCCTCCCTATTCTCTTCACTCCTCACCTGTTAGAGTGAGTGTTTACAGGGATCAGTGGGTAAGGGTAATTCTGGCCCAAGCCCATCTCAAAATGGGTTCATTTTCAGAGGAAATAATAGGAAGTGGTGACATCACTGTGGGGTGCAAGTGCACCTTAGACATGCGAGGGGTGACTGTAGTGGATGCTGTTTGTGCCTTCTGTGTTCCTTTTTTTTTCTTTTTTCTTTTCTTTTCTTTTCTTTTTTTTTTTTTTTTTTACAGAGTCTCGCTCTGTTGCCCAAGCTGGAGTGTGGTGGCATGACCTTGGCTCACTGCAACCTCCGCCTTCTGGGTTCAATGATTCCCCTACTCCAGCCTCCCAAATAGCTGGGACTACAGGCATGCACCACCATGCTTGGCTAATTTTTGTATTTTTAGTAGAGGTGGGGTTTCACCACGTTGGCCAGGCTGGTCTTGAACTCCTGACCTCAGGGATCTGCCCGCCTTGGCCTCCCAAAGTGCTGGGATTATTAGGCATGAGCCACTGCACCCAGCCATATATATATATATATATATATATATATATATATATATATATATATATAGAGAGAGAGAGAGAGAGAGAGAGAGAGAGAGAGAGAGAGAGAGAGAGAGAGAGTCTTGCTCTGTCACCTAGGCTGGAATGCACACAGTGGTGAGACCACGGCTCACTGCAACCTCAACTTCCTGGGCTCAGGCGATCCTTCTGCCTTAGCCTACTGAGTAACAGGGACTATAGGCATGCATCACCACACTCAGCTAATTTTTAAATTTTTTGTAGAAATGTGGTCTCACTATATTGCCCAGGCTGGTTCTGAACTCCTGGGCTGAAGTGATCCTCCTGCTTCAGCCTCCCAAAGTGCTGGTATTACAAGCATAAGCCACTATGCCCAGCCACGACACCTGAAACTTTTTGTCTGATTGCTTCCTGTGGCTTCCAGAGCCTAAATGAATACAGAACAGAAGTGCCAGGAATTAGTACTCATTGGAGCAGCTCTTAACCCATGGCTGATGGGAGCTTGTGTGTGTAAATGCCTGAGGTCACTTGTCCCTGGTGATAATTCTAAGGCATATATTCTACAACGATAATCAAAATTCCCCAGAGGTGTTAGACTCTAGTTAATTGTCATGGTAACATGCTTGATAAAACACTTTCCAGAAAACTAAATAGGGATAATATTCTATACCTCAGTACTTCCACTCCTGTGCATATTTCATAGAGAAACTCTCCCACTAGTATCCATCTTAGTGTGGGCTGTCCTGACAAAAATACCATAGACTGGGTGGCTTAAACAACAAAAATTTAGTTTTCTTTGTTCTGGAGGTTGGAAGTCCAGAATCTGGGTGCCAGCGTGGCTGGGTTCTGATGAGGGCTGTCTTCCTGGCTTGAAGATGGCCACCTTCTCATGGTGCATTCACATGGCAGAGAGAGTGAGGCTCTTCCGTTTCTTCCTCTTCCTATGAGGACCACCCTCATGACCACCACCACCGTGGGGGCCCACCCTCCTGACTTCATCAAAAACTAATCACTTCCCAAAGGCCCCATCTCCAAATCCATCACATTGAGGATTAGGGCTTCCATATATGAATTTGGGGAGAGGTGAGGACATATTCAGCCTATAACAGGATCTCAACAGACAGGAACAAGAATGCAATAGTAAGGCAGCTAATAATAGAAAAATTTTGAAACAATTATCCAAGGAAAATAAATTCTGGAAACCTATACAGCAGTAAAAGTGAATAAATTACAACTCCCCACAACAACATAGATGAATCTTGGAAACAAGATGTAAAAAAATTGGTAAAAAATGCCAATGCAGACAACTGCATATAGTATGATATAATTTTACATAGCTCAAGGGCAAACAGAATCAGACAAGTTCAGATATACATACATATTTGATAATTTTTTTTTTTTGAGACAGTCTGCCTCTGTCATCCAGGCTGGAGTGCAGTGGTGCCATCTTGGCTTACTGCAACCTCCACATCCAAGGTTCAAGAGATTGTCCTGCATCAGCCTCCTGAGTAGCTGGGACTACAGGTGTGTGCCATGACACCCAGCTAATTTTTGTATTTTTAGTAGAGACGGGGTTTCTCCATGTTGGCCAGGCTGGTCTTGAACTCCTGACCTCTGGTGATCTGCCTGCCTCGGCCTCCCAACGTGCTGGGATTACAGATGGGAGCCACTGCGCCCGGCCATATTTGATAAATTTTTTTTATGGAAAGGGAGGGAATGATGCATACAAAATAAAGAGTGTGGCTAACTCTGATCAAGAGACAAAAGGATACATAAAAGAAGGAAACACAGATGCAAATAAATGATGATCTAGTTTCAGGTCAGGATATTGGTATTGGATAAGGTCTCAGATTTGCTGATGGGAATGTGAATTGGTGCCATGACTTTGGAGGATGACATGGCATTTTCTTGTTAATTTGAACATTTGTACACCTGTGGCAATAGTTTTTGGTGCACTCCAGGTGCCTTGGGCCTTTACACTTTAGTGTATACTGGTGTAACCTCAAACTGCTAGCATCTGCATCTTCTTGCCTGAGGGTTTTCTCTGGTAGTCAGGGTTTCTGTGCACAACAGGCCTGAAGTTGCACAGGATTTTGCTCTGCACAAACTGCCATCAACCAATGACTAATAAGTTAGCATATAAATACCCCAAACTCCCTTGCTGCTGGTGTGTGTTGGGGGGACGTACTGAGAAGGTGTTTGTTTGACACTGGCTTCCTGAGGGCCCTGGTGAATTTCAGTTACAGTTATTTCCATGGTAACATGCTTATTAGTGCACTTTTTATTGGCTTCCTTTCATCCCCAACTCTTCCACCAGTGTTTCCTGGCATCACCTCTCAAACAAACTGTCCACTTAAAATATTCTCTCAAGATCAGCTTCTGGGGATCCCTGACACCAACAAAAGTGGTCCTAGGAGGCAGATTCTTGGAACACTATTCTGAAATTGGATACATGTCCAACAAGAATGCAGTTAGAGCCTCCTGTTTAGTGTTATGTGGGATGATGATAAAACTTTGCATGTTGTAGCCCCACAATTTCTAAGACTTTCATCTGTAGTGAATTGGTTGGGTATCAGCTCTATCTGACCCATGACCAGGAGGTAAGGGACTCCTTCAAGCGTCCATGGCTCTCTGTATATGTTCTTTTTGCTATGTTCATAGCTTTCACTGTTTCTTTTCCCCTGTGTACACTCTCTATGGTCATGAGAAAAAGTTGGTGACTCCATAATCTTTAGCAGCCCTCTTGTTGCCATGACAACAAAGTGCTACTGCATCTTGACCTGCCCATGCCTTTTTCTCTCCTTGTACTTTGGATGCACTCCTGTCAGTGACAGTCTGAGACATCATGGTGCCACCACATGTCATGTATGGCTGCCCCATTTCCTGCGGGCAATGAATTATGCCTGTGGTCCTCAAATATGTGAGACAACTTCCCAGAAGCCCGTTCTGAAGGCCAGTTTCCTGAGGTCATTTCTGTGATGAATTACTTTATCGGTTGCAGTCCCAACGGAACTCAGATTACACTGGCTTCATACAGTAGCTTACAGGGCATGGACTCTTCTTCAGATCCCTGGAAGAGTTTGTCTAAGAGTGTTGATATTTCCCTAAATATTGATCAGAAATCCCCTATGAAATCATGTCTGGTTCACAGTTTTCTCTGGGGTAAGGTTATAAATTGTAGATTAAACTTTTTTAATACTTACATTTATCCAGTTAGATTTCATCCAATTGTTCACACTTAGTAGCTTAAAGCTTTCCCAAATATTCTTTTTTACATTTTAAACATCCGCAGGATGTGTGTGTCGTCCCTTTTTATTTCTGACATTAGTTATTTGCATTTTCTCTTTTCTTCCCCAACAAGTGTTATCAGAGATTTATCAATTTTGTTAATTCACTTGGTTGATCATTTCTTTGCTTTATTATCCTCAGTTCAATCATTTTCTTATATTATTTTAATGATCTCTTTCCTTCTATTTTCAGTTGGTTTTACATTCTTTTTTAACTTCTTCAGGTGAATTTTTAGTTCATCAACTTTCAGGATTTTATCTTTCATAATACATGCTTCTAAGGCTATAAGTTTTCCTCTAAGCACTGTTTAGGCTGCATCTCACCATGTTTTGATATGTAGTATTTCCCTTATTATTCAGTTAAAAATATTTTAAACTTTTTAAAATTTTAATGTTTCCATTATGATTTCTTCTTTAGCTTCAGGGTTATTTAGCAGTTTTTATCTTATTTTCCAAGCATATGTGTATTTTAACTTACCTCTTTGTTATTTATTTCTGACTTAGCACTGTGATCACATCATAACTAAATACTTTTAGCCTTTCAAAATGTGTTAAATCTTCCTTTGTGGTCATAAATGGTATAATGTGTGAATATTCCACCTGGCTCAAAATGAAGGTGCATTCTGTAGCTGCTCTTTCTAAGGTCTGTATATGCCTAGTAGATCAAATTTATTGATCATATTGTTCAAATTAAGCTCATTTTCCTTATCTTTTTTCTGCTCTTTAGTTGGGAGAATTTTAATTGGCCTACCTTCAAGTTCACTGATTCTTCTACCTGCTCAAGTTTCCTCTTGAACCTGTAGTGAGTTTTTCACTTTAGTTACAGTACTTTGCATTTCAAGAATTCTATTTGGCGCTATTTTATAATTTCTATCTCTTTACTGATAATCACTAGTTCTGAGGCATTGTTCTCCTGGTTTCCTTTAGCTCTTTGAGAATATTTAAGACAGTTGATTTAAGGCCTTTTTCTAGTAAGTTCACAGCCTGGGCTTCCTCAGGGGAAGTTTCCGTTAATTTACCTTTTCCTGTGAAAGGGTCATATTTCTTGTTTTTCTGCATGTCTCATACTTCTTTGTTAAAAACTGGAAAATTTGAATAAATATTATAATATGGGAAACTAGATTCTTTCTTCTCCCTAGGGTTTGTTATTGCTGCTTGTTTTGTGTTATAGTTGTTTAGTGACTTGTCTAAACTACTTTTGTGAAGACTTTTGTCATATGTGGCCACTGAAATCTTTGTTATGTTAGTTTAGTGGTCAGCTAGTGTTTTCACAGATCTTCTTAAATTTCTTAAGCCAAAAGAAGAAAGAAAGAAAGAAAGAGGAAGAAGACCCTCCTGTTCTTTGCAGGCTGGCTCTGGGTTAGAGCACTGCTGCAACACTTAACCAGGTCATTTACAACTCTGCCTTAGCCTTTACTTCCTGCTCATGTGAAGCCTAATGACCAGCCAGAGGTAAAAGCTTAGGGTCTTCTCAGGTCTTATCTGAGCATACATCTAGAAATACATGTGGCTGTTTGAATTCCTTAGTATATGTGGGAGTTTTTTAAAGTTCTAATTTCCCCACGTTTCCTTCCTTAGCCTTTTTCTTCCTAGGCGTTTTAGCCTGTCTACTGTTTTCCCTTTCTATTATCTGTTGACCTAGATGGTTGTGACAAGTATATACCTTTAAATACTTTCCATGTATGCTGCCCAGGAGGCTGTTCCATCCTGTAGAGAATTCTGTGTGTGTTTGTTGGGGGTAGGACACAGGGGAGGAAGGGCAGGAGCAGGGTGAGCAAAACAAAGGCAAGATCCTGAGCTGATCCCTCAGAGAGCTGTCAGATAGGTTGAGATTCGCAAGCACAATTCTTTGATGACAACGGCTTTTTTACTCCCTCTGGCACCAGCAAACCACACCGGGAAGATGGGCTGCTGTTGCCCTGGCTACTTCTGAGCTGGAAAATGAGGGCTTTATAGGCAGGTAAGAAAATTCCACAATTCTCTCTTACCCAAATTTAGCAGTTTCTTTCTTCATTAAGCACCCTTTGTTTTAAGTTTTTGGTTATATTCTAGAGTTATGAAAAAATGAATTCTGTCAGTTTTTTGCCAGCTTAATTGTTGCTTTCGTGAAGGGACACATTTTTGGAGCTGCCATTTTCAGTGACATTACTCCCAGCCCATTTACATTTAATGTAAATACTGATATATTTGAGCCTAAATCTCCTATCTAGCAATGTGGTTTTAAAATTAATATAATTTCTAATTGACAAATCATAATTAGATACATTTATGGAGTTCAATGCAATGTTTTTTGTTTGTTTGTTTGTTTCTTCGAGACAGAGTCTGGCTCTGTCACCCAAGCTGGAGTGCAGTGGCATGATCTCAGCTCACTACAACCTCTGTCTCCTGGGTTCAAGTGATTCTCATGCCTCAGCCTCCCAAGTAGCTAGGATTACAGGCATGTGCCACCACGCCCAGCTGATTTTTGTATTTTTAGTGGAGACTAGGTTTCACCATGTTGGCCAGGCTGGTCTCAAATTCCTGACATCAAGTGATCCACCCGCCTTGGCCTCCCAAAGTGCTGGGATTACAGGTGTGAGCCACTGTGCCCAGCCACAATATTTTCATACATGTAAACAACGTGGAATGATTGAATCAAGCTAATTAATATATCTGTTACCTCATTTACTTATTTTTTTGTGGAGAGACCCTTTCAATTTACTCTCTTAGTTATCTCAAAATATACATTATTACTGAATATAGTCACTCTGTCATGCAATAGATCTCAGAACTTATTCCTCCTGTCTACCTGAGACTTTGTACCCTTTGACCAACCACGCTCCATTCTCTCCCTCTCTGCCTCTAGCCTCTGGTAACCACCATTCTAATATCTACTTTTATGAGCTCAACTCTTTTAAGATTCCACAAATAAGTGAGATAATGCTGTCCTTGTTGGTCTTCTTTTATCCCTTTTTCCTTGCTTCCCTTTGGATGGACTTTCTTACAGTTGCATTTTTTTCTATTAGTTAAATTTATCAAGAAATTTGTCACTAATTCTTTGATCTTCTTTTCAGATATGATGATGCAGTGTTATTAGCCCTTCATTACTTATATGTTATTGCTATGCATCTGAATTGTTTTAATTTTCTATCCTCACTATCCATCACATCATCATTGTTATTAGTTAATAACTCTTAAAATGTACTCACCTGTGTACTTTACACTCTTAAATTCTTTTTTTCATCTCTGAGGCTTCCTCTGGGATCATTTTCCTTCTTTCTTAAACCTATCTTTAAGCAGTTCCTTTAATGTGTGTCTTCTGGCAACAAATATTCTGTTTTGTCTGAAAATATTTCTTTAGCTTCAGCCAAAAATTGGAAGTTGCAAGAAAAGTACAAACAATTTTTATCTGAATCATTCAAGAGAGTATTTTTTTGACCTGACACCTCCTCCTTCATGAATATTTTAGTGTGTTTTCTACAAATCAGGACAACTCCTATATAATGGCTATTTATGTTAGAAACCATGAATTCAAACTTACGGATCAAATTCCAATCCAGTACCATAGGATTCATTCCAGTTTCTCCCTGTAGTCTGTTCTTGAACTGCTATAAAGAAATACCTGAGGCTGGGTAATTTATAAGGAAAAGAGGTTTAATTGACTCACGGTTCTGCAGGCTGTCCGGGAAGCATAGTGGCTTCTGCTTGGCTTCTGGGGAGGCCTCAGGAACTTAAAATCATGGTGGAAGGTGAAGGTGAAGGGAAGCAGGCATGTCTTACATTCCCAGAGCAGGAGAAAAGGAGACCAGGGAGGTGCCACGTGCTTTTAAACAGCCAGATCTCGGGAGGACTCTATAAGGAAAACAGCACTAGGGGGATGGTGCTAAACCATTCATGAGAACCCACCCCCGTGATCCAACCACCTCCCACCAGGCCCCACCTCCAACACCGGGGATTACAATTCGACATGAGATTTGGGTGGGGACACAGATCCAAACCCAATTCGACATGAGATTTGGGTGGGGACACAGATTGAAACCCAATTCGACATGAGATTTGGGTGGGGACACAGATCCAAACCATATCACTCCCTTTTGGTATTTGGAACTGCCTTCTCTCTTTTCTATTCTTTTCGGTGTATTTACTTACTTGACCAATCCCCTTGTGTGACCAACCTGCCCTCTCTGCCAGTACTCCCTTCCCCTCTGCCATTCTGGCTCCCCCTCCATTCTAGTGTGCACTCCTCCCCATCTGGAACCCTTCTCACCCCACTTAAGATCTGACTTTCTATATCAGGCTGCCCACCTCTGCTCATGTGGGTGCTCCGAGCCTGGACTCCACACTGGCTTCCCGCTCTGGGCCCCTGCATCTCTCCTCCTACCCCCACCATGCAGACACCCCCCAACCCTTGATCTGCCCACCGAACAGCTTTGAGTCCAAACTGCTCTTCTCAGGAAGAGAAAGTATACTGGGTTGAATAGAGTCACCCCCAAATTTATGTCCACCAAGAACTTGAGAATGTGGCCTTATTTGGAAAGAGGGACTTGGCAGATATAATCACGATAACATGAGGCCACTCTACAGTAGAGTGGGTCCTAGATCCACTATGGCCAGTGCCATTATAAGAAGAGAAACATTTAGACACAGATACAGGGAGAACACTGCATGAAGACAGAGGCAGAGGCTGGAGCGATGCGTCTGCAGGCCCGGGAACACCCAGGGCAGTCGGCAACCACAGGAGCTGGAAGAGTCACATCTGGTGCTGCACTAAGTCCTTTGCATATGTTATCTCATATAATTTCCAGAAAAACATGGTGAGCTAGATATTATCAAGATTCTAATGATAAAAACATTGATGATCACGGGACACAAAAGATAAGGGAGCAATTAGTAGAATTGGGATTAGAATCCAGATATGCTTGACCACAAAATAAATACTATTTTTCTGTAATACGCTGATATCTATGAGTGTATATTGGGTACTGGCTTTAAAGTTGATGGATCCTTTTATATACACCATTTAAAGTGATCTTCCTAATGATGTTGGCATAAACACAGTATTATTATTATTGTTTACTGATGAAAAAACTGATGCTGGAGAAAAACAAGTTTGTCTAAGCTCAAAACTCAAATCATGTGTTTCAGAGACGAGACTGTCAACCACGTATCTCAGTGTCCAGTCATCCAGTGGTCTTCCCACCACATCAGGTATGAAGAAGCCTCTGTCTCTTTGAATATTATCTGTAACGCTGCTCTTGTGTTTATTTATTGAGTATGAGCACCTTAAATTTCCCTTGAGAATATGCACATATCTTACCTGAATTGTGTAATGTTCCCAAAGACAACAGATTTTCCTCTCTTAGGTCACATGGAGCCAAACTACTCCACAGTGCCTTGTTTGGCACGTTCCAGAGCTTCTCGAAGCCGGTCGTTTGTGAATCACAGATGACCTAAAACTTCGTACAGGGCGTGGTGGCTCACGCCTGTAATCCCAGCACTTTGGGAGGCCGAGGCGGGTGGATCACCTGAGATTGGGAGTTGGAGACCAGCCTGACCATCATGGTGAAACCCCATCTCTACTAAAAATACAAAATTAGCTGGGCGTGGTGGCGCATGCCTGTAATCCCAGCTACTCAGGAGGCTGAGGCAGGAGAATTGCTTGAACCCAGGAGACGGAGGTTGCAGTGAACCGAGATCGAACCATTGCACTCCAGCCTAGGCAACAAGAGCAAAATTCCATCTCAAAAAAAAAAAAAAAAAAAGATCCTCTATGTCTCTCCACCTGCACGCATTGCTGGTTGTATGTCCAAACCCCACTGTCAGAAGGAGGAATTAACTGCTGACTGTATCAGCATGCCTATGTCCTATTTGTAAATTATTAGATCCACCAAGATGAATACAAAACAAGCAACATTGTACTTTTAAATCTGTAAGCTACGCATAAGAGGCAAATAAGAAAAATGCATATAGGATTATTTAGACATTTTTAGAAGCACAAAGAACATTTTTTAAAAAACCTTTTATTTTGAGTTCAGGGGTACACGTGCAGGTTTGTTACGCAGGTAAACGTGTGCCATGGGGATCTGTCGTACAGATGATTTCATCACCCAGGTATTAAGCCTAGTGCCCCTTAGTTATTTTTCCTGACCCTCTCCCTCCTCCCGGCCTCCACCCTCCAATAGGCCCCAGTGTGTGTCATTCCCCTCTATGTGTCCATTTGTTCTCAAAAGGAACATATTTTATATCAGTAACTGAAAAATCTATTTTAAGTAATAATCATGGTTCTTAGCAATAAAGTCGTTTTAGAAATAAAAAAAAAAAAAGAAGCTAGAAGGGGCAAGAAGCATCCTACCCTAGAGGCTTTAGAGAGAGCCCAGCCCTCCTGACACCTTGAGTTTAGACTTCCAGCTTCCAGAGCTGTGCAAGAATACACTTCTGTTCTTTACGGTCCTTGTTAGGATAGCCCTAGGGAATGAAAATTGAAAAGAAGAGAAAAAGAAAAGTCATCTTTATTTTCCAAAGATAGTTTCCCTGGCTTAGCAGGTATTTCTTTTAGCACTGTAAAGACAGCATCTCATTCTGTTCTTGTTTCTGTTACGACATTAGCTGCCAGCCTAAGACAGCATCTCATTCTGTTCTTGTTTCTGTTACGACATTAGCTGCCAGCCTCACTGGTCCTCCTTTAAAGGTATTGTGAGCTTCCCCGACCTTGGCTACTCTTAAGATAGCCTCTTTTTTTTTTTAGTCTTCAGGAGTTTTATAATGTTATGGATAGATGTGGTTTTATTTTATTTTATTTTCTTCAGAGTCTTGCTCTGTCACCCAGGCTGGAGTGCAGTGGTGCAATCTTGGCTCACTGCAACCTCCACCTCCCGGGTTCAAGAGATTCTCCTGCCTCAGCTTCCCAAGCAGCTGGAATTACAGATGAGTACTACCACACCCAGCTAATTTTTGTATTTTTACTAGAGACAGGGTTTCACCATGTTGGCCAGGTTGGTCTGAAGCTCCTGGCCTCAAGTGATCTGCCTGCCTCAGCCTCCCAAAGTTGCTGAGATTGCAGGCATGAGCCACCACGCCTGGCATAGATGAGATTTTCTACGTATTTTATTCCATATGAATGATGGGGTAGGATATTTCCTTAAGTTTGGGAAGATTTCTGCAATTGCCTCTTTAAAAATGTTTCTTCTCTTCCTTCTCACTTCTCCTTCTGGGACTCTAACTACCTATATGTTAGACCTTATCGGTGGATACTCTCTTCTTTTAACCCTCCAGTTCCATGCTGTGTTTTTGTCTATCCTTCATTCTAGATATTTTCTTCTGATCCAACTTCTGATTCACTAATTCTTTCTTCAGCTGTGTTAAGTCTGCTCTTAAACCCATCATTTGAGCTCTTCATTGTATACTTCTGTTCTAAAATTCTGAATTAAAAAAGATCTGCTATGTGTGTTTTATAGTTTTCAATTTATGATGAAATTTTCAGATTGTGTTTAAACTCTTCAAACCTAGTAGCACTGTTATTTTATCAGTTTTAAAATTTTACTTATTTTTATTTTTTTTCAGAGATGGGGCCTCACTCTGTCACCCAAGCTGGAGTGCAGTGATTCAATCACAGCTCCCTGTAGCCCCAAACTTCTGGCTCAAGTGATTATCCCACCTAACCTCTCAGATAGTGGGGGCTACAGACAAGTACCACTATGCCCAGGTAATTATTAAACATTTTTTGTAGAGATAGGGTCTTGCCATGTTGCCCAGGCTGGTCCCAAACCTCCTGGCATCTCAAAGCACTGGGATTACAAGTGGGTGGGGGAGGTGAGGGATAAAAAACTACATATTGGGTACAGTGTACACTACTTGGATGATGGGTGCCCTAAAATCTCAGAATTAACCACTATAGAATTCATCCGTGTAACCAAAAACTACTTGTATCCCAAAAGCTATTGAAATAAAAAGTATTAAGAAAGTCTTCATGTGCTAATTCCCATAGCTGAGGTCTGGAGTCCCTGTTGATCTTCCGTTTTTGCTGTTCTTACTCATGTTGCTTCGTCTACTTGTATGTGTGGTTCTTTGTGATTGTGTGCTGGATACTGTATTCAGAAGTATTGGGTTGAGCAACTGAACCTAAAATGACGTTATAATTTTCCAGAGACGGTTTTCATATGCTTCTGGCTGGTTCCTGGTGGAATTCAAAATCTGAGATCAACTTAACCCAGTGGTAGAGGTTGAGCTTTTCTAAGGACCTGAATAAAGTGCATCTGGTTGCAGTTCCTGTGAGGGATGATTTCCTTCACCTTTGCTCCTATAAGGAAAGTCCATGGGTTTCTAATCCAAAGTGCATGTACTTCCCAAGCGCCTTTCTCCTGGTGAGTCCTGGCCTCTGAGTTTTTCTCCCTAGCTCTAAGATTGTCAGGATTTCTGCTCAGCTTCTCACTGACTATCCCAGAATCAGCAAATGCTTTTGGGGAGGGGCTCAGGGGGAAGTGACTGCAAATGGCAGCTACTTTGGTGGCTATTATTCACCACTCTGGTATCTCTCCATTACCTTCAAACAGATTTTTAAAATACTTCTTTCAGATTTGCTAACTGGTCCGAGTTCCCTGTATGCCCTTAATAGAAGCAGACATCTGGCATCTTTATAAGAATCACATTTTCCGTTTGTTGCTGGTCTATAGAAATAAAACGGATTTCTGTACATTGGTATTAAAGCCAGTAATCTATTATTTTTAATAATATATTTTTATTATTTATAATACTATTTTAAGTAATACCATTTAAATTATTGAATATTTTGGATTTTTGCTATTTTGAATTACTTTTGAATACTTTTGTATCTTCTCCTGGATTTTTTCTGCTCTTCCACTGGGACTCCTGCGCAGACACTGGTGGGTCCTGTGACTTCCTTCCTCAGCCCAGTGTCACTCACTTTTCTGTGGCTCCCAGGAAAACACACAACCCCTCCCCAAGTCCCTCTGAGGGTCTCCTATCACCACAGAGTGAAGTCCAAGGCTGGAATCAGGGCCAGTCTGGCCCCATGCAGTCTGGCCTCTGGCCTGTCCTTCCAGCCCACTCCTTCCCAAGCCCACTGGCCTTCCCACCGCTCTTGAACTTGGCAAGCATGTTTCTGGCCTGGACCCTTCCCCTCCTGCTCCTTTTGCCTGGGATGCACCTCCCAGTGGTCCATGTCCCCAAGGACATATTCTGGATGCCTGGCATTGATGGCCACACCCTCAGCTGGCGCTGTTGTCCTTTATGGAGCATTTATTTGTTTTTAATTGCTTTTTTTCCTCTTCTGGTTTCTTTGTGATTTGTTTTTAATTGTATTATCCATTCCCCACCAGGACCTTAGTGCCGCAGTGCAGACACACTGCACGTGTCCACCTTAGCCCTTGGCCTGGCACACAGTAGATGTTCAATGAACATCACATTGTAAGTTGCTTTCCATTGACGATTTGTGACTTCTAACACTCTCCATGTGTTCTATTGGCTATTTGTGTCTGCAGCTGGCTAAAGAGAACTCCTCTTCCCCACGTTCCACTGAAAACTTCTTCAAGGTCGAGCTTGTCTCATTCATCATGTTTTTGTTTGTTTGTTTGTTTGTTTTTTACATTCACTTACTTGGACTCTGATAGTTAATTTTAGGTGTTAACTTGGGCAGGCCATACTACCCAGATATTTGGCCAAACACCAGTCTAGATAGTGCAGGTGATTTTTAGATGTTATTAACATTTCAACCTGTGGACTTTGAGTAAGGCAGATCATCATCCATAATGTGGGTGGGCCTCATCCAGGCAGTTGGAGGCCTTAAGAGAAAACAGACGGCAGTCCCCAAGGAGGACAGAATTCTGCCAGCAGGCTGAACTTTGGACGGGAGCAGCAGCCTCAGCTCTTCTCTGGGTCACCAGCCTGCTGGTTTGCCCTGCAGATTTTGGACATTCGTCTCCACAACTGTGTGAGCCAATTCCTTAAAATCTCTCTCTCGCATCTCTCCCTCTATCCATACCTGTGGCCATAGCCTGTGTCTATGTTGATACCTATTTCTGTCGATATCCACATCCACATCTATGGGTTCTGTTTCTCGGGAGCTCATGCGAATACAGGCTCTCTTTCATGTTAGATACTTTGGTCACTTTCTTTCCTGGGGTGCTTACTTTGTTTTTGGTGGCTTTGTCCTTATAGAGACTTTATTTTTTTCCTTGTGGGCAAATTTATCAGTCTTACTTTTCACTGTTCCTGGCCTTAGCCTCATTCTGAGAGAACACTTATTCACCTTAAGAGAATATAGATATTTTGCCATATTTTTTTCTGGTGTGATTATTGATCTGTATCAGTGCTGGTCTTCAATTTGCTTTTTGTCCTTACAATGAGAGCAGAAATCCTTTCTCTTTTCTCTTTCATTTTCCCAATTCCGTTTTGAGGTCTTGTCCAAACCAATGTTTTCTAGAATAAACTTGGCAGGTATAGAGCCGGCTATGGCCACAGCCGCAGACATCAGGGCCTCGGCTGGAGAGGAGAGGTGCAGGCCTCTGGAAGTCTCTTTGGGGCTGGAGACTATGGCCTGATTTCTGTCCAGGTCTTGGGGGGCCTCTGTCCACAAGTCTAGGGGGGCAGAAAGGGCTCAGACCCTTCCCTCAAAATACCAAGGGAGAGGAGGTCGGCTGGGCCCAGGCAGGTGGCTGGTGGTGAGCGCCCCGAGATCAGGCCAGGCTTGTCAAGCATTGATTTAGGTGTGGGAGGCAGACATGTCCTGTTTGTTACCAGCTGGAAACAGATGTTTCTGCCCCGAGTGCCACCTTAGAGGGTGGCGTCCAGGCCCAGCAGGCTGTGGCGACACGGGTGAGCTGCAGAGCGTGCGGAGGCGAGGGCCCTGGCCCATGTCAGGAGGCTGAGTTACGACTGTGGCTTCAGTGCCGGGAAAGCTGTAAACACATTCCTGTGCGGGGCCCTGGGCCACCTGGGGCATCACATGCCCCCAGAAGACAGATTTCTGTAGTCAGTCAGGACTCAACGGACATTTACGTAACATGGAAAGGGGAAGTGGTGCTGGAGGGCAGCCCCCTGAATCACTCTGTTGGAGCAATTCTGTTGGGTGAAGGTGCATGAAAACAACACAGTGTGGCTGAGGGCCAGGGCTGTAGACATTCGGTCAAGTGCACAGGCTGTGCTGGAGCAGCCCCGGCACTAGAAACAGGCGCAGGGTGGGGAGTTTGCTGGGGTCAATGTGCATTGCGTCGTGCATTTTAGGGTATTTCCTAGGTATAATTGCTAGAGAGAAACAAAGCTCAAATACAGATCATCTGCCCCACACCAGGTTCCCACCATCCTCAGGGGAATCACAGGTTACTGGCTTTGGAGACCGAGATGTCTTCCCGCCTCCCAGGGGCCTGTGGATGGGACTCCCTGCGAATTCGACTCCCAGGGGAAAAGCCAAGAGCTGCCTCCTTGGGACAGCTGGGCGGCAGCTGTGATCGCACATGGCTCAGGCAGAGGCCTGAGCGGCTGCCTCCGTTGGCCAGCAGGCTCTGAGAGCACTCGCCCGGCCTGACTGTTCATCCATCCTTTCACCCGGAGGCCAGCTGTGGCTGTCTGTGCTCTCAGAGGGGAGGCGATGGCAAGGCGCCTGCCATGCAGATGGGTGGTGGGAGTGAGCCTGTTACACTCTGAGGCCAGGACCGGGTCTGGGGGCACTGGGGCTCCAGGGTGGCCGAGGGCAGTGGGTCAGGCCTGAGAGTTCTGACTTTGTTCTTGGTGCAGTGGGAACCTCTCTGTGGGTTTGAATGGGCCGTCCTGATAGATTCATGTTTTAAAAAGACCACATGGTCCGTGGGGTGGGGGTGGGGCCGGAGGATCAGCAGGAGCCTCTGGCTTCGGAGTCATGGCACCTTCTCCTTCTCACGTCTCCCTCTGCCTCCCTCCTGTGACACCTGTGCCCACATTCGGAGCCACCCAAGTAATCCAGGCCCCTCTCCTCATCTCAAGATCATTGGCTTAATCTCATCTGCAAAGTCCCTTTTGCCATGTAAGATCTCAGAGTCACAGTTCTGGGAATCTGGATGAAGACACTTTTGGGGCCTGACTTAGCCGACTACCCACCTGCAGTTTCAGATGCCTTGAGTAGGAGGCACATAGCTGACTGCCAGTGCCAACGCGTGGAATAAAAGTCCACACTTAGGGACAGATATGAGTTGAAACTATGAACAGAAGCTATTGGAAACCATAATATTGATAAGCTCACCAAGAGCATGAGCAGGGGTTGAGGGGAGACTGAGCGGGACAGCTGCAAGAAGATGACCTACAGGACGCATCCTAGGAGCAAATGAGGCACCGGGGTTGGGGCACATGGCTGACACCGGGGCTCACCCTCGTCCTGTCTCTGGTCCGTGGGTGGGGAGGGCAAATGGCCGGAGGAGCTGTTTGGGGACCAAGCTCCCGCCACACCTCACTATTTGTTCCTCATCTGGTGGAGTGAGAGAAGCCCGTGTCCAACTGACCAGGGTCAAATCCGGGCCCCCAGTCTACTGCTGGAAGATTCCGGGCAATGTCTTGGCCTGTTTTGGCTGCTGTACCAAATACCTGTCGAGCTAAATAATGAACAGAGAGAGGCTCTAACAGAAAATATTTATTTGGGAACAGTGAGGTGTGGAGGGAGCTTGGTCCCCAAGCACTGCAGTGGGAGCACACATACCATCATAAACTATGTGCATATTCAGGGAGGTAAAAGACGACAAAGGTTTTTAAAGGAAAAATGAGGACGATTACATGATCGTTTTGAAATAATCTTTGGCTACAAGGATCAATAACAAGGGTGATGCCAGTATGAGGCGCACAGGCAGTTGCTGGGCAGCTGTCCTCGCAGAAGTATTTTTTTGTGTAAGGTTGCAATGGCCTTTGTGCGAGGCTGTGTTTTTTATAGTCTTTTGTGATAGTTTTTGCTAGTAGGTGTTTATGCATGAGAATGCTTCTCAGCCTTCTCTGGCTTTATATGTCAGAGTTTCGTTTGTTTGTTTGTTTTTTAACACAAGGGACTCCATTTTGATTCTGACGACTTTCATCATATTTTCTCCCTTTGGTCAAGGTCTTTCTCTGGAAGCCTCACTGATGGACCATGCTGTGGTAGGTTCTGATGTCCCTCAGTATTTGGATGGGCCTGTCCCAGGTGTCTGGTCTGGTCACATGTTTGAAGGAGTGATTGATGTCTAGGAGTCAGTGTCAAAATCCTTTTAGCCACATTTGAGTAACAAAGGAGGTTTGAAGACAGTGGCTTTCAGGCTAAGTCTACCTGGAGTAAATGATTAAGTTCAATTTTGTCTGTGGTGTGGTCTTTTGCTATTATCTCAAAGTGCTGGGCTAGCAATATTCTGTTAGAAGTTGTACTTCTGAAAAAATTCAGCAAGTAACAGATACAAAGTTTAAAAAGGGAAAATAAAAAGTAAAATTAGTAATAACATGACAATCCTAGTTTGCATAATAGGATTATGCAATGTCTAGGATTAAAGGCAATTAATTGAATAAATAATGAATCCAGGATTCAAGGCAATTAATTGAATAAATAAAATAGGAAGCCAAGTAAAAACTGTAGGCCCTAGGACAGGTAAGAGTCCCATTATGATATGGAGTCTTGTTCCCATGACTTGGGAGAAGCTGTCTACAGAGTGAAAATGTGAAATTCCTCATCTTGCTTTGCAGTTTGAATGTCTCTAGTCGTGGCATTGGGCAGTCTGGTGAACTTTCTGTCTGGCTCGGACATCAAGCATGAGACTTGTTTCTTAGCATTTATCTAGCTTCAGCTTATAGGGCTTCAGGAACAGAGCAGTTCTCATTTTTCTCCATGGAAGAAAGTTGGATTGGAAGAATCTAGAAGAATTCAGGATCTAGTCTATAGGTAGAAAACAAGAACTTGAAAATAATGCACAGAGCTACAATCTAAAAGCAGGTGTGTTACAGCTTTTCTTTGGAAGCATAAGTTTTCCTCTGTACATTGATCACATAGGAATCTCGTACTTCAATACCTCTTTATGCTGGTAAGCCAAACCAAGACAGGCTTTAGCTTTTACTTACAGTTTTAAGGTTTCTGGGCTTGCCAGGAAATGATGATTTTTACTCATTATAAGGAACCCTGGAAACCAGGCATTCTTTTTTCTTTTTTTGAGACGGAGTCTCACTTTGTTGCCGAGGCTGGAGTGCAGTGGCGTGATCTTGGCACACTGCAACCTCTGCCTTCCATGTTCAAAAGAGTCTCCTGCCTGAGTCTCCCGAGCAGCTGGGATTATAGGTGCCCGCCACCACACCTGGCTAATTTTTGTATTTTTAGTAGAGACGGGATTGAGATGGGGTTTTGCCATGTTGGCCAGGCTGGTCTCGAACTCCTGACCTCGGGTGATCTGCTTGGCTTGGCCTTCCAAAGTGCTGCGATTACAGGGGTGAGCCACCCCGCCCGGCTGAAACTAGGCATTCTATGTATATTTTTCAAATATGGTATTTCAGCCAAAGCCTTAGTAATATACCTGATGTTTCCAATTACATCCTGCAGTGAGGAGACAACTAGTTTTTATCTGGACTTATACAAATGGCCACATCGTCATAAGAACACTTGTGAATAGTTTCTAAATTTTGGAGGAGTCACGTAGGGGGGAAAATAATTGCTTTCATCTTTGTTCACAAAAAGTATACTGTATTAAATTACTGTAAACTATAGATGACTTACGAGAGAAAATTTCCTTAAATCTGGCAAACAAAACATTTAAGAACGAACGATGCTTCAAATAAAATTCATAAAAATATTCCCCTCATCACTTCTTCAATATCATGAAGTCAGCTTTTCTGCTTGAGCTTGATTGGAGGTTTTTGAATTTCTCAGTTTCTT
Organism: Homo sapiens; assembly: GCF_000001405.40. Taxonomy (NCBI): domain Eukaryota; kingdom Metazoa; phylum Chordata; class Mammalia; order Primates; family Hominidae; genus Homo; species Homo sapiens. The sequence goes on from NT_187600.1 coordinate 289,905, forward strand.
TATTAGAGTTCTGAAAATTTTTTATTGAGTCCATTGATCTTTTATCGGGAAACCGTATTTAAGAGTTCCTGTTTGAGTCTCTTCCATGAAAAGCAATTTTGGACAATAGCTGATTACAAATGCTTTTGGAGAAAAATCAAAACAATAACTCTGGGTCACAAAAACAAAATGGCCATGGTTAAACATCTGATAAAAATTCATTATAATCAGCAATTGATAAGGAAATTGACTTTTTAAAAATTACTATAGTGTTTTAAGGTAGCAAACAGAATCATGACTGTGACTGATAGCATCACATCAGAACCATCAGGGTTTTATAAATTTCACATAATCTTTAGAATATACTCACATCAGTAACGTCTCCATACAAATATAGCTTTAAAGAAGATGTAGCATAACCAAAATTATGGCTGATAACGTTATAGACTGATATGAATTTATATAATCTTTGAAACATCATATCAATAGCATACCCACAAATGTAACTGAAAGAAGATCTAATATCACTTATTATTTGACAATGTTTCCCATATAATTTACCAAATAAGCCTAATCATTTATTTTCTCTATAGGATGAGAGATAAATTCTTTGAGGCTTTCCAGGGGTCTAACTGTAAAATCCCTAAGTCAATTCTAGATAAAAAAAGACTTATTTTAGAATTTTGATCCTGAGGAAGCCTGCCAAAGATGTCAAAGGTTCAACATGGCTAATCAAAGCAGAATCTCAGGTCACTATTAAATATAGCCATGTATTCAACCAGTGATCATCAAAAGACTTGAAGAGTAATACGGAAAGTTACATGGATTAAAAGGACCTAACTTCTTCAAAGCTCAAGTTACCTAAGTAACCAAAAACCTCATAAAGACAACACAAAAAATTATCCTAATAAAATACAAAATCTTTGTTTTTTTTAGGCTACTTACCCAAAAGTTAAAGAAATGCCTCCTGCAGTGTGATTGTGTCTCCTCATGGGAAGCCCATGTAGATAAACTGGAAGTCAAATCTGATGAAAAAGACACTGAGTTTAATTAGGCAGAGAAAGAGTATGTCCAAGGCTATAAGTGTAAACCATTAGTAGAGAAATGTAAACAAGATAACTAGTACCTGAGCAGGGGAACACATAGAAAAAGCAACAGCATGAGAAACTTCCTGGTTACAAGGGAAAATTCAATTATACTGGAATTATACTGGAGAGAACATTTGTTTTCTAGACTTTCAGGATAAACATTTCAGCATTGAGCCATAACAACAGAGTTATAATGGGAGAAAAAATGTTATAGGAGTTGATAAAAAAAAAGTTGAAAGAGAGAGCTATCACCCCAGGCCATCTCATGGGGAGGAAGAGCTGAAGGCACTGATGGATAAGTCTGTATTTATATACATGATCTATAAATCCATATTTATATACATGATCTATAAATCATGTGCTGTGAAATACAACAGAAGTTGAAGTTCTGAAATCTAAAACTGAGAAGCTTTAGGGGGAAAAGACTATGTCAAGAAATGAAATTCTCGTTTTACATGAAGAGGACTTCCAACCTGAAACTAGGGAAAGTAAATGGATCCCAGGAAGCAATAGAAATGGTCTGTTAAAGAAACAGATTTTAGAATTAAAAATAAAAACTTCTTGTAGTTTTAAGAACAGATCAATACTTCAAGATAACTTTGTTGTTCTAACACAGGAAACTAAATCTTTAGTTTTATATTAGCATATTTTTAATAGCAAACCTCAGTCTTTAGAAAGACTTATAAATAATTCCCTTCTAATTATAGCCATCTTGATCACACGCAAAATTCCTTTCGTAAATTCATTATTTGCAAACCTTATTATGACTTACTCAGATGTTTTATGACATGTTGAGGCGTTCTGCTTTGTTTGATACCTCTTTTTTTATTTTATCCTTGTCTTCTTGTCTCTGTTTATCTCTCTCATATAGTTTTATAGTTTTCTCATATAGTTTTATAATGAATTTAGACAATGATTTGATTATTTTTCTAGTGTTTATCATTCTCTTATTTGCTGATGACTTACTATGCTTAAGACTGATGAATTGTCTTGTTCAGGGATCTGAAATCCTTTCCAGTTAAAAAGGGACTTGGCCACATTTGTTCCCATGACCCCTAGGGATGCAACCCTCTTGGGATGTTATGTCATCTTCTTCAACCCAAACCTTTTAATTCTACCCCTGGTCAAATATGGATGGGTACATTCTTGTACCTCATGTTTGGTATATTTTGAAAGCAAAGAACCAAGCATTATTTGTAGTCTTTGAAAAAGAGACCCAGCGTACATAAGCAGTGTTTAGTGTTGTAATGAAATAATTCCCAAACAAAAGGAATCTGATACATGTTATTCATATGCACAGTTGTAATCATGCCATATTAACCTAGCAAAAAGCAATCTGCCTGAGTGTTTTCTAGTTAGTGTAGTTGGTAGAGCTTGACTGAAAATTAAAAAAAAATTTTTTTTGAATCTTCAACGTCATAATTGACCCATACTCCCTCTCATTACAGGCTAACGATCCCCTGTCTGAAATGCTTGGGACCAGAAGTGTTTCAGATTTTATATTTTTTGGATTTTGGGATATTTGCATATATATAATGAGATATCTTGGATAGACCCAAGTCTAAACACAAAATTCATTTGTATTTCATGTACACCTTATACAGACAGCCTGAAGGTGATTTTGTACAATATTTTAAATAACTTTGTACATGAAACAAAGTTTTAACTGTGTTTTGTCTGTAGCCTGTCACATGGCTTCAGGTGTGGAATTTTCTTTATATATATATATATTTATTATACTCTAAGTTCTAGGGTACATGTGCACAACGTGCAGGTTTGTTACATATGTATACATGTGCCATGTTGGTGTGCTGCACCCATTAACTCGTCATTTACATTACGTATATCTCCTAATCCTATCCCTCCCCCCTCTCCCCACCCCACAACAGGCCCTGGTGTGTGTGATACCTCTTTTTTTAAAGTAAGCAGTCATTTTACTTTATGACAAAAATTTATCACGCAAGATTCTTCCTTTTTTAAAAAAATTCTCTTTTCTTTTTAACCTTCCGTACCAAAAATACATCTTCATACCCATAACTTTCTTCACATACCTCTCTTCTACTTACTGTTTTTTAAATTTTTTAATTCTTTCAGTCTTCTTAATTTTTTTAATGTTTATTTTTCCATAGGTTATTGGAATACAGGTGGTGTTTGGTTACATGAATAAGTTCTTTAGTGGTGATTTGTGAGATTTTGGTGCACCCATCACCCGAGCAGCATATGCTGCACCATATTTGTAGTCTTTTATCCCTCTTTCCTCTCTCACCCTTACCCCCAAGTTCCCAAAGTCTATTGTGTCATTCTTATGCCTTTGCATCCTCATATCTTAGCTCTCACATGTCAGTGAGAACATACGATGTTTGGTTTTCCATTCCTGAGTTACTTCACTTAGAATAATAGCCTCCAGCCTCATCCAGGTCGCTGTGAATGCCATTAATTCATTCCTTTTTGTGGCTGAGTAGTATTCCATCACATATACATACTACAGTTCCTTTATCCACTTGTTGATTGATGGGCATTTGGGTTGGTTCCACAAGTTTGCAGTTGAAAATTGTACTGCTACAAACATGAGTGTGCAAGTATCTTTTTCGTAGAATGACGTCTTTTCCTCTGGGTAGATACCCAGTAGTGGGATCGCAGGATCAAATAGTAGTTCTACTTTTAGTCCTTTAAGGAATCTCTGCACTGTTTTCCATAGCGGCTGTACTAGTTTACATTCCCACCAGCAGTGTAGAAGTGTCCCCTGATCACTGCATCCACACCAACATCTAATGTTTTTTGATTTTTTGATTATGGCCATTCTTGCAGGGGTAAGGTGGTATCGCATTGTGGTTTTGATTTGCATTTCCCTAATCATTAGTGATGTTGAGCATTTTTTCATATATTTGTTGGCCATTTGCATATCTTCTTTTGAGAATTGTCTATTCATGTCCTTACCCCACTTTTTGATGGGATTGTCTGTTTTTTTCTTGCTGATTTGTTTGAGTTTGTTGTAGATTCTGGATATTAGTCCTTTGTCAGATGTACACATTGTGAAGATTTTCTCTCACTCTGTGGGTTGTCTGTTTACTCTGCTGACTGTTCCTTTTGCTGTGCAGAAGCTCTTTAGCTTAATTATGTCCCAGCTATTTATCTTTGTTTTTATTGCATTTGCTTTTGGGTTCTGGTCATGAAGTCCTCGCCTAAGCCAATGCCTGGAAGGGTTTTTCCAATGTTATTGGAAATTTTTATAGTTTCTAGAATTTTTACAGTTTCAGGTCTTAGATTTAAGTCTTTGATCCATCTTGAGTTGATTTTTGTATAAGATGAGAGATGAAGATCCAGTTTCATTCTCCTACACGTGGCTTGCCAGTTATCCCAGCACCATTTGTTGAATAGGGTGTCCTTTCCCCACTTTACGTTTTTGTTTGCTTTGTCAAAGATCAGTTGGCTGTAAGTACTTGGGTTTATTTCTGGGTTCTCTATTCTGTTACATTGGTCTATGTGCCTATTTTTATACCAGTACCATGCTGTTTTGGTGACTATGGCCTTATAGTAGAGTTTGGAATCAGGCCGTGTGTTGCCTCCAGATTTGTTCTTTTTGCTTAGTCTTGCCTTGGCTATGTAGGCTCTTTTTTGGTTTCATATGAATTTTTTTTTGTGACAGATTCTCATTCTTTTGCCCAGGCTGGAGTACAATGGCACAATCTGGGCTCACTGCAAACCTTCCAGGTTCAAGTGATTCTCCTGCCTCAGCCTCCTGAGTAGTAGCTGGAATTACAGGCACATGCCACCACACCCGGCTAGTTTTTGTATTTTTAGTAGAGATGGGGTTTCACCATGTTGGCCAGGCTGGTCTTGAACTCCTGACCTCAAGTGATCCTACTGCCTTGGCCTCCCAAAGTGCTAGGATTACAGGCATGAGCCACCGTGCCTGGCCTCCATATGAATTTTAGAATTGTTTTTTCTAATTCTGTGAAGAATGATGATGGTATTTTGATGGGGATTGCATTGAATTTGTAGATTGCTTTTGGCAGTGTGGTAATTTTCACAATATTGATTCTACCCATCCATGAGCGTGGTATGTGTTTCCATTTGTTTGTGTCATCTATGATTTCTTTCAGCAGCGTTTTGTAGTTTTCCTTGTAGAGGTCTTTCCCTTCCTTGGTAAGGTATATTTCTAAGTATTTTATTTTATTTTTTGCAGCTATTGTAAAAGGGGTTGAGTTCTTGATTTGATTCTCTGCTTAATTACTGTTGGTGTATAGAGTAGCTACTGATTTGTGTACATTAATCTTCTATCTGGAAACTTTGCTGAATTTTTTTTTCAGTCCTAGGAGCTTTCTGGAGGAGTCTTTAGGGTTTTCCAGGTAAACAATCATATCATCAGTAGTGACAGTTTGACTTTCTCTTTATCGATATGGATGCCCTTTATTTCTTTCCCTTGTCTGATTGCTCTGGCTAGGACTTCCAATACTGTGTTGAAGAGGAGTGGTGACAGTGGGCATCCTTGTCTTGTTTCAATTCTCAGAGGGAATGCTTTCAACTTTTCCCCATTCAGAATTATGTTGTCATGGATGGCTTTTTCTACACTGAGGTATGTCCCTTGGTATGCTGATTTGCTGAGAGTTTTAATCATAAAGCGATGCTGGATTTTGTCAAATGCTGTTTCTGCATCTATTGAGATGATCATGTGATTTTTGTTTTTAATTCTGTTTATGTGGTGTATCACATTAACTGACTTGCGTATGTTAAACCATCCCTGCATCTCTGGTATGAAACCCACTTGATTGGGGTGGATTATCTTTTTGATATGTTGTTGGACTTGGTTAGCTAGCATTTTGTTAAGGATTTCTGGCATCTATCTTCATCAGGGATATCGGTCTGTAGTTTTCTTTTTTGGTTACGTCCTTTCCCGGTTTTGGTATTAGGGTGATGCTGGCTTCATAGAATGAATTAGGGAGGCTTCCCGCTTTCTCTGTCTTGTGGAATAGTACCAATAGGACCAATTCTTCTTTGAATGTCTGGTAGAATTCTACTGTGAATCTGGTCCTGGACTTTTTTTTGTTCTTGGTAATTTTAAAATTACCATTTCAATCTCGCTGCTTGTTATTGGTCTCTTCAGGGTATATAATTCTTCCTGATTTAAGCTAGGAGGGTTGTATTTTCCTGAGAATTTATCCATCTCTTCTAGGTTTTCTAGTTAATGTGTGTAAAGGCGTTCATAGTAGCCTTGAATGATCTTTTGTATTTCTGTGGTGTCAGTTGTAATATTTCCCATTTCGTTTCCTATTGAGGTTATTGGGACTTTCTTCTTTTCTTGGTTAATCTTGCTAATGGTCTATCAATTTTATTTATCTTTTCAGAGAACCAGCTTTTTGTTTCATTTATCTTTTGTATTTTTTTGTCTCAATTTCCTTTAGTTTTGCTCTGATCTTGATTAATTCCTTTCTTCTGCTGGGTTTGGATTTGGTTTGTTCTTGTTTCTCTGGTTCCCTGAGGGGTGACCTTAGAATGTCAATTTGTGCTTTTTCAGTCTTTTCGACGTAGGCGCCTAGGGGTGTGAACTTTCCTCTTGGCACCGCCTTTGCTGTATCCCAGAGGTTTCAACAGGTTGTGTCACTGTTGTTGTTCGGCTTCTTTTGGAGTTTATTTCCTATCATATGGTCACATTCTATTCAACGGCGTATGGAACATTCTCCAAGACAGACCGTATGATAGGCCACAAAGCAAGCCTCAATAAATTTAAGAAAATTGAAATTATATCAAGCACTCTCTCAGACCACAGTGGAATAAAACTGGAAATCAACTCCAAAAGGAACCTTCAAAACCATGCAAATACATGGAAATTAAATAAACTGCTCTTGAATGATTATTGGGTCAAAAACGAAATCAAGATGGAAATTAAAAAAATTTTTGAACCGAAAGCACCAGGTAACCTATAAACGAAAACCTATCAGATTAACAGCAGATTTCTCAGCAGAAACACTACAAGCTAGAAGAGATTGGAGCCCTATCTTCATCCTCCTCCAACAGAACAATTATCAGCCAAGAATTTTGTATCCAGTGAAACTAAGCATGTGGTGCTTTTGTCTCACAGCTCTTAAGATTCTTTCCTTCATCTTAACTTTAGATAACCAGATGACAATGTGCCTAGGTTTTGTAGATTGCTTGTTTTAGTTTTAGTTTTAAAGATCTTTTTGTGATGAATTTCCCAGGTGTTCTTTGTGCTCTTGTATTTAGATGTCTATGTCTCTGGCAAGGCTGGGGAAGCTTCCCTCAATTGTTCCCCCAAACATGTTTTCCAAACTTTTAGATTTCTCTTCGTCCTCAGGGACACCAATTATCTTAGGTTTGTTCATTTAACATAATCCTAGACTTCTTGGAGGCTTTGCTCATATTTTCTTATTCTTTTTTCTTTGTCTTTGTTGGATTGGGTTAATTCAAAGACCTTGTCTTCGAGCTCTGAATTTCTTTCTTCTACTTATTCAGTTCTGTTGCTGAGACTTTCCAGAGCATTTTGCATTTCTATAAGTGTGTCCAATGTTTCCTGAAGTTTTTATTGTTTTTCTTTATGCTATCTATTTCCTTGAACATTTCTCCCTTCACTTCTTGTATCTTTTTTTGGATTTCCTTGCATCGGGCTTTGCCTTTCTCTGGTGCCTCCATGATTAGCTTAATAACCAACCTCCTGAATTCTTTTTCAGGTAAATCAGGGATTTCTTCTTGGTTTGGATCCATTGCTGGTGAGCTAGTGCGATTTTTTGGGGGTGTTAAAGAGCTTTGTTTTGTCATATTACCAGAGCTGGTTTTCTGGTTCCTTCTCATTTGAGTAGGCTCTGTCTGAGGGAAGGTCTGGGGCTGAAGGCTGTTGCTCAGATTCCTTTGTCCCACGGGGTGTTCCCTTGATGTAGCACTCTCCCCCTTTTCCTGTGGATGTGGCTTCCTGAGAGCCGAGCTGTGGTGATTGTTATTTCTCTTCTGGATCTAGCCACCCAGCAAGTCTACCAGGCTCCAGGCTTGTACTGGGGGTTGTCTGCACAGAGTCCTGTGATGTGAACTGTCTGTGGGTTTCTCCGCCGTGCATACCAGCAACTGTCCCAGTGGAGGTGGCGGGGCGGTGAAATGGACTCCATGAAGGTTCTTAGCTTTGGTGGTTTAATGCTCTGTTTTTGTGCTGGTTGGCCTCCTGCCAGGAGATGGCGTTTTCCAGAGAGCATCAGTGGTGGTAGTATGGAGAGGAACCAGCAGTGGGTAGGGCCCTAGAACTCCCAAGAGTATATGCCCTCTGTCTTCAACTACAAGGGTGGGTAGGGAAGGACCATCAGATGCGGGCAGGGCTAGGTGTGTCTGAGCTCACAGAGTCTCCTTGGACAGTTCTTGCTGCAGCTGCTGGGGGGGATGGCTGTGAGGTTCCTAGGTCAATGGAGTTGTGAACCTAGGAGGATTATGACTGCCTCTGCTGAGTCATGCAGGTTGTCAGGGAAGTGGGGAAAGCCGGCAGTCACAGGTGTCACCCAGCTCCCATGCAAACTGAAGGTGGGTCTCACTCACACCATGCCCCTCGCCAACAGCACTGAGTCTGTTTCCAGGCATTGGGCAAGCAGAGAACTTGCCCCAGGCTACCTACTTCCCAGCTATGAAGAAGGGCTTTGGTTGTTCCTCTACCAGTGGGGTCTGCAGGATTCGTGCCCTCCCCTGCGTTCAGCTGGAGACTTCCTTCTCCCTGTGACATTTTCCCTGTGCCTCTGGCCACCCTCCCAAAGTATTCATATGGTGCCATGCAGGAATGGCCTGCCTGGGGACCCAGGAAGCTCCCAGGGCCTTTCCCGCTGCTCCCTGTACCCCTGTATTTCGCTCAGCTTTCTAAATTGACTCAGCTCCAGGTAAGGTTGGAACCTTTTCCCACCAACTAGACCTTTGGTTTCTCTAGTGAGGGTGTGTGTGCAGGATGGACGATCTCCCATTCCCACTTCCACAGTTTGGGCACTCACAGTATTTGGGGTGTCTCTGGGTCCTGCAGGAGCAGGCTGCTTCCTTCACATGGTCTGTGGATCCTCTTGGGATTCCTGATTTATTCCTGCAGTTGTTCTGGAGCTAAAATTCACGGTGCCAGCCTCCACATGTGCTCTGTCCATCCCAGTCGGACTGCAATCTAGTCCTGACTCCTGTCCACCATGATGATCTCTCCCCCTTCATTCTTTTGAATGGCTGTGGAGTTTTCCACGGAATGTTCTGTGGTTTATTGAAACAATTTCCCACTGATGGGCATTTAGTTTGTTTTCAGGTCTTTATGCTGCAAAGCATATTATTGTCCATATACCTTAAAGTTACTTGATCAACTCTATTTGTAGATTAAATTCAGTTCCACATGGCTGGAGAGGCCTTGGGAAACACAGTCGTGGTGGAAGGGGAGCAGGTACGTCTTACGTGGGGGCAGATGAGAGTGGTTCTTTTCCATCTTGTTTTTACTTTTTTCCTAAATCTGTGCTTTGAAACAACCTTTAAACAAACTCCAAATTAGATAAATTTTTTTTTGCAGTAAAATAAATTATAAATGCCTGTCTTATAGTTTTTAAAAATGAAAAACACATCTTATTTTTTGTGGTATACTTTGTAGACAGAATTATATATATTAATTAGAATTTTAACTCTTAGTAACCTTATTTTCTAGCAAGCAAATTTTAACCATTTGTCACATATCACTATTTTATAGATGAGAAAAATTTTATAATTTTTGAAAACATATTTCTATGACATAATTTTTACATATATTAATAGACCCAAATAAATTTAGTCTTTCTACAAAATTTCTATAAAATTTAAGAAGCCAAGAACAAACATTTATGTTCAGTAATTTGTGTTAGTTTTAAAAATCTTATTTGGAAATGACCCAGACATTTAATGAGTATCTATTATTTAACTGAAGATAACATAATTTTAAGATCTTAAATTACATAAGAAGCTTATTTATAAACATTTATTTTCTTGACATTTATCTTATTTATTTATTTATTTTAGTGATGGGGGTCTTGTTGCATCGCTCAGGGTGGTCTGAACTTCCGGGCTCAAGCAATCCTCCCACCTCAGCCTCCTGAGTAGCTAGGACTATAGGCGTGTGCCATGACACCAGGCTTAATTAATTTATTTTTAATAATTTACCTAGATTACTTATGAAAATTGAGATATTAGACAAAGCTAGCCATTACTTAAAGTTATTTCCCTTTTAACCATTTTTATAGCCTGTGATTATTAGATGTTCACTTAGTAAGAAACTTAGTGAAGTGTATGGGTATTTTGTCGATAGCTCATAAGATACAGCTGTTTTTATTAAGCCTGCAATATTAAATTAGCCTTTTTTTTTTTTTTTGAGATGGAGTCTCGCTGTTGCCTAGGCTGGAGTGCAGTGGCGCTCTCTTGGCTCATTGCAACCTCTGCCTCCCGGGTTCCAGTGACTTTCCTGCCTCAGGCTCCCAAGTAGCTGGGATTATGCCCACCACCACACCTGGCTAATTTTGTACTTTTAGTAGGGATGGGGTTTTGCTGTGTTGGCCAGGCTGGTCTCAAAGTCCTGACCTCTAGTCATCTGCCCACCTTGGCCTCCCAAAGTGCTGGAATTACAGGCATGAACCACCGCACTCAGCCAAATTAGTCTTATTTATCAAAGATCATACAAAGATTATTCTGTTTTAGGATGGGTTTATAGTTTTATCATCTTTGTGTCAAACCCTGACATCTTAAAACATCTATCAGAGACAAATATAAAGCTGTCTGACGAGTAAACTCAGGGAAAAATATATGCTGACAATTCTGAGAACATTTGTATTTTTATTTTACCAACAATTTTAAAACTGATTTGTTTATTAAAGATATACTTAAGTCACATGAACTAAAAGGCATTTGGGTTAATTAGTACATATTTTTTATGAATGCTTATTTATCTAAGCCAATCTAAATAGAATCCCTTAATAGATTTTTTGTTGATGATGCCAGATTTTACCATGTAGATAACAACATACAACATAATACACATACATATGCATAAACACAATTAACCACATACGCACACAAATAAAGACACTGTAGCTTTCATTTTAGAATTTTGGTCATGAGATAATAACACAAATGTGTCAGTTTCTAAAAGACACTTCAATCCAAATTATATTTTTGACAAAACTGGGACTTGTTCACAAGCTAAACTTTATTTGTCCTGATGGGTCGTCTAATGAGGGCCATGGATCAGAATTTTGGGTAAAGCAGTTTCTGCATTAGTTTGATTTCAAAAGACCTTTTTCAGTTTTAAATGAATTTAAGGTTAAATTTCCAGTGATTGCGTTTTAGCTAGGACTGGCTGAATTGTATATGAAAAACAAAATCTTCAACTCGTCTATACTAGTAACAAATCTATTTTTTGGTTGCTGGTCTGATTTTCTGGACTAGACAATGCATGCAGGGAAGCATTTAGCAGTGTTTTTCCTTTTTCTGGCACCTGTGGCAAAGCAAAATTTTTATGGCAGACAGAGATACCTTATATTACTGCTCTAAGCTCAAGATTTTGGCCTGTTCGATCTGAAAGCCCAATTTCTGTAAATATTTACCTAGTTCTGTTCTTTGAGACCATCAGTCCTTCAGTTAGCTATTCCATCAGCCTAAGCAGTTGTTAGCCAAGCAAAGCTAATCTACATTTTCAAAAGAAATGACTCTTACATCTAGGTCATTGGTTACCATAGAGCTGTTGTAATTTGTAAAGCCACTAATTTAAAACCTTTAGGAAACTTTAAAAAATCTTGGGCCAGGCACGGTGGCACACGCCTATAGTTTTAGCACTTTGGGAGGCCAAGGCAGGTGGATCACTTGAGGTCAGGAGTTCAAGACGAGCTTGGCCAACACAGTGAAAGCCTGTCTCTACTAAAATACAAAAATTAGCTGGGCATGGTGGCGGGCACCTGTAATCAGCTACTCAGGAGGCTGAGGCAGGAGAATCACTTGAACCCGAGAGGCAGAGGTTGCAGCGACCCAAGATAGCGCCACTGCATTCCAGCCTGGGTGACAGAGTGAGACTCCATCTAAAAAAACAAAAAACAAAAAACAAACAAACAAAAAACCAAAAATATCTTGGCTGGAATGCTGTAACCAGTGAGTTTTATTGCAACATGAGTAAAAAAGTCAGCAGATTTAAAGTAGGCAGAAAAACAAAATAGAGAGATAGAGGACTTAGGAGGCACTGCATGATGACTACTGTTGCAGGGTTTTTGTTAGAGTTCGAAAAATAACCATTGGAACTCTAAATTTTCCTTGACGTAATTTGCCCATTAGTTTAAAAATGTGCACAAAGACGTAGCCAGCGGGAGTTCCAGAAAACTTACTGTGCCTTAATATTTAAAAACCATTCCCCTTCTTATTAATCTTTTTACAGTAAAGAACATTCTACAGATACTATGAGGCCACGCCGGCAGTTTGGACTGGTGCTTTAGACGGTGGTGACTGCTGTAGCAGCTTCTAATGAGACAGCCTGTGCCCACCATTTAGAATGTTTATTTTGCTCTCCAAAGATTTTTAGAAGCAAGCAGAGGAAAAGAGCCAGGTCATTTACAGATACACATAACCACAGCAAAAGAAGGCAAGATAAGGGTGCTCACAAATATGTTCACCCAGGCATGCATATCCAACAAAGTATTAAAGGAGGCACCTCACCAGAGAAGACATCCCTCAGAGACAGAATGCAAACTCTGTGGAAACCAGAGTACTCAGGCTGGAATGTCTTTATGCTAAACAGGACTTGCCAGAAAGCACGAAAAGCCTTTTATCATCCCAGGAGGGACATAAGGTCCTTTATTAAGGCAGTCTAATAAACAAACCCCACATAATATTAAAAAAGCATCTTCCAAAAAGAGGGAGGGTTGGCCTGAGAGAAGACGGAGTAGCTCAGAAAAAGCTGAGAGCTCAAAGGGCTCAAGTGAATACTGCACACCGGCCCAAGAATTACTGACTCCTTCCAGCAGTGATCCTTCTCCACATCCCACTTCTGACTCCATGTATCTCAATCTAAATAACAAGAGAAATGCCGTCTAAAAGAAAAAGATATCTATTTGGAGGTAGAGCACTGCAGTGGGATACACCTGCCATGATCAGCTATGTGCGTATTCAGGGAGGCAAAGGGAGACCAAGGCTTTCAAAGGAAAAATGAGGAGGATTACATGATTGCTTTGAGATAATTACCCTCTCTACAAGGACCAATAACAAAGGCAATGCCAGTCTGAGGTTGGACAGCCCGTTGCTGGGAAGATGTCCTCACAGAAGTACTTTCTGTGTAAGGTTGTGATGGTCTTTGTGCCAGTTGCAGTTTTTGTAGAGTCCTTGGTGATAGTTTTTGTTATCAAGTGTTTATGGATGAGAACCCTCTTCTCTTCTTGGCCTTCCTAGGCTCTATTTGTCAGGGATTTAGAAAAAAAAAAAACCACAGGTGACTCAATTTTGATTCTGATGACTTCCACATACTACAGACGTGGTGGCTGAGAAACAACAGAAACTTATTTCCCACCATTCTGGAGGCTGAATGTCCCAGACCAAGGCTCCAGCCGATGGGTGTCTGGTGAGGCCTGCATCCCAGCTCATAGACGGCATCTCCTCACAGGGGAGAAAGGGTGAGGGAGCTCTCTGGGGCCCCTCTCATAAGGGTGCTAATCCTCTTCATGAGGGCCCCCCTTTTATGACCTCAGCACCCCCAAAAGCCCCATCTTCTAATACCATTACATTGGAGGTTAGGATTTCAGGGGGAAAGGTATGAATATACGAATGTATGAATTTCAGGAGGACACAAATGTTCAGCCCACAGCAGATGATAACAGGAGGTCCGACCAATACCTGGGTCCTTGCTGAGCCCCTTTCAGATAGGATTTTACTCACTTCTCACCTCACTCTACTTGACAGGTGTATTTTCACCCCATTCTGATGAGGAAATGGAGGTACGGAGTTCAGGCTCTTGCCCACAGTCATGCAGACAGTAAGAGGTGCAGGCTCTCGATACACACAGAACAGGCTCCATGTGCAAGGTTGTTCCCGTGCCATCCTGTCATGGCGTGTGCATGCATAAGTGTGCATGTCTGTGTGTATGCGCGTGCACGAGCATGTGTGTCTTTGATGCCTATGTGCACTTGTGTGTGTGCAGGTGCACGTCCGTGTATGTGCATGCAGATGTGTGTGTCTGCAGACCTGCACATGCATGCCTTGTGCATGTGTGCCCATGCCTGTGCATCTGCCTGTTTGCATGTGAGTGTACTGCATGTGTGTGCATATATGTTTATTCGTGAGCTGTGCACATGTGCATGTGTGCATAGATGCTTGTGTGCATGTGTGTGCATGTACGAGTGAGCGTGAAATGTTTGTGTTTGGTGTGGGGAGGGGCGTTTCTTAACCCATTAACTTCAGAGCAAGGTCTCCGCTCAGTTCTTGCTGTGACAGCTTTGGCTATTGCGTTCCCTGTTGCTGCTGACACCCCAAACTCCCTTCCCATTGCCGTTAGCTCCCTGTGTCCTTTAACTTGAGGTGAATCCAGACCACTGGGACAAAGAACAGGAGGCAGGTGAAATGAACCAAAGTGTGTTTATGGGGAGGCCAGCGGGCTGCAGGTGGGACTAGCTGGCTCTGGGGGAAGCACAGGAAGGAGGCATGGGGGTTAGGGCCGGGGCAGGGGTGTAGCTGGCTCTCGGGGAAGCATGGGAAGGAGGCACAGGGGTTAGGGCCGGGGCAGGGGGGCTCTGATTCGCCTGCGGAGTGATGGGTGCCCGTCCCCCTGGTCTAGAAGACTGGGTTCTGTGGCGGACAGAGGGGAGCCGGGGGCAGGGGCTGGCGCATCTTCCTGCACACAGAAGAGTCCAGGGTGGGTCCTTTCTGCTCTCTGGTAGCCACAGATGAGGTACAGAGGCTGCTTCCCTTCTCTGCAGGTACAGGGCGTCCTGCTCTTCTGGGGCTACTTCACCTGAAAGACAGCCCCTGGGGTCAGACAGGGGGCTAGAAGCCTGAGGGGTGGAGGGGCAGGGGAGACAGAGGAGCAGGGGAGGGGGTGTTGTCCTTTATCCACAGGGTCAAGAGGGCCTTCGACAGTGTCCACAGGCCACAGAGGGCCTGCATGTCCTCCAGGCTCCCTCAGCCCTGCCTCTGCCTGGTCCAGGATCCCTGGACCAACTCTGGCATGTCCCCTGGAAGGGCACCTTGCCCCACACCCACCCCGAGGGTCACTGAGAGCCTGGCCGCTCCCCTGACCTTGATGAAAGTGACAATGCCGCTGTAGAGGAGGGTGAGGATGAAGAGGGCCACAAACGTGGACAGGGTGGTCCACAGGCTGCCCACATCATCAAAGGTCGTGTAGTCATCGCTGTTCTCATCCTTGCTCTGAGGGATCAGGGGGGTCATGGCCAGGTCTGGGGAGGAACGGGGGCTGAGTGAGAAGCTCCCTGGTCATGAGGGCCAGGCTACCCCTCCACCCACCCCCGCACAGCGTGGAGCTGAAATGACGGCGAGTCTTCCCAGGAGGCGTGGTTATCTCCAGGGAGCTCCCAGCCTCACCCTCTTGCTCATATGTCCCCTCGACAAATCTCTGCCTACTGTGTCCTCCCCGCCTGGACTTGTCGCTGCCCTGAGTGGGGCAGACAGACAGAACCATAGACTCTCATGGATTGGGCTCCCGTGACAAAGGTGACGGGAGGCTGGGGCACTTCTGCACACCTGCACACAGGGAGGCCTTCCTTAGGAAGTGGCCACTGTGACAAGGTGTGGAAGGCAAGACACAGCCGGGCAGCAAGGAGAGAGTGGCTTCTCCGCAGCGGGGAAAGCAGGTGCCCTGAACTGGGGGTGCTGACTAAGGAGGGTGGAAAGGGGCCCAGGAGGGGATATCCAGGCAAGGTGATTTTATCCCAGCAGCAGGAGGGAGCCATGGAAGGGGGCTAAGCAAGGGTCTGTCATGAGCAAATGTGTGTATAGAAGGTCATCTCCAGCTGGAGACGGCAGTGGGGCCCAAGGCAAGCCTAGGCCGGGAAAAACGCTTCCATGGCAAGCACAGCCCCATCCACGAGGAAGAGCCTGTGGGCAGGCAGGAAGCATTGACAAGAACCAGCCACGTCACAGACTTCCTAGAGTTCATTCAACAAGAGTTTATTGTGGTTGTACTGTGAGCTCGGCCAGAGCTGCTGAGTGGCGGGTGTGGACGGATCTGGTCCGGGATCATTTCATGGGGCCATGGTCTGTTACATCTAATAACAAAAAATCGGCGTGTCTTTCTGTTCATATCATTTTTCTAGTATTTCTTATTGCATTTTACAAAGGCATTGCTTTGTGAAGAACTGGAAATTGAGAAAGAAGCCGGATCCTCTGCCACAGATAATGTGAGACACGTGGACACAGCGTGTGTAGTCTGGGTGGGTCAGGGAGCTCCTGCCCTGCTCTCTCAAGTGGAGACCGGGGTGCTCAGATACCTGCACCCCTCCCGCCCATGCACACACAGGAGCCCCTCCTAGCACCAACTCACTTCCTCCTCACAGCAGCCCAGGACGTGGCCCCTGCTGGCTCAGCAGACAAGAGGGGAAATCGAGGCAAGAAAGGCATAGGGGCTTCCTTGACCAAGGCGCCAGGGTTCTCTGTGGGATAAGCCTCAGCTCTAACCACTGCACCATCTGGGCCTCACTGCCTGGGAGGGAGACTTGTGCTTGGGGGCACAAGGGTACACTCGGATATCCTAGGTACACACGGGTGTGCACACACACCCTCACCCCATAGTACTGCAACCTGGGGCCCTGGAGCATGGTGGCAGGGCAGCTTCCAGCCTCTCCCAGGTCTGGCCAGGTGGATGGTCCAGGCTAACCTGTGAGATCCCAGACTGTCTGTGCCTGGGGATGGCCGGCCAGCTGGGCGTGGGAGCCTGGGGGAGGGTCAGCATGGAGCCGGTGGTTGGGGGTGGATAGGCAAGGTCAGGAGGCCATGGCAATGATGGGAATCTGTAGGCCGAACCTGGGCCCCAGCACAGATGGGGCCCCGAAGGGGAGGGGGCAGTGGACAGGGAGTCCCGGTTCCAGGTGGGCAGCCATGGGTTGGGGCTGCAGCTTCGGGGAAGACCCTCTGGCGGGGACAGGGAGGTTGGGGGACTGAGAAGCAGCTGCTGCTGCAGGGGGCAGTCCCTGCAGGGTCAGGTTGGGCTGCTGCCCCCCAGGTTGCCCACTGCTGTGGGGCCCATCTGTGTGAGGCAGGCAGGGTCAGACACTGTCCTCAGAGGGGGTTCTCTGTGAGGCCACCTCACAGGGTCGCTTCTGGGGAAGGCCCATGCCGGGTCAGGGCTGCTGGCAGCCCCTCGGGCCAAAAGAGCCTGGGACAGCCCTCAGCCCTGCCCCTTGTTGACTTGGGTGTCTTCCTTTCCTTGGCTCTGCAGGGTGGCCGGGGGCCTGGGTGCCTGGCTCCAGCTTACACCAGGGGCCCTTCCATGCCTCCCTTGGCTGGACAGCTGGGGCATAGGCAGCAGGCCCTGAGCAGGGCGGACAGCCTCCTGCTGTGTGTACAGCCCCTCGTGGCCACCACATCCCACTGGGGCCATGCTCGGGCAGTGGGCGCACTGGTCTGTGTGCCATGCCTCAAGGGGGCGGAAAAGGGTGGGCCTGGCAGGAGGCTGGGGGCTGTCACTCTGGGTGGGCGCCCATTATGGGCATGTGTGGGGCTGACCTTTCGCTGGGCACTGAGCCCAAGCCTGACATCTGGGGGTCTCTGGAGACCCCTCTGGCTCCCAGAGGTGCTGACTGTGGTCTTGGACAGTCAGATGTCCCCAGAGAGGGCAGCTGTTCAGGGTGACCACATTCACGGTCACACCAGGGAAGGCCTGTGCCCAGCACCCAGCCGTGGGGAATGTCTTGGGAGGAAACCGCCACTCCTCAGGGCACGGCGAGGGGTTGTATCCACCTCTTACACTGTGCCAGCCAGCCTGGGCCAGCACGTGGTGTGGACAGCAAGGATGGACGCTGGGACATCCATGGCCCAGGAGTACTGGGAAGTCTGTGCTCCTGCCGGACACCGAGAAGGGGCCTGTGTGCCCAGGACAGCCTAGCCCCGCCCCTGCCCAGTGCCCACCCCTGCCTAGTATGGATTCCAGCTCCTTATGGCCCCCCTCAGAGTCCCCGTCCCAACCCTGGGCCTGGGGGTGACTCACAGCTGACTTCTAGGCTCCGGCTGGCGTTGAGCAGAGTCCGGGAGTCCTCGTGGCTGACCACACACGTGTAGGTGGCTGGCTGAGGGCTGGGCGGGGCTGGGACACGCAGCACACTCCAGGCCCAGAACGTGGTGCTCCTGGGCTGTGGAGGGGGGCGTGCGGGGGCAAACCCAGAAGTGTTCACCTCACGCTGGTCCTCCAGCCACATCAGGAGGATGTTGGGGGGCGAGAAGCCAGACACCTCACACAGGAGCCACGAGGCCGCCTCGGGAGGGTCAGACGAGGCCAGCAGGTTCAGGGAAAGCTTGACGGGTGCCTGCGCAGCTGCGGGGAGGTGGGGGAGGCTGTCAGGCTCTGGCCACGGGGGCACTGGGAGAGAAGTGGGGCCGGCCAGGGTGCTGGTGCCTCCCTTCTCCTTTCCTGTGGAGGATGACCGGTGCTGCTGGGGCCCAGCTGGGGTCATGGCCCTGGGGCAGGCGTAGGGGTCAGCAGGCTGTGGGCACCCTCGTCTCCCCACCTGGGAGCCAGGCTCACCGGGTTCTCTCAGCGCCATCAACCTCTGGGGTGGGAGGCTGGGATGGTTCAGTGTGCAGGTGACGGAGGTCCCCGCGTTCCACAAGGACCTGGGCAGGGTCAGACGGCTGTGCTGGCTCTGGGAGCCGTTGCTGTGCCGCTCCAGCAGCCCTTCCTCCACGCCCCCTGTGGGGACCTTCCCAGCCACCTCCCAGGTCAGGTGAGCATCCTTCAGGTCACTGCCCACCACGAAGCAGGTGAAGGTGGCTTTGTCCCGGAGCCACAGGTCCTGCACTGCAGGGGTTAGCAGGTAGACGCCAAGAGGCTGGGTGTGGCTCGGACACTCTGCAGGGGAGAGCAAACGAGAGCAGCTGTGGCCGGACCTTCGGGAGCAGTAGGCTCCCGCCCGGGGCTCTGCACAGAGCTCCACAGTGGCCTCCCCCTGAGTGTGGTGCCTGCCTGCACGGCCAGGCACACAGACCCTGTCTCCAGGGGCTGGGGGATCTGTGGGCAAAGACCCGTTGAGCCATGGGCGGTGCCACTCTTGGTCACTGTCCGGCCCTGGGGCTGCTGCCCGCTCTTCCCTGAGCAGACTCGGGCCTTCGTTGCTTCCAGAGCTCTCTGCTCTGTGGCTGCCAGGCCGGGACTCATCCACAGGCCAGGTTTTTCTGGTGCCGTCTCCCTGCAGGGACTGACTTAACCACTGTGCTCTCCTCTCCCCAGCTTCTGGCCAGGTGTGGCCAGTGGAGGGCACTGGGGAGGAGGCGGTGTGGGGGACACCCTGGTCAGAGGCACAGAGGCTGGGCATGGAGCCTGGGACTCCCCCTCAGCCTGCCCCTGACCCATGTGGCAGAGCCCTCTGAGGGGCCTGAGGGGCCCCACGCCTCTAAGAGCTCCTTCCTCAGTGCTCCCTGAGTTCGGGGGGACCCTGACTGTCCTCGTGGGGGTCCTCAGGGGTCACGAGTTTCTAAGTGTCCGGGGCCCATCCACATAACAGCAATCGCTTCAATAGTTTAGGGCACCAACGGCCAACTAGTTATTGGGCAATAGGTGTTTTGATAGCCCAGGGGTCAGAAAAAACCTGGTGTCTTTGTCTCTCTCTCTTCTTGTTCCTCTTTCTCCTTCTCCTTCTTCTTCTCTTCTCCTCCTCTTCCTAAAAATTTTTAATTGACAAAAATTATACATGTTTATCATATACAACACAATGTTTGAAATATGTGTACATTGTGGAATGGCTAAATCCAGCTAATGACCATGCAGTATCTCACATACGTGTCACTTTTTGTGTCAAGAACACTTAAAAACTATTTTCTTAGCGGTTTTCAAGGATACAATCCGTTGTTACTAACCACTGTCCCCATGTACAAGGGATGTCCTGAACTAATTCCTCCCAACTGCAGTTTTGTGCCCTTTGACCAACATCTCCCCAGCCACCAGTGCCCGCTCCCTGGCACCACCTCTCTACTGTCTGCCTCTAAGAGTTTGCCTTTTTAACCTGCCAGATGTAAGTGCAATCATGCAGTATTGCTCCTTCTGTGCCTGGCTTATTTCACTTAGCATAAGTGTCCTTCAGGTTCATCTACATTGTTGCCAATGACAGAATTTCACTGTTTTTAAAGGCTGAATCGTATTCCATTGTGCCCCATACGTACCACATTTTCTTTACCTGTGCATCTGCTGAGGGGTGCTTAGGTTGGTTCTGTATCTTGGCTTTTGTGACTAGTGCTGCCTGAGCTTTTGGGATCATATCCAAAAATCGTTGCTCAGACTAATGTCATGGAGTTTTCCCCCTATGTTTTCTTCTAGTAGCTTTATCTGTTCAGTTAAACCTTTAGACTGTTTTCTTTTCTTTTTTTTTTTTTTTTTTTTGAGACAGTCTCGCTCCATTGCCCAGGCTGGAATGCAGTGGCGCAATCTTGGCTCCCTGCAACCTTCACCTCCCGGATTCAAGCGATTCTCCTGCCTCAGCCTCCTGAAAAGCTGGGATAACAGACGTAGGCCACCATGTGCTAATTTTTGTATTTTTAGTGGAGACCGGGTTTCGCCATGTTGGCCAAGCTGGTCTCGAACTCCTGACCTCAGGTGATCCGCCTGTCTCGGCCTCCCAAAGTGCTGGGATTACCGGCATGAGCCACCGCGCCTGGCCTAGACTGTTTTCAATTGATTTTTGTGTAGTTTCATTAGTCTGCACATGGATATCCAGTTTCCCCAGCACTATTTATTGAGGAAACTGTCCTCTCCCCATTGTGTTTTCCTGGTGCCTTTGTTGAAAATCAATGGACTGCAAGCATGTAGATTTATTTCTGGGCTCGCTTTTCTGTTCCATGGGTCTGTGTGTCTGTTTTTATGATCCTGTTTTGATTACAACTGCTTTATAGTATGTTTTGAAGTCAGGTACTGGGATGTTTCCTGCCTTGTTCTTTCAGCTCAAAACTGTTCTGGCTTTTGGGGTTGCATTGAACTCCTCTTTTTCCCCTTCCCTGCTTTCCTCTCCCCTCCTCTCTTCCTCTTCCTCCTCCATCCCACTACAACTGTAAAGACATTTCTAGGCCACACAAAACAGCCCCCGGCTGCATCTGGCCTGTGGGTCACCGTCCACGGGGTCATGCCATAACCCTGGCTGTGTCTGGGTCAGTTGGGTCCTCCAGGTGGGGCAGTGCAGACCAGACCTGAGGGCTTAGCTGCTGAGGTCAGCACACCTCAGGCACCGCCCGTGAAGGGTCATCTTTAACTGGATGCCGTCCAGGCCCCAGGGCAGGGGGCCCTAGCCTGTCTGCACCCCATGTTGTTGTGGGAAATCGAGGTGCCAGGAAGCAGCGCCGTGGTCTGAGTAAGAGCACTTGGCTGTCTTCTTGGAGGCTGCCCAGGGGAAGGCCCCTCCACCAGCAGCCAAGGCCGTGGGGTGAGTGACTTGGCTCCAGAGCTGGCTGCTAATGCACTCAACTTGTTTTGTTGCTGAGTCTCCACTGCCCATGAGGAGGGTGGAGAGGGACAAGTGCAGATGCCCGGGTCAGGGAGCAGCTGCCCTCACCTTTCTCATGGGAAGCTCTGGCCCTTGTGCTGTGTCCATCTCCCTGCATTTGATAGGCCCACCCCAAGCCTAGGAGCTAGGTGTGTTTAGAGACGGGAATGTCGTGTTTCTGCACCTGCAGAGTGGAGGCAGATTCTGGCCCAGGGTGAGGGCACCGTGGCCACTCATCCAAGCAGGGGCCACCATGGCTGTGCCATGCCTTTGTCAGAGCTTGACCCACATCCCAGAGGGTGGCTGAGGGACAGTCATTCTGCCTGTTGGTCCAGCCCACCTCACTGCTGCTTCTCCTAACAGCTTCCTGCCCTACTCAGAGAAAGTCAGGCACGTACCCGAGTTCTCCCGAACACTGAACCCGTCCCCCCGGCCACATGGACATCTCAGGCAGGTCAGAGTCACAAGCCTCAGACTTCTCAGATAAAGTTCTTGGTGAGGGCCCTCTTTCCCCTGCCATTCTGAGGTGGCAGGCAGGGTGAGGGTGAGAAGCAGGCTGGCCACCAAGATCCAACACTTGGAGAGAGCCAGGCTGGGGCGGGCGGGAGGCGAGGGTCACGGGGAGGGGCTGCTGCGGCCCAAGTGACCTGTGAGTCTGCAAGCCGGACTGCCTCGGCAGGGTGGCTCTATGTGAGGCTGCGCTGAGAGCCCATGCCTCAGCTCAGCGAGGCAGAGCTGGGTCCATGGGCCAGGGAGCCGGCCCAGGTCTGCTCTGGGAGTCTGCTGGTTGTTTGGCATCTGCTGGCCCCCAGACTGGGGCTGGCTGGCAGTAGGTGTTTGTTAGAGGTCCGTTCAGTGTCCCTCTCCTTACCAAAGTGTGACTTGGAGACTCAGACAAGGAGTTATGAAGGGCTGCCTGGAGGAGGCGGCTGAGGAATGAGCAGGTGGGTGGGGGTGGAGTGTGCAGGGAAGGGGCTTCTCACCTGTGTTACGGGTGGTGGCTGGGGCTGTGGTTGCCTTGGCGAGGCTGCCCTCTGCTTGGGGTTGTGCAGTGGGCACTGAGGAGGCCTGTGCCTTTGGAGACTCTGAAATCCAAGGAAAAGTGCAGGTGAGGCTGAGGGCAGAGGGCATGGATGTACCAGAGGCTGGGTTGTGGACAGGCAGGTGGGGGGCACAGGCAGCCAAGCAGGAAGAAGGGAGGGGCCGCAGCATGGGGTGGGAGCTTGGCTGTGGGAAGCCCACTAGACAGTCACCTTTGCTGGGCAAGCTGCCTCCGTGCACACTGAGGGAAGGGTCTGGAAGGAAAGTGATCTGGGTATTGGGAGATGGGCCTCAGAGAGAGGGAGCGGAGGGACTGAGATGGGGAGGGTCCGGAGGGGTGGATACAGGGTGAAGGGGGAGGAACGTGCTCTGAGGGGGAGGTGGGGGTTGCCTCACAGCCCAGCCCTTGCTTCTGTCTTTGTGGTCAGGCCCTGAGTGGAAGGTGCTGGGGGTCCTGGGGGGCCCTTCTGGGTGATCTCCGGTGCGACCTACCTGGCCAGCGGAAGATCTCCTTCTTACTCTTGCTGGCGGTGTGCTGGACCACGCATTTGTACTCGCCTTGGCGCCACTGCTGGAGGGGGGTGGAGAGCTGGCTGCTTGTCATGTAGTAGCTGTCCCGTCTTTGTATCTCAGGGAAGGTTCTCTGGGGCTGGCTCTGTGTCCCCATGTACCAGGTGACAGTCACGGACGTTGGGTGGTACCCAGTTATCAAGCATGCCAGGACCACAGGGCTGTTATCCTTTGGGTGTCTGCACCCTGATATGATGGGGAACACATCCGGAGCCTTGGTGGGTGCTGGAAGACAGACACAGTGGGAGTCTGAGGCTGGAGGCTCTGAGGACAAGGGGCAGGGCAGGGCAGAGGACCCTGGCAGCAGGGTGACAGGGAAGGCAGGGAAAAGGGGCCCAGGAGGAGTGCCCAGGGTGAGCGGGGCTGACCAAGTGGCCCGTGAACACGAATGCCCCTGCTGCCGCTCCTGTGTTGTGAGTCAGAATAACCGAGTGGGACCTGTGGCTTTGTGGACCCTGGGCTCTTGTTGCCGAGAGCTCCTGGAAGGGAGGGGTCTTCCCTCCAGAGGCTTTGGTGCCCCTCTGGGCATTCCTGGGACCTCCACCTTCCCTGCTGCCCCCAACCTCTCTGGAACCCACTTCCCTTGGGCCCCTGAGGGGAGGAGGGGCACTCAAGCCTGGGAGCAACGGGCCTAGGGCTGTATGACCCTCCTGCCCAGGCTCCCAGCCACGGGTCCTCAGCTGCCCTGCAGGGGCCATGGGGTCCCTGTGGAGGGCCATGCGTCTGGCCCTCTGAGTGGCTCCGGAGGAGCTGGTGGGATTGGATGCTCCTCTCCCTGATTCCTGGCCCCAGGGGCTCTGCTGCCTGGGATAAACCCATGAGCTGACCTGGCCCCTTGTAAGGGGTGTTACTCATGGACAGCAGGCTGTAGGGTGGCAGGTCCCAGAATGTGTGGCTGCCTGCTGGGCTTGGCTCTCAGCCTCACTTTCCTGGAGACCTGGGTACCCAGGGCAGCTGAGCAAGTGCAGGGTTCTTGCCTGGGTCCCTGGAGGCCCCAGGTGCTCCGTCTTAGTCTAACCTTCTACTCACCCCCTGCCTCCACCCATGTCTGCCCACCACCACACTGACTATTGCTGCTCAGGTGGGGCCAGGTGTTCCCGTTCTTTGGCCTGGTACGCAAGGTCATCTGGTGTGGCGGTGGCCCCATCCTCCTTCCCTTCTCCCTTGGGGCAGAAACTGTCGCCCTGCTTTCCCAAATTCTGGATGACCCTCCTCTTCTCCCCATTTACATCCTTTATCCTGGGATTTTCTGAGCAGGATTGTCAACCCATTGTCAACCCTCCACATCCTAGGCAGTATTCACGGCCCATCTCAGAATCTTCCACCTGAACAGTGTGTTCCTAATTCCCTTCCTCGAGCCACCTCTTGGACCCCTCTGGGCTGTTTTCATTTTTCCCTGAGGTTCTGGGATGTCAGCCCTGCCAGGCCTCCCTCTACAGCACCACTGGTGAGACACTAGGGATGGGTCTTGTTATGGGTTGAGTTGTGTCTCCAAATAAATGGACGTGTTGAAGCTCTGACCCGTAGGGCCTCAGAATGTGCCCTTCTTTGGAAGCAGAGTTTTGCAGATGCAATCAAGTTAAGATGAGGTCACGCTGGAGGCAGGTGAGCCTCTGACCCAATATGGCTGGTGTCCTTATGCAAAGTGGAAATTTAGACACAGACATGCACGCAGGCAGAATGCCATGTGAAGGTAAAGATGGAGGCGGAGGAGCTGTTTCCAAAAGCCAAGGAACACCAAAGCTTTCCAGCAAACCAACAAAAGCCAGGACAGACACCTGGAACAGATTCTCCCTGCCAACCCAGGGGAGCCAACCCTGCCCACAGCTTGATCTCAGACACCTGGCCTCCAGAAATGAGACAGAATACACTTCTGTTGTTTCAGCCATGCAGTTGTGGTACTTTGTTACAATAGCTCATAAGAAACTAAAACAGATTTTGGCTTTAGAAGTGGTGGCTTAAGAGAAGCAATTAAGACCAATTCGCCTTCTAGTGGAAATAAGACATCAAATACAAAGTTTTAAGAGAAGTGAATGCAGCAGCGGCGGCTGCCTGTCTCTTACCATGTCGGGTGCCTGGTCACTGCGAACCTTGCAAAAGCTTTGGCATGGAATCATTCCTCCAAGTCCATTAACAAGGGCTGGGGCCTGAGCAGCCAGTCGGCCCGGCGGCAGAAGCCACGCATCCCAGCTCCGGGTAGTCCGGGGAGACCCAAAGCCCAGGCCGGGCCTGGCAGCCACCCTCCCAGAGCCTCCACTAGGCCAGTCCTGCTGACGCCGCATCAGTGATTCTGAACAGAATCTGTCCTTCTAAGGTGTCTCCACAGTCCTGTCTTCAGCACTATCTGACTGAGTTTTCTCTTATGCCACCAACTAACATGCTTAACTGAAATAATTCAGGGTAATGATTTATTTATCTGATTTAATTGATACCTAAAACTGTGGAAATGAATTTGGGATAGGGTAATGTGTAGAGGTGAGAAGAGTTTTCAGGTGCATGTTAGAAAAAGCCTAGATTTCCTTGAAGACTATGGTAGAAATTTGGACATTGAAGGTGATCCTGGTGGGGGCTCAGAAAGAAAGAGGAGAGCTATAGAGAAAACTCCTGTCATCTTAGAGAATACATAAATTGTCACAAACAGAATGTTGCTAGAAATGTGAATGTTAAAGATGCCTCTGGTGAGGCCCCAGACAGAAATGAGGAAGATGTTATTGAAAATTGGAGGAAAGGTGACCTTTGTTAGAAAGTGGCAAAGCACTTGGCTGAATTGCATTCTATTTATGGTAAGTAGGACTTACAAGTGATGAACCTGGATTTTAGCTGAGGATATTTCTAAGAAAAGTGTTGAAGGCACAACCTGATTTCTCCTGACTGCTTATAGTAAAAAGTGAGAGAAAGTGTTCAGTAAACAGGACCCACAACTTGAACAGCTGGAAAATTCTCAGCCTGTCCAATAGCATGCTCTGGAAACAAGGCCAAGGATGTGTCTGGGCAACCATTTGTTAAAGAGATTGGAATCATGACTTATGGATCCAATCAACCATCTCAGCAGAAACCAGGAGTAGAGATAAGGTTATTGAGGATATAACTGTGCAGGGCTCTCTTGTCTGATGACTCAAACCCCCAGGAATTTCATGGGAAGCTGACAAGGATTTTGTGAATTGTAAAACAGAAGAAACAATGCCAATTGGATGGAAGGGAAAGAAGACCAGAAAAAATGAAGGAAGGGTGACTTTGAGATCAGAGCCAAAGATGAGGAGGCTGTGGGGGCTCTGGCCACCATGGGCGAAGAGCATGGGGTCACCCCAGTGGGCCTGGAAGATGGAGCACGGACCCAGGAGGATGAGCCTTGAGCCTTAAATCTAATGCAGCTTTCCCTGCTGGGTTTGGGCTTGCTTGGGACCCATGGCTCCTCTCTCCCTTTCTATGTATCCCTTTTAGAATAGGAATGTCCATCCTATGCCTGCCCCATCATTGTACTTTGGAAGCAGATAACTTCTTGTCAAGTTACAAAGGTCCACAGATGGAGAGGAATTTCACCCAGAATGAATCTCACCCTGGGTTTCTCCCACACTTGATGCAGGTGATATTTCGCTGAGATTGTGGACTAAGAGTTGGTGCTGGAAGGGGTCAGCCGTTCTGGAGATGTTGCTATGGGATGCAGGGATTTTGCCTGTGAGAAGGACATGATTATGGGGGGAACGGAGGGCAAACTGTCATGGGTTAAAATGTGTCCCCTGTAAATTAATGTGTCGAAGTCCTAACCCCCAGGACCACAGAATGTGACCTTGTCTGGAAACAGTCTTTGCAGCTGCAATCAAGTTCAGATGAGGTCACCCTGGAGTAGGGCAAGCCTCTGATCCAATATGACTGCTGTCCTCATGAAAAGGGGGAATCTGGGCACAGACAGCACGTGTGGAGAACGCCCTGTGAAGATGGTGCTGCTTCCATAAGCCAAGAGCACCAGAGACGGCCGGCAAAGCCCAGCAGCAGGGAGAGAGCCTGGAACAGAGTCTCCCGTGACACAGAGGAGCCAGCCCCGCCAAGGCCTCCATCCCAGATGCCCGGCCTCCAGAACCAGGACGGAATAAACGTCTGTTGTTTAAGCCACGCAGTCTGGGGTGCAGTGTTGCCAGGGCCACAGTTAACGGATACGAGTGTTGTCCTGAGCTGCCAGCCCCACAGGCTGCACGAGGCCTCCCTGCCCCAGCCCAGTGCAGACTCCCCAGCCCCCTGGGTGTGCCCTGGGCAGTGTGGGGCTCCTCACTCCATCCTCCCCCAGGCTGGGAGGTTGAGCCTGTGATGAGCTACATGGGGTGAAGCTGGAGCGAGAGGCTGGGAGGCGACTCGGAGCCCACGGTTGGAGGATGGATTTCCCCAGGGACCCACACGTGCACCTCCACCTGTCTCCTGGACATTGTCTCTGAGGGCAGGGCTGGTGCCAGCTCAGGGATCCAGCAGGGACAGAAGGGCGGGCCGGGTCCATGTGGAGAGCACATTTAGTGGGAGGGACACAACTTGTACCCAGCAGCCCCCAGATACCCATGACAGCTGGCTCAGAGCAAGTGCCAGGCTGCTCCTCAGAACCTGAAATGTCCTCCTTCTGGGCCCCCAGCTTATGAGCCCTCCCAAGACGCCATCCTGGATGCTTCCTCTAGGACACTTCTATGGCCTTGGGGTCTGCCCAGTCCTTCCAGCCTGGTCCTCTCCCCCCAGCCACCTGCCTCCACCCTGGTCTCACAGCCACTGCTGTCCTTGACTTTGCCATGGACTGTGGGTCACCCCTGGGTGACTGCACCATGGCCAAGTGAGCCTCCTGGCATGAGCCCCCAACTTTGGCTTGGCTGCCATCTCTGAAAAAATCCCCTGCTCTTTGATCCTGCTCCCACCTACCTGGGGAGTCATTTTTCGGCACTGCCCCAAGCCTGGCCACCACCTGCCCATCTTCAGGGTGATGGCAGAGACTTGTCCTCCCCACTATGCATTCCCTAACGGCTTCTAAGGACGACATGGTCACGCCCCCCATCCTCATCCACAAGGGGATGGCACTGGGAGCCCTAGCATCTGGGCAATGATGAGGACCTCGTGACGGGCTTAGTGCCTGTATGAGAGAGACCCTCGTGACGGGCTTAGTGCCTGTATGAGAGAGACCCTCGTGACGGGCTTAGTGCCTGTATGAGAGAGACCCTCGTGACGGGCTTAGTGCCTGTATGAGAGAGACCCTCGTGACGGGCTTAGTGCCTGTATGAGAGAGACCCTCGTGACGGGCTTAGTGCCTGTATGAGAGAGACCCTCGTGACGGGCTTAGTGCCTGTATGAGAGAGACCCTCGTGACGGGCTTAGTGCCTGTATGAGAGAGACCCTCGTGACGGGCTTAGTGCCTGTATGAGAGAGACCCTCGTGACGGGCTTAGTGCCTGTATGACAGAGACCCTGAGAGCTCCTTCACCATCTTCGGCTGCGCGAGGATGCAGTGAGGAGGCGCGTCTCTGAGCTGGGAATTGGCCCTCGCCAGACGTTGAAGTTGCCGGCGCCTTGATCTTAGACTTTCAGCCTCCAGCGCTGTGGGAGGCAAATGTCTGTTGCTCAAGCTTTGCAGCCGATAGTGTTTTGTGATAGCTGCCCAATTAGACTAAGACACTCGTTCACCTGAAACTTTTGCTCCAACTTCCACTCCCCTGCCACGGGCGCGACTGCTACCCCACCCCTGTGCTCCTGTGGAGTGCAAGGCCCCCACACTGTGCAGACAGGCCCACATGCTCTCGAGGGCTCAGCCTGCACCTCCTGGATCCCGGTGAGGCCCACATGCTCTCGAGGGCTCAGCCTGCACCTCCTGGATCCCGGTGGCGTGCACCACACATCATGAAGGTTTGGGGCAAGGCCAAGAACTGTCTGGGCTTGCTGGGAAGGGTGGCAAGGTGACCCGGGCAGTTGTAGGCATGTGGAGCACACACAGAGGCCCCCGAGGCCTGAGCCCCAGTCTCTCAATTCAGGCTGTGCTTGGAGGACCAGGCCTGGAACCCTCTCCTGCTCAGTCCCCTTCCTTCCATCAGGCTGGGCATGCCCCGAGTCTGAGTCTGGCCCACCTGCTTCTGCGGCCCCTTTCCTGGGCACGTGGCTTTCCTCGAAACCCCCTGCGCTGGCTGACCCAGCGCTCTTTTCCACAGCTCCCTTTGGAACTGGGGTCCCCCTTGAGATGCCCATGTAGCAGGAAAGTTTTGAAAAAGAAACAAAAACCCTCACCAGAAAGCAGTTTCATGGATAAAATGTGCATATTTATTTCAGGGCAACAAGCGTATACACAGCAAAGCAGTGTGGGGTAGAGCCCACCTCGTGGCCTGCAAGCCAGCCAGCCCCTGCCGGTCGAGAAGGAAGCCTGTGTGAGAGCACACAACTGGAGGCCGGGCGGGGAAGAGAAACACGTGCCAACAGGCCACGCAGGCCAGGACCCCAGACCCGGAGGCAGCGCCCCTTTGAGTTCCTCTCTCTGGTCTCCGATGTTCTTCTGTTGGGATCATTTCACCTACAGGCAACAGAGACAGTGTGAAATGCTTTCCCCGTGGTCGGGAAGGGAGCCGGGGCAGAGATGACCCAGTGGGGTGGTGTGGGGGCCTCCGGGCTAGACGTCCAGCCCAGGCTGCTCCCTGGGCCCCACACTCGCCCTGCACCCTCCTCCCTGTGCCACAGCCGTGCTACCTTGAACAAGGTGACGGTGGTACTGTAGAAGAGGCTCAGGAGGAAGAGGACGATGAAGGTGGAGGCGGTGGCCCACAGGTTCTCAAAGCCCTCCTCGTCGGCGCTCACCTCCCCCTCTGCAGGAGACACAGCACGGGGGAATAGGGTCAGGCTGGGGTGGCACCCAGCAAAGCCCCCCCGGGGCCCATCCTCTAGGCCCACCCTTGGCCCCTAGGCTGTGCTGCACCCAGGGGTGGGGAGAGCAAGTGCAGGGGGGCTCGGGCACTGCCCAGGGCATGGGCTGGGCCCCTGAAAGCCTGATGCAGCGGGGGCACAGGCCGAGACTGGGCAGGGCTGGGACTCTGAGGTCTTTTCCTCAGAGTCCTGGGGTGGCAGAGAGAGCGTGGGGGATGCAGCACACAGACCAAGGTGGGGGCTGGAGGGCGGGGCCCCAGCGGAGCAGCGGCCAGCATGTCCTGACTCTCCTGGAGGGGGAAGCAGGGGGTGTGGCCCTGCCCTGTGCTGTGGGGGCTGGCAGGTGGGAGGACTGAGCTGGGGGGAACCCGATCCTGACTCCCTCACCAAGGCCCTGACTCTCCAGCTCCCTCTTGGAGCAGAGTCTGCATGGGGACATCCTGGCGGACTTGTCCTACCCTGCCAGGACCCAGGGAGCAGACAGAGACCTGAGCTCCACAGTGGGATGAGGACATTCGGGGGGTTGCATCCCCTGCACAGATGGGCCCTTGGGAGACACCTGGAGCCCAGGACTCCAAAGGGCCAAGAGTGTGGCGGGGACTCGGAGGTGGCCCCAGTTAGAGACAGCACTGTGCGTTGGGTGTGGAGACCTCACTCGGGCCCTGCCTTCCCTGCTGGGGCTCGGTCCTTCCCGGGCTGCTGCTGTCTGACCTCGCCTGCTCCCTGCTGTGGGTTGGGGAGCAGGTGGTATTTGCAGGGGCAGACTTGCTCTAGCTCATCTCCTGAGGCCTCCTGCTAAGAGGAGCAGCTGCCCAGGGCAGCCACTCTGCCCTCTGGGCCCATATGCTTAGTCACTGCCTGCTCTCAGCACATGGCACAGGCTCTGGTTCTGCTCACCGGTGGGTGTGGGGGCTATCTGCTGCCTTCATCAGGAGCCTGGCCTCAGCAGGGGTCACATGCTATCCCTGGGGCCTCCGCTCCCCAGGCAGAGCACAAGCTGGGTGCCATGGCAGCACCTCCAAGCAGAGACAGAAGGACAAGCAGAGCCTGGGCCCAAAGCCCCGGTGCCAGCACAGCGCAGGGAGCAAACTGCTGCAGGGACAGAGTATCCGGCAGGGCCCTGGGAGAATGTTGGCGGGGGCCGGCCGGCATGCGCACGTGTTGTGCCTGTGGGTGTGTGCATGTCTGTGTACGCGTGTCCATCTGTTGTGTGCCTGTGGGTAGACGTGTGTGTCCACGTGTTAGTGTATCACATGCTCCTGTGTGTCTGTGTCAGTGTGTCTCTGGGTGTGCATGTGTCCATGTACTTGTGTCTGTACATGTGTGTGTGTTTGCATGCACATGTGTGTTTGTGAATGTGTGTGTCTGTGTGTGTATGCCTCTGTGCTAGTGTGTCTGTGTGTGTGCATGTCCTGCACATGTATGTGTCCATGTGTGCACATATCCATGTGTGTGCCCGTGTGTGTGTGTGCCTGTAGTCAGTGTTCTCTTTGTGTGCCTGTGCATGTTTGTACATGTGTGTCCACATATGTTTGTGTGTGGGTCCATGTCTGTGTATGTGTGTGCCCATGGGTTAGCACGTCTCTGTGTGTCCATGTGTTTGTGTGTGTCCGTGTCTGTCCATGTGTATCCACACATGCCTGTGTGCTGCCTGTATACGTGTGGCCTTGCTTTCAGCTTTCTTTCTGGAAGCAGTAGGAGGAATGGCAAGTCTGAGGTCAGCCTGCTGTGAGCAGCTGCAGGGAATTCAGGGGTTTCTAGAAGCCACTGAGGCACGCAGGTGGGTGAGGCAGGGGTGGGGGCTGTGGAGGAAGGTGTTCTGCAGGGGAGGCGCAGGGTGGGTGCAGCACAGCCGCCGCCCCAGTAGGCCAGAGCATCGTGCACTCAGGACCAGTATCTTTTGAATGGATCTTTTTATTTCTAATTTTATAAGATGCAACATCTCACCCCGTTGACACGGTTAGTTTGCATGCACACACAGAGCGGCCAGCCGCCCCGAGCCTGTGGGCAGGCCAGCAGGGTCAGTAGCAGGTGCCAGCTGTGTCGGACATGACCAGGGACACGTTGTACAGGGTGGGTTTACCGGTGGACTTGTCCACGGTCCTCTCGGTGACCCTGTTGGGCAGGGCCTCATGGGCCACCACGCAGGTGTAGGTCTCCCCCGTGTTCCATTCCTCTTCGGACACGGTCAGGATGCTGTGGGCGAAGTACCGGCCTGGGGCCTGGGGCTCAGGCATTGGGGCGCTGGTCACATACTTCTCCGGGGACAAGGGCTGCCCCCTCTGCATCCACTGCACGAAGACGTCCGCGGGAGAGAAGCCCGTCACCAGGCACGTGATGGTGGCCGACTCCCGCAGGTTCAGCTGCTCCCGGGCTGGTGGCAGCAAGTAGACATCGGGCCTGTGCAGGGCCACCCCTGTGAACAGAGATGGTGGTGAGGGCGGGGCAGTGGGGGGACCAGCCTGTGGGCTGGGGTTGAGTCCCCTTTTCCCCAGTTGCCCAGACAACGGGGGAGTGAGGGGTGCTTTCCACCATGCCCCAGAGGCCAAGGGAGGTCCCAGGGAGTGCAGGAAGAGGGGCAAGAGTGGGGCCTACCCTTGGGCCGGGAGATGGTCTGCTTCAGTGGCGAGGGCAGGTCTGTGTGGGTCACGGTGCACGTGAACCTCTCCCCGGAATTCCAGTCATCCTCGCAGATGCTGGCCTCACCCACGGCGCTGAAAGTGGCATTGGGGTGGCTCTCGGAGATGTTGGTGTGGGTTTTCACAGCTTCGCCATTCTGGCGGGTCCAGGAGATGGTCACGCTGTCATAGGTGGTCAGGTCTGTGACCAGGCAGGTCAACTTGGTGGACTTGGTGAGGAAGATGCTGGCAAAGGATGGGGGGATGGCGAAGACCCGGATGGCTGTGTCTTGATCTGGAGTCAAGAGAAGGGAGTCAGAGGTGGGGCAGGTGTGGATGTGGGCGGAGGCATGGTTCCCACCCAAAGAGTAGCAACTGCCTCTGCCGAGCCCAGGGGTCCTGCCGCCCGAGCCCCTGCCCTTGGCCGCTCTGGGAAGCCAAGGCTCAGGGAGTAGATGGCTGCATCCGGGGTGGCGAATGCCAGACCCGAGTGGACCCCTGTGTGTCGGTGGGTGCTGCCCCTGGGGACAGGTCACTCACCGGGGACACACATGGAGGACGCATTCTGCTGGAAGGTCAGGCCCCTGTGATCCACGCGGCAGGTGAACATGCTCTGGCCGAGCCAGTCGCTCTCTTTGATGGTCAGTGTGCTGGTCACCTTGTAGGTCGTGGGCCCAGACTCTTTGGCCTCAGCCTGCACCTGGTCCGTGGTGACGCCAGACCCCACCTGCTTCCCCTCGCGCAGCCAGGACACCTGAATCTGCCGGGGACTGAAACCCGTGGCCTGGCAGATGAGCTTGGACTTGCGGGGGTT
Organism: Homo sapiens; assembly: GCF_000001405.40. Lineage (NCBI taxonomy): Eukaryota > Metazoa > Chordata > Mammalia > Primates > Hominidae > Homo > Homo sapiens. Next base: position 323,523 of record NT_187600.1, read on the forward strand.
GCCGAAGAAGCCGTCGCGGGGTGGGACGAAGACGCTCACTTTGGGAGGCAGCTCAGCAATCACTGCAGTGAGGGACACGTGTCAGCCCGGTGCCCGCCACTCCCGCCCCCTTCGGCTCCCTCTCTGTCCCGGTGGCTGGGCCCGGCCCTCACCTGGAAGAGGCACGTTCTTTTCTTTGTTGCCGTTGGGGTGCTGGACTTTGCACACCACGTGTTCGTCTGTGCCCTGCATGACGTCCTTGGAAGGCAGCAGCACCTGTGAGGTGGCTGCGTACTTGCCCCCTCTCAGGACTGATGGGAAGCCCCGGGTGCTGCTGATGTCAGAGTTGTTCTTGTATTTCCAGGAGAAAGTGATGGAGTCGGGAAGGAAGTCCTGTGCGAGGCAGCCAACGGCCACGCTGCTCGTATCCGACGGGGAATTCTCACAGGAGACGAGGGGGAAAAGGGTTGGGGCGGATGCACTCCCTGAGGACCCGCAGGACAAAAGAGAAAGGGAGGGTGAGGAGCTGCCTCCTCGTGCCCTGCCTGTCGGGGCTGAGTGGCGTTCTGAGTGCCCTCACTACTTGCGTCCCGCTGTGGCTGCCCCACCAAGGCCGAGCCCACCTGCAGGCCTCCAAAGCCCAGACTGTCATGGCTATCAGGGGTGGCGGGGCCGTGGTGAGGCCTCAGGTCTTTGTCCAAGGCTGCTGGGGCTGCAGGCCTCAGCCCATCCTGCTGCAGGGCCCAGCACTGAACACCTGGACAGACCTGGGGTCTCCTGGAGCAGGCTGAGCCATCCCTGCCACCATTCAGCTGGCTGCCCTGCTGCACTCTGAGGCCTGACTGCCCCTGGCTCCCTGCTCAGAATGGCTGAGGGCTCAGGTTTGGGTGGACCAGGCCTGCTTTCCCCCGAGGCATCAGCACGTAGGTGCTGCACACACTCAGCTCCCAGCACATGCAGCTGGAGGGCCCAGGTTGCATACCTGAATGTGAAGCCTGGAGCCACACACCCCGCAGGCAGCCAATAGAGTCCCTCCAGCCCAGCTTCTGCTGCCCCCAGCTCAGTCACACTCCAGCTACCCTGAAGTCTCCCCAGGCAGACAACCCAGGCCTGGGAGTGAGTATAGGGAGGGTGAGTGTGATGGGGAACGCAGTGTAGACTCAGCTGAGGCTATCCATCTATGTCCAACAAGATCATGAAGATTGGCCCAGTGCCATGTCCTCCAGTTCATCCCAGCCCAGGCCAGCTCAATCCAGTTCATCCCAGCCCAGGCCAGCTCAATCCAGCCCAGCCCACCCCACCCCAGCTCAGCAAAGCCAAGCTCAGCTCAGCCCAACTCAGATGAGCTCAGACCAGCTCAGCCCAGCCTAGCTGAGCTCAGACCACCTAAGACCATCTCAGCTCAGCCCAGCCCAGCTAAGCCCAGTATAGCCCAGCCCAGCTAAGCCCAGTATAGCCCAGCCCAGCTAAGCCCAGTATAGCCCAGCCCAGCTAAGCCCAGTTTAGCCCAGCCCAGCTAAGCCCAGTATAGCCCAGCCCAGCTAAGCATAGTTCAGCACAGCCCAGCTCAGCTCAGCACAGTTCAACCCAGCTCAGCCCAGCTCAGTGCAGCACAGCCCAGCTTAGCCCAGCCCAGCCCAGCTCAATCCAGCCTGGCTCAGCCCAGCCCAGCCCAGTTTGGCTCAACCCAGCTTGGCTCAGCCCAGGTCAGCCTGGCTCAACTCAGCCCAGCCCAGCCCAGCTCTGCTCAACCCAGCTCTGCTCAACTCAGCCCGGCTCAGCCCAGCTCAGCCCAGTTCAGCTCAGCCCTGCTCAGCACAGCACAGCAGAGCTCAGCTCAGCCCAGCTCAGCTCAGTTCAGCTCAGCCCTGTTCAGCACAGCACAGCAGAGCCCAGCCCAGCCCAGCCCAGCTCATCCCAGCTCAGCCCAGCCCAGCCTAGCTTAGCTCAACCCAGCTCAGCACAGTTCAGCTCAGCCCTGCTCAGCACAGCACAGCAGAGCCCAGCTCAGCCCAGCTCAGCTCAGTTCAGCTCAGCCCTGTTCAGCACAGCACAGCAGAGCCCAGCCCAGCCCAGCTCAACCTAGCCTGGCTCAGCCCAGCCCAGCCCAGCCCGGATCGGCTCAACCCAGCTTAGCTCAGCCCAGGTCAGCCCAGCTTAACTCAGCCCAGGTCAGCCCAGCTTAACTCAGCCCAGCCCAGCCCAGCTCAGCCCCCAGCTCTGCTCAACCCAGCCCAGCTCAGCTCAGCTCCGCTCAGCCCAGTTCAGCCCAGCTCAGCCCAGCCCAGCCTAGCTTGGCTCAACACAGCTCAGCTCAGCCAGCCCAGACCAGCTCAGCTCAGCCCAGTCCAGCTCAGCTCAGCCCAACCCAGTCCGGCTCAGCCCAGCCCAACCCAGCCCAGCCCAACCCAGCTCGGCTTAACCCAGCTCGGCTCAGCCCAGATCAGTCTGGCTCAACTCAGCCCAGCCCAGCTCAACCCAGCCCAGTTCAGCCCAGCTCATCCAAGCTCAGCTCAGCCCAGCCCAGTTCAGCCCAGCCCAGTTCAGCTCAGCTCAGCCCAGCCCAGTTCAGCCCAGCCCAGTTCAGCTCAGCTCAGCTGAGCCCAGCCCAGCCCAGTCCGGCTCAGCTCAGCCCCGCCCCACTCAGCCCAGCTCAGCTCAGCCCAGCTCAGCCCAGCTCAGCTTAGCCCAGCTCAGTTCAGCCAGGCACAATCTGGCTCAGCCCAGCCCAGCCCAGCTCAGCCCAGCCCAGCCTAGCTCAGCACAGCCCAGTTCAGCTCAGCTCAGCTTAACTCAGCTCAGCTCAGCTCAGCCCAGCCCAGCCCAGGTCAGCTCAGCCCAGCCCAGCCCAGCCCAGATCATCCCAGCTCAGCTCAGCTCAGCTCGGCTTAGCCCAGCTCAACCTGGCCCAGCCTGGTCCAGGTCAGCCCAGCCTGGACCACCCAGCCCAGCTCAGCTCAGCCCAGCTCATCCTGGTTCAGCTCAGCTCAACCCGGCTCAGCCCAGGTCTGCTCAACCCAGCCCAAATCAGCTCAGCCCAGCCCAGGTCATCCCAGCTCAGCCCAGCACAGCCTACTTCAGCTCAGCTCAGCTCAGCCTAGGTCAGCTCAGTTGAGGTCAGCTCAACTCAGCCCAATCCAGCCTGGCTCAGCCCAGCTCACCCTAGCTCAGCTTAGCTCAGCCCAACTCAACCCAGCCCAGCCTTGCCCAACCCAGCTCAGCTCAGCCCAGCCCAGGTTAGCCCAGCCCAGCCTCGGCTTAGCTCTGCTCAGCTCGGCCCTGCTCGCCTCAGCCCGTTCAGCCCAGTTCAGCTCAGCTCAGCTCAGCCCAGCTCAGCCCAGCCCTGGTTAGCTCAGCCCAGCTAAGCTCAGCTCGGCTCGGCTCTGCTGAGCTTGGCCCAGCTTGGCTTAGCCTGATACAACCTGCTCAGCCCAGTTCAGCTCGGCTCAGCCCAGCCCAGCCCAGCGTAGCTCAGCTCAGCTGAGCCCAGCCCAGGTTAGCTCAGCCCCAGTCCAGGTCAGCTCAACTCAGCCCAAACCAGCCTGGCTCGGCCCAGCTCACCCTAGTTCAGCTTAGCTCAGCCCAGCCCAGCCCTGCCCAACCCAGCTCAGCTCAGCCCAGCCCAGGTTAGCCCAGCCCAGCCTCGGCTTAGCTCTGCTCAGCTCGGCCCAGCCCAGGTTAGCCCAGCCCAGCCTCGGCTTAGCTCTGCTCAGCTCGGCCCTGCTCGCCTCAGCCCGTTCAGCCCAGTTCAGCTCAGCTCAGCTCAGCCCAGCTCAGCCCAGCCCTGGTTAGCTCAGCCCAGCTAAGCTCAGCTCGGCTCAGCTCTGCTGAGCTCGGCCCAGCTTGGCTCAGCCCGACACAGCCTGCTCAGCCCAGTTCAGCTCGGCTCAGCCCAGCCCAGCCCAGCGTAGCTCAGCTCAGCTGAGCCCAGCCCAGGTTAGCTCAGCCCCAGCCCAGGTTAGCTCAGCCCAGCTCAGCTCTGCCCAGGTTAGCTCAGCCCCAGTCCAGGTTAGCTCAGCCCAGCTCAGCCCTGCCCAGGTTAGCTCAGCCCAGCTAAGCTCAACTTGGCTCAGCTCAGCCTAGCTTGGCTCAGCCCAGCACAGCACGCTCAACCCGGTTCAGCTTGGCTCAGCCCAGCCCAGCCCAGCCTAGCTCAGCTCAGCCCCGCTCAGCCCAGCCTAGCTCAGCTCAGCCCCGCTCAGCCCCGCTCAGCCCAGCCCAGCCCAGCCTAGCTCAGCCCAGCTCAGCCCAGCCTAGCCCAGCTCAGCCCAGCCCAGCTCAGCGCAGCCCAGCCCAGCTCAGCGCAGCCCAGCTCAGCTCAGCTCAGCCTAGCCTTGCTCAGCCCAGCTCAGCTCAGCCCAGCTCAGCCTAGCCTTGCTCAGCCCAGCTCAGCCCAGCTCAGCCCAGCTCAGCCCAGCCCAGCCTAGCTCAGCTCAGCCCCGCTCAGACCCGCTCAGCCCAGCCCAGCCCAGCCCAGCTCAGCCCAGCCCAGCTCAGCTCAGCCCAGCCCTGCCCAGCTCAGCCCAGCTCAGCCCAGCTTAGTGCAGCCAAGCCCAGCTCAGCTCAGCTCACCTGGTGCAACTTAGCCCAGCTCAGCTCAGCTCAGCTCAACCCAGTTCAACTCAGCCCAGTTCAGCTCAGCTCAGCCCAGTTCAGCCTTGTTTAGTCTAGGTCAGCTTAGGTCAGTTTTGCCCATCTGAGTCCATTTCTGAAAGCTGGATGGAGTTGTCATGGCCAGAAATGGTCAGCCCACCAGACCTGCTTGTCTCAGCTAAAGCCATCTCATTGCCGGGTTCCTGCACAGCCAGGCTGGCTTCCATCTTTTGTCTCCCTCTACTTGATACCCCAGTTCCCTGCAGTCCTGCCCCAGCGCCACCTGGGTTTTGGTTCCAAAGCATTACCAATCATTACCACCCTCCACTACCTGGGTGGAATATTTCTTTGCTGCTTTAAAGTCATTAAAACATCTTGAGAATGAGACCAAGAATTTAGGAGCCTGTGCTGTGATAAAAATGAGCAGGTCCCCTTGCTCTAGAAGTGGCAGCATATCTTCTGCACCAAGAGGAGGGTATTGAGATGCTCAGAGCCTCCACCTTCCCGGAGCATCCCCTCCCTTCTGAGTCTGCAGTAAACCCCTGCCTTTAAATTCCCTCTAGATAACAGTCATCATTGGAAACAACCAAGAAATGCATTTTATCTGAATTTGCCACTTAAAATTCTGCCATTTACCATAAATCGCTTTGGAAGGCATGGGCTACTTTCAAGGGTGCGATGATGACCTACAGTCAATGACTTAGACAAGGGCGATGCCAGTGGGGCTTGGTATGTTCTCAAGCATCATTACCCATGCCATCCCCATTCAGAGGTTGTGGAGCAGCTCGTGCGACCTCTCCTTCAAATGGGCTTTAGGGAAAGTTAAATGGGAGTGACCCAGACAATGGTCACTCAAAAGACTCACATAAATGAGTCTCCTGCTCTTCATCAAGCAATTAAGACCAGTTCCCCTTCTAGTGGAAATAAGACGTCAAATACAAAGTTTTAAGAGAAGCAAATGCAGCAGCGGCGGCTGCCTGTCTCTTACCATGTCGGGCGCCTGGTCACTGCGAGCCTTGCAAAGCTTTGGCATGGAATCATTCCTCCAAGTCCATTAACAAGGGCTGGGGCCTGAGCAGCCAGTCGGCCCGGCAGCAGAAGCCACGCATCCCAGCTCTGGGTAGTCCGGGGAGACCCAAAGCCCAGGCCGGGCCTGGCAGCCACCCTCCCAGAGCCTCCGCTAGGCCAGTCCTGCTGACGCCGCATCGGTGATTCGGAACAGAATCTGTCCTTCTAAGGTGTCTCCACAGTCCTGTCTTCAGCACTATCTGATTGAGTTTTCTCTTATGCCACCAACTAACATGCTTAACTGAAATAATTCAGGATAATGATGCACATTTTACCTAAAACTTATCCTAAAGTGAGTAGTTGAAAAGTGGTCTTGAAAAATACTAAAATGAAGGCCACTCTATCAGAATATCAAAGTGTTTCTCCTTAATCACAAAGAGAAAACGAGTTAACCTAAAAAGATTGTGAACACAGTCATTATGAAAATAATGCTCTGAGGTATCGAAAAAGTATTTGAGATTAATTATCACATGAAGGGATAACAAGCTAATTTAAAAAACTTTTTGAATACAGTCATAAACTCTCCCTAAGACTGTTTAATTTCTTAAACATCTTACTTTAAAAATGAATGCAGTTTAGAAGTTGATATGCTGTTTGCACAAACTAGCAGTTGATAAGCTAAGATTGGAAATGAAATTCAGATAGTTAAAAAAAGCCTTTTCAGTTTCGGTCAGCCTCGCCTTATTTTAGAAACGCAAATTGTCCAGGTGTTGTTTTGCTCAGTAGAGCACTTTCAGATCTGGGCCTGGGCAAAACCACCTCTTCACAACCAGAAGTGATAAATTTACCAATTGTGTTTTTTTGCTTCCTAAAATAGACTCTCGCGGTGACCTGCTTCCTGCCACCTGCTGTGGGTGCCGGAGACCCCCATGCAGCCATCTTGACTCTAATTCATCATCTGCTTCCAGCTTCGCTCAATTAATTAAAAAAATAAACTTGATTTATGATGGTCAAAACGCAGTCCCGCATCGGGGCCGACAGCACTGTGCTAGTATTTCTTAGCTGAGCTTGCTTTGGCCTCAATTCCAGACACATATCACTCATGGGTGTTAATCAAATGATAAGAATTTCAAATACTTGGACAGTTAAAAAAATTAATATACTTGAAAATCTCTCACATTTTTAAGTCATAATTTTCTTAACCATTTTTCTCAGAAGCCACTTCAAACATATCCTGTCTTTTAACAGTAAGCATGCCTCCTAAGATAAACAATCCTTTTCTCATGGAAACCAGCTTCAAGGCACTGAGGTCCTGGAGCCTCCCTAAGCCCCTGTCAGGACGGCAGCCACCGTTTCTGGGCTACCCCTGCCCCCAACCCTGCTCTCATCAAGACCGGGGCTACGCGTCCCTCCTGGCTGGATTCACCCACTCCGACAGTTCTCTTTCCAGCCAATAAAGAATTTAAGATGCAGGTTGACACACAGCGCACCTCATAATTCTAAAGAAAATATTTCACGATTCGCTGCTGTGCAGCGATCTTGCAGTCCTACAGACACCGCTCCTGAGACACATTCCTCAGCCATCACTAAGACCCCTGGTTTGTTCAGGCATCTCGTCCAAATGTGGCTCCCCAAGCCCCCAGGCTCAGTTACTCCATCAGACGCACCCAACCTGAGTCCCATTTTCCAAAGGCATCGGAAAATCCACAGAGGCTCCCAGATCCTCAAGGCACCCCAGTGCCCATCCCCTCCTGGCCAGTCCGCCCAGGTCCCCTCGGAACATGCCCCGAGGACCAACCTGCAATGCTCAGGAAACCCCACAGGCAGTAGCAGAAAACAAAGGCCCTAGAGTGGCCATTCTTACCTGAGGAGACGGTGACCGTGGTCCCTTTGCCCCAGACGTCCATGTAGTAGTAGTAGTAGTAATCACAATGGCAGAATGTCCATCCTCACCCCACAAAAACCCAGCCACCCAGAGACCTTCTGTCTCCGGGCGTCACATGGAAGCTGACTGTCCGTGGCCCTGTCCTGCCCTTCTCATGGAACCCTCTGCTGGCCTCCCACGTACCCCACATTCTGGCCTGACCCCTCAGAAGCCAGACCACTGTCGGCCTGGGAAGTCCAACTGCAAGCAGACGGCTGCTAAGTCACCCCCAGGAGTCCAAAAACCCCGGGGGGCACCCGTCCCAGAGAGCGGGTGCCTTGGAGCGGGACAGAGTCCCACCACGCAATCATCACGACAGCCCCTGAGAATGCTCCAGGTGAAGCGGAGAGAGGTCACCCCAGACCAGCCGAAGGAGCCCCCCAGCTGCCGACATCTGTGGCCGGACTTGGGGAGGACAGGCTGGGTTCCCATTCGAAGGGTCCCTCTCCCCAGCTTTCTTTCCTGACCTCCAAAATGCCTCCAAGACTCTGACCCTGAGACCCTGGCAAGCTGAGTCTCCCTAAGTGGACTCAGAGAGGGGGTGGTGAGGACTCACCTGAGGAGACGGTGACCAGGGTTCCCTGGCCCCAGGGGTCGAACCAGTTGTCACATTGTGACAACAATGCCAGGACCCCAGGCAAGAACTGGCACCCCGCTAAGTCCCTGGGACCCTCTCAGACTGAGCCCGGGGAGGGCCCGGGGGTTGTTGGACATTGGACCCCAGAGGCCCAGGGTGGCCCTGGCCACAGAGAGACCCGTGCTGCTGGGCTCAGGAGGAAGGAGCATCTGGAGCCCTTGCCCCTCGTCTGTGTGGCCGCTGTTGCCTCAGGGCATCCTCCTGAGCCCCCCAGGCTGCTCCGGGGCTCTCTTGGCAGGAGACCCAGCACGCTTATTTCCCCCCAAAAATGCAGCAAAACCCTTCAGAGTTAAAGCAGGAGAGAGGTTGTGAGGACTCACCTGAGGAGACGGTGACCAGGGTTCCCTGGCCCCAGTAGTCAAAGTAGTCACATTGTGGGAGGCCCCATTAAGGGGTGCACAAAAACCTGACTCTCCGACTGTCCCGGGCCGGCCGTGGCAGCCAGCCCCGTGTCCCAAGGTCATTTTGTCCCCAGCACAAGCATGACTCTGCCCACCCTTTGCCCCAGCAGCAGAGTCCCAGTTCCCAAAGAAAGGCCTTCTGCTGAACGTGGTCCCAAACAGCCGGAGAAGGAGCCCCGGAGGGCCCCACATGGCCCAGCGCAGACCAAGGAGCCCCCGGACATTATCTCCCAGCTCCAGGACAGAGGACGCTGGGCCCAGAGAAAGGAGGCAGAAGGAAAGCCATCTTACCTGAAGAGACGGTGACCATTGTCCCTTGGCCCCAGATATCAAAAGCATCACACAGGGACACAGTCCCTGTTCCTGCCCAGACATAAACCTGTGCCCGTGCAGGACACTCGAATGGGTCACATGGCCCAAGCACAGAGCAGAGGCAGCCGGCGTCCCTGTCCCCAGCCACACAGACCCCCGGGCTGAGACCCAGGCAGGGAGGGGTGACGTTCCCAGGGAGACGGTGGCCGGGCTGCCCTGGCCCCAGTGCTCCAAGCACTTGTAGCCACACTAAAGCGCAGGCCTGGTCCCCGGCACATGAACAGCCAGCGCCCAGCCCCAGCCCAGGCTCTGCCCACAACTTCTCCTTCCCGTCCCTGCCCTCGGCCTGCTTGCTACCTGTGGAGGGTCCCTGACGGGGCTGAAGCCCAGCGGGGTCCCTGCCTGTCCTTGGGGGCTCCAGCTGGCCCCAGGGCTAAGTGACAGCAGGGCTCTGGCATGCAGCCCATGGCGGAGACCCCAGGGATGGCAGCTGGTGTGGCCTCAGGCCAGACCCAGGCCGGCTGCAGACCCCAGATACCTGGCCTGGTGCCTGGACAGAGAAGACTGGGAGGGGGCTGCAGTGGGACTCACCTGAGGAGACAGTGACCAGGGTGCCACGGCCCCAGAGATCGAAGTACCAGTAGCACAGCCTCTGCCCTCCTGCTTCTCCCATACAAAAACACACCCTCCGCCCTCCTGCCGACCTCCTTTGCTGAGCACCTGTCCCCAAGTCTGAAGCCAAAGCCCTTGCCTGGCCCAGTACACCTGGCTCCCCGCTATCCCCAGACAGCAGACTCACCTGAGGAGACGGTGACCAGGGTGCCCTGGCCCCAGTGCTGGAAGTATTCAGCCACGGTGAGTCAGCCCTGAGCCAGGGGCTACAGAAACCCACAGCCCGGGGTCCCGGGGGAGCATGGTTTTTGTAGAGCTGCCAATCACTGTGTCCCCAGTTAGCACAGTGGTTCTCAGCTCAGCCAAAACCCTGCGGCTGGTAGGGGGCCTGTGGGGCTGGGGGCTGATGTGGCTGCGGTCTCCAGGGCGGGTCGGGTCCAGGGGCCCCCAGCACCTTTGCCAGTGCTCTCCCTTCCGCTGTTAGCCCCAAAACACGCGGGAGACCCCAGCCCTCAACCCTGCCAGTCACTCTGGAGTCTTGTGCCAATAATTTGCTGCTGTTAAGAATCATTAGAGTGCTGAAGGCTGCCAAGTGTGTTTTTCCTTTTCTTTTGTAAATTAGAGCAGATCTGAAGCTGGGTCTGTCACGCCACCTCTCATCCACTTGCTTTCTGACTTGTTTTCCCAGCAGCAGAGAGGCCCGGGTGGCGGTGGCCAGGGGAGCCTCCTCGCCTGGAGGGCCATGGCCCCCGCCAGGGCTCCTCGCTGGCCTGCAGGGGCAGGAAGCCTTTCCTGCTCTGATCCCGTCTGTGGGGCCCGGCGGGGGTTGCCTGGTTGGTTCCACCTGTTCACCGTCGTCCCACTGAACGGGAGGCCTCAGTGGGTGGCACTGGGCCTCACTCACCACGGCGCCCTGGCGTGGGCTCCCTGCGTGTCCACCAGTGCTGGGTCCCTTCTCTGAGCCTCAGCTGGTCCTCAGTGAGTCTCAGCTCTTCCCATGGTGGGTGCCAGGGAAGGTGCAAGGTGGTCTAAGGAGAGCCCCTCCCCAGGCCTGCACTGGCTGCCTTCCGCCGAGTCTGGGTGAGGGGCTTTGCACGCACCACTGGCCAGACGCGGGCTGGGTGGGGCCCTCAGGGAGGCTGAGGCCTGCGGCCAGGTGTGAGCATGGGGGTGTGCCTGGTGAGGGCCTCTGCTGGGGATGAACTGACGGGCACAGGGTGTCTGGGGGCAGGGGAGGTGCCCCTGCGGGCTTGCTGGGGAGGGTCTGTGTCGGGGCAGAGTTCCAGGGAGAGGAACAGGCAAGGCAAAGGCTGGGAGGCTGGGACCTGTCGTTGGAGGACACAGGTGGTTTCCTGAGGCTGGGTGGAAAGGGGGCCTGTGTGCCTTGAAGGGGCCGAAGGGTGCTGGGGGCTTGCTTAGGCGCTGCCCAAGAAGGCCCCCTCAGGCACCGTGCGGGCAGGGATGAGGGGTCTGGGAGGGAAGCCTGGATGTGGGGAGAGGGTTGGGGCTCCTGTAGGGGTGTGGACAGAATGGCGGCGGTTTGTGGAGTTTCCTACAGGGTTCCAGGCAGGACGGGGGACCCTGAGGTGCTGTCTGGGACAGTGGATCTCTCTAGACATGGTTGAACAGCTGCCAGCATGGGGATGGAGCCTTAGGCTGGGAATGGTGAGAGAACCCACCTCCAGCCACGAGGGGCCGAGAACCCATTTGTTTAGGGGTGGTTGGGCCCTGATGGCCTGGGAGGCACCTGTGAGGGGGTGAGGTGGGGGAGTGAGGAAGAGGGTGGTCTGGCGCTGGGGGAGTGGCTCTCTGGCCTGAGGACCCTCTGCCCCCACCTGCCACAAGCACACACCAGGGAAAGCACACGAGTGTCACAGGCGTGGCGGCTGGATCCTACAATGGGTGGCCAGGGCAGGGCCCACAGGCCAGGTCGAGTTGGTCCCCCAGCCTCTCCCAACAGCTGGCATCTCCTGGGGCACCTGTCCCCCCTGAGGGTCACTTAGCCTGGATGGTACCTCCTGGCCTGGCTGCCCTGAGCAGGGCTGGGAGCTGAGCTGGGAGCTGCGGCCCCGAGGGCAGTGGAGAGGGCGCTCCGCTCACGTGGCCCACACACTGTTTAGGACGCGGCCTTTAGAGTCTGCTCCGCTCCCGTGGCCCACGCACTGTTTAGGACGCGGCCTTTAGAGCCTGCTCCGCTCACGTGGCCCACACACTGTTTAGGACGCGGCCTTTAGAGTCTGCTCCGCTCCCGTGGCCCACGCACTGTTTAGGACGCGGCCTTTAGAGCCTGCTCCGCTCACGTGGCCCACGCACTGTTTAGGACGCGGCCTTTAGAGCCTGCTCCGCTCACGTGGCCCACGCACTGTTTAGGACGCGGCCTTTAGAGCCTGCTCCGCTCACGTGGCCCACGCACTGTTTAGGACGCGGCCTTTAGAGCCTGCTCCGCTCACGTGGCCCACGCACTGTTTAGGACGCGGCCTTTAGAGTCTGCTCCGCTCCCGTGGCCCACGCACTGTTTAGGACGCGGCCTTTAGAGCCTGCTCCGCTCACGTGGCCCACGCACTGTTTAGGACGCGGCCTTTAGAGCCTGCTCCGCTCACGTGGCCCACGCACTGTTTAGGACGCGGCCTTTAGAGCCTGCTCCGCTCACGTGGCCCACGCACTGTTTAGGACGCGGCCTTTAGAGCCTGCTCCGCTCACGTGGCCCACGCACTGTTTAGGACGCGGCCTTTAGAGCCTGCTCCGCTCACGTGGCCCACGCACTGTTTAGGACGCGGCCTTTAGAGCCTGCTCCGCTCACGTGGCCCACGCATTGTTCAGGACGCGGCCTTTCGATCCCGCGGAAGACAGTCCTTGAGCAGGAGCAGCTCCCCAGCTGAGACAGGGCCCTGGATGTCCAAGCCAGAGGGAAAGGCCCGGGGTCAGGAACAAGGGAGGGTCTGGGCCTAGAAGCAGGGGGGCAACACCTACTCCAGGCACTGAGCCTCTGGACCGTGCGGTCCTGGAGGAGAAGCCAGAGGCGACCCCTGGCAGGGATGGCAGGCCTCACGGGAGGACAGGGCACTGCCGCAGGTCTCCACGCCTTCCAGGCCTATGGTGCAGCTTGGCGAGCTGGCCAGGCTCCAGGTTGGTGAGGGGCTGGCTCTGGGCTGGCTCTGGGCTGGCTCTGTCATGGGCCAGATGGCTAGAACACAGGGTATCACTGTGAGGAATGACGCTGTCTGTCACTCCCAGGTTAGGGAGAACGCGTTGTTTCCCTTATACCCGAGGCTCCGCTTCTGATGGTCTCTGCTGTAGGAGACGTGGTTTCCACGCTTCCACCACTGCTCCTGCCGGCCTGGGTACTCTGCTCTGGGGGGATGGCCCTTCTGGGCAAAGACACAGCAGAAAGAGTCTTGCTGCTTCATTTCCCAGGTCAGAAGCAACGCAGGAGCACACCACTGCTTCAGCTGATAATCGACAGAGTCTCCCTCCTCTAACACCCAATTCCTTCCCTAAGAGGACTGGGAGAGTGAGGAGAAGGTCTGAGGAGAATCATCTTCCCTGGCATGGAGCTTGGCATTTTGTCCCAAAGGAAACAGTGGAATTTGCTTGGGGTGAATTTTGCCCAAGTTTTTTCAGCTTTTCCCATTTTGTGTGTAATACTCATATGCTATATAGAGTTGGGTTTTATCTTGTGGTCCAATTTGAAAGTCTCTTCCTTTTAATAGGCAAGTTAAGGCCATTGATGTTTGTTGTTTTCATAGATCTGTTTGGCTTCAATCTTATCTTAGTAGTTTATATTTTCTATTTTTATGCTTCCAAAAAGTTTTCCATCTTAAGTTTTCTTGTTCTTTGCTATCTTCTATGTGTAGTGGCTACCTTTATAACTTTCCAAAATATTCTTTGTTCTTCTTTGGACAATGTACTTTAGTTCTTTACTATATACGAGTATGAAATTACCTGGTTTCCTCTTCCTTTTCCCCTCCATCTCTAGCATCATGTGATTGTAATCAGTAATATTATTTTCTTAGAATTTGTTTGTACTGTCTAATATGCCCAATTTGGTTTTACTGAAGTCCTTTGGCTGAGAGTTATTTGGAGTGAGGCAGTAATTCAGAAGTGCTCTCTATCTCATATTCTGTGTTTTGATCATTGTAAAATGTCCACTTTGTCAGGCAGACACCATTTCACCTCTGTTGAGGCCACATGGTCCCCCACAGTCATTTCTATCTTAGTCTCGCAGTTAAGGACACTTAATATTTACTTTTGGTTCTTGGCCCTGGGTTCTCCAAGCACCTTTTGATGGCTGGTGGTCTTCCTCTAGTAGTTTCATCATGAGATTATGGATTATAGAATGTTTGGAACTCCTTTTCAGCAGCCTTTTTTCTTCAAGAACAGTTGGCTGTATATAGACTCTGGACTATCCACTACTTCTTTCCCCCTTAAGGACCCTACAGGTTTTGTCCTACCATTTACTGATCTTGAATGTGGCTGGTGAGAAATCTAGGACTGGTCATCATCCCCCTTATAGATGATTGTGTGTGTGTTTTTTTCTTTTTTTTTTTGGATTTAGAATTTTTTCAAATTTGTGCCCAAATTAGTTCTTTCTAAAATTAATTACCAAAAGTAATAGAACAGAAAGCATACTTAAATCTATAATTTCAAAAACTCTATCCTGAAATAAAACAAGATTGCCCACGTATTAGTAGGGTGACTGAGAGAACCAGAGAAAATTGGCTTAGAATGGTGGCTCCTGAGATGCACTGGACTCCATTCTTTCTTAGGTACTCGGATTATGTGGATGTCGTCTCTTCTTTGCCTGTCTTCCATATCTGTCACCTCTTTTTATATATTTTATTTTACAGAATTTTTATGGGT